>NC_000005.10:116170413-116473443 GCF_000001405.40 Homo sapiens | reverse complement strand
GTCCAGGTATCACTTATGCATATGCATGTCCCTCTGTATAAAGAAGGGTTTAAACTCTCGAAGTCACCTATAATTGCAGTTACCATTTCGTCTGCCAACTCTTGCATTTTCTCTGCCTCTTGGCAAAGGCAGTGACTTGGAGGAAATTCACTTGGTGGAAGAGATATGGAGGTGAGAAATCGGACTGAGTAGAAGGCATCTTACATTACACGCAGAAATTAAAAAGCACTTACTTAGTATCGGGGACCATACGCTGGCATAGTTCTGTGTTAGCTCATTCCCACTTATGTAAGTCGCCCCAAGCAGAGCGTAAAACATTAAGTAACCTTCTCCTCCCTTTTGTCTTTCAGATTCCTTTGTGGCACTGAATGGTAAGGAAGATATTACTCTCATAATTCCATACTGGTGGAAACCTATCTGAGAATGTCTATTTCATTAATCCTCTTGAGTATGTTCAAATCTTAAGTTTCTTTTTAATTAATTTTTTATCCTCATCATTTTTTTATAGACATTTCAACTCCTCTACCAGATAATGAAATGTCTTACAACACAGTGTATGGTCAGTTTACGGATTTTTTTTTTTTTTTTAAATTCGTGAAGTCATTCATCCAGCAGTAGTTTATAGTTTTCATTCCTAAACATCATGGACCAGATTCTTTGTTACTTTAGGGCCCCAATTCACTAAAATTATTTATTAATTTCACCGTCCTTCAAAAATTACTCTGCCTATGTGAGACAATTGATGTGGGAGACTGAGTCCTAAATTTTTAATCCAGATAACATGAAATATGCCAACCTTAGGGAATTTGGTGAATACATTTAATGAGTTCTTGAGGGAGAAGAAATTGCTTTTGAACATAAGTATATCCAAGACAAAGGAATAATGCTCCTAACTGATAGACTATAGCTCCTCAGCTGATACAGTTCACCATCCCCCAAAATGCTGGCACTCAGGACAATACCCTCTGCTGGCGAAAATCTATACAGGATACACAGGTCAGGCTCTTATTAGACAAAACTTTCCAATATAGTATGAAATTGGCCACTGAAATTTAAGCTCAAAAAGAGTATGAATATTTAGATATGTTTTCAGTGCGATTTCTTCAGAATGTAGACAAGGAAGAGTGACGCAGTGGAAATGATGTGCAAACAGGATTTATCTCATTGTTCTTGGTCTGAAATACACAATCACTATATTAAACAAAGCTACTAAGCCCATAAACAGAATATTCTGAACTCTTTATATGAGAAGTTGAAATGGAGCTGTTCCATTTACATTTCTCAAGGTACCCCCAAATATTTATTAGGGTAAACTATCCATGTGTTTTTTTAAAGTATGATATGAAAAACATCCATGTGATGGCAAATTTAAGCCTCTGCATTATAATGCAAGCTGTGAGTTTCATGTATACACAGCCATTTTATAGTTTGTGTGTTTAAGATATATAATCAAGCAACAGATCCAGGACAGTCTTTAAGTACAGAAATAGGTAAATAAGGGAGGGAGAAAAATAAATTTTAAAAAAGGGAAAAGAAAAGAAACAAAGGGGAAGGAAAAGAAAGCAATGCAGGTTTATGATCCAAAGAAATAGTTCCTGATGGCTACAAATGTGTTTAATAGCTCTTTGTAAACTCTCACTCCCTGTGTCAAATTAGCATACATAAATAGCCTTTTTGAATATCTTAAAGACTGGCTTATACATTGGAGCTGTGTAGGTATGGAAAACAGTGCTTGGTTTCTCCTGACTGGCCTCCTTGTGAAGTAAGGCAGTGTGGAGTAGATAAGCCCACAGAATTCATCCAACTTTAATGTTCCCTCATCTATGATTGAAACCAGAATATTGAACACCAAAGACTAGAAGAAAAATTGCTCAGAAGGCAAATGTCACCTAGTTGAGACTGCCTTGAGGAAAAAACCGCACTTAGCATCTGCTTTTTTCCAATATGATACTTTGCGATCATTTCCTATAATTGAATAGTCTTCATCAGATTTTGAGAAATTAAGATCTTGAAACGAATTGAACCAGCAACCTCCCCAGCATTCATCAATCATACCAAGACCAATTTTAACTCCCAGGTAATTTCTTAAATAGACAGAATAATTAAACTATGAGATACTCTTATGAACAAAAATCACTACCTAAGCTATGTTCTCTCTTATTTCCTTTACAAAAGGAAAGGTACTTACTTATTAATGCTTCCGTGTTAACACTTTAAGGGATGATGCTCATTCATTTTCAGGTCTTGAGGCAACTAAAGAAGAGGTGGAATTTTTCTTTCAGCTAATGATCCTATCCATTTCAGGCTAAATCTATTCAGTGTGAAGCAGTTAGATGATTAATTGACCATCAAAATGAGAGCTGGTTCAGACAGTACTTACAAAAATATTGGCAACTTTTTAAAATAAACCATTGCAAGGGATGTTAATTTTGGAGTTAATAAACCCAGAATAGATTTCACTAATTCATTCGGCAAATACTTGTTGAGCAACTACTGTGTCCTAGGCACTGTACTGGGCACTGTATTTGTAGCATCGAAAGAAGAAACAAATTGCTAATTGTATGAGCATGGATATAGACAAGAAAGCCAATTCCAAAGTAAAAAGTGCATGCACACTGTTTCTAGCTGTATCCTCTGCATGTCCTGCACTCTGTGGCTGAGTGTAGGCTCATAGAGCCAACTACAAAACCAGAACTGCCCAACCCAGGAAAAGGGATCATTTCAATAAACGATGCAGAGTTTCTGCTTGTCAAAAGCTCTGTATCACACCAGTTACATATGCAAGAATCCCTTTTAGTGAATTGGGCCCTGATTATTTTCCTTCTCTCTTCCTCTCTTGTATTGATTTAGTGTCTCTGTTTTGTGTCTAATTGTCTACAAACATTGTTAATAGGTTAGAGTAGTATGAAGGGTATCTAACCTCTGGAATTACAATGACTTGTAGATATAGAGAAACAATATGATGCATTAACGTTAACTTTCAAAATATACCTATTTATTTGTATTTTATGAGAATGATAAAGCATAAGCTCCATTGATTAAAAGGTGACCTTTCTTATTGGACTGATAAGACAAAAATATAGATTCCAAATCTATTGACATATGATATCACATCCACAAATGTTTGCCTATTTTTGTAGCATTATTTTGGTTGCAAAGTCTCTTAGGGAATGCACAAAAATAATACAACCTTAAAAATCAGACTAGAAGATGGAATATAAGTGGTTTCCTTGTAATTTTTTTTTAAGCTTGGAGAGGTAATAACACATCTTTGAATTCAAACTGAGGACTGCTGCTTAATGGTGCTTTTACAGGGTGGTTCTAAAATTTTTGAGAGTCAGGTATTGCTTTCTCTGACTGTTTAATTCACCACTGGCACGTGTTTCCTATCCTCAAGCATAAGTTTAAAAGATTACAAACCTCATGCTGCTCAGTTTTTTCTTTCCAGTAAATCAGATGCATGGTTTCTCTAGATTTACATATAGAAAATCGAGATGTGGTGGGTATTAGACTAACACTTCAGTGATAGGAAGAAGAGACTGATTTCTCATATTTGTGTAAAACATTCTCTTACCTAACTACCATCTGGTCCACATTAATTTCCTCTCATAGCCATAGCTTTCCATTACCAATGAGTTTTCCATGTATTCACAGCATATGGGCCAGGAAATCTTTCTACAGAGAATGTGTCCCTTAGGCATATATTTCCCCTAGATTACCGTATTAAGAAATGTTCTCCCTAAACCATACTTATGGCATTACCATAAAATTGCCTCTTGAACACAGTTAAATTGAAAGTGCTCAAAATGCGTATCAATTCAGGTAAAAGAAATCTTGCTACTTGGAGGGGAGGTATTTTTTATTCTTCCCCACTTTCTCTTTCTAACTCCCTACAAAGCTATTTCTAATTATTTGCTTATGCTGGGCACTGAATTTTCTCTTAGGCTGACCATATATTTTATTAAAGTAGTCTTGAATTCAGGAGTGGAAAAAAAAAAGTTATGTTTTAGACCTCAATGTAAGCTGAAAGGAAATAAAGGAACTTCTATATTTCCATTTCTCAGGCTGATTTTCCTTCCCCTGTTCTCTTATCTGTATCATGACATGAGATGTGAACCTCAGAAATGTAAAAACAAAAAGTCTAGAATAAAGCATTCCTTGAATTTTAAATGAACATGCTTTTAGCAGCTGGATACGAAGCAGACTATTTTCAACAAATTGAATGTTTCCCACTTGTGTGAGAGCCAAACAAGTGCCATACAGAAAGGGACCTCTTCAATGTTACCAAAGCTTTGTGGCAGCATTTAAGTGTGGTGGCTCCATAGAAGTCACTATAGCATGGACGAGCCACTTGGCTTGCTTTTTCCTGCTAATCAAAGTTTTAAGAAGATAAAAAGCTATCTTTGTTATATATGTTTTGTCTAATTTGCAATATTACAGTCTCCTGGGGGGAAATCCAACTTCCAATAATAATTGTAAAAAAAAAAAAAGAATGCACTGTACTTATTCTTTTAATCTGTCTTTCTAGAGGCCAATATTTTATTTATCATGTGCATGGTGATCATACTTCAAGGCTGGAGCTTTTGGAGTTGTTGTGAGTCTGCCCTACTTTCCACCAAAGGCACCAATTATACATGCACAGTAGTTGCCCTTGTATCTTTTAAAAATTGTTCAAGAGGTTGTTCTGTGTAAGCCAATAACTCCACTTGAAAATCACGAGGAGGTCATATTTTATTTCTGCCAGAGAGAACAGGTATCATTGTGCCAGCTTGGATCAAAGCACCTGATACAATCTGTATTTAACCTTGTGGAATGATGGAGGGAGAGCTTACAAACGAATTCACAGGAAATGGCTAGAGTTTCTGCTGTAACTCTCAACCTAGCCATTCTTCTCATATTATCCTATGGTAGCTTATCTGAACCTCAGAAATCTATCCTTTTCTAATTTGAATCATTTTAGTCAACGCAGCCTCAGAAACGGAAACCATCTATTGAAATAATACACAAAAGGGACAGCCGTAATAGCGTGTAGCCGTTGAAGCCTCCATTCCAATGAAAAGACAGTGGGAATAGATCCCTTTGGAAACCACTAACTAATCCCAGAAAGAGGAATGCCTGTGAAGTTGAGTTGAACCTGAAGACTAGACACACTGTAGAACCTCCATAGGAAGGGTGCAGAGTAACTGAGTTACTTGTGATAGGGACAAGACTTACCCACTACCAGAAACCTGCCCCATCGGTCACAAATGGGATTCCCAGAGTGGACACTTTCTGTGTTTAGTGCTGCCATGGGAATATCAAAGAAGGACACTGGCCTTTCTTGAGCACCTATGTGTCAGACACTGTGCAAGATGCTTTCACCATTATGTCACTATCCTCCCAACACCGAGAGGTATCTTTATCCCCACTGGGTGCACAGGAAGAGGTTAAGTGATTCCCTGAGGCCCACCCAGCAAGTATGAGAGATAGGATCTGGCCCTTCATTTTCTAACTACAAGTTCAATGGGCTTTCTGCTGAACACACCCCACACCACCACCACCACCACCACCACCACCACCACTAAGCCGTGTCATTTCTAGGGCCATCTCCTCTCAGTCTTACAGCCAGCTTGGGTGTCCCACCTCCAGGCCTCTGCGCAAAGGGAATGTGGGTCTCTCTGGTGATGTTTTCCTAACTGTATTTGTGATGAAAACAGGGCATTCCAGTTCCCTCTTGCCCAGCACAACCACATCAGATTCGACGGCTCAAGAGGGGTATGAGTCTAGGGGAGGAATGCTGGACTGGAAGCATCTGCTTGACTCACCTGACAGCACAGACCCTTTGGGGGCAGTGTCTTCCCATAATCACCAAGACAAGAAGGGTAAGGCCTTGGAAATGCCTCTTCCTCTCGGGGGAGAGGGAGGGAAAAGTGGGGAGGACTGTGTAACTGCTTCCAGCTGAATTTTGGCAGCATTTAAGGAACCTCCAATGCGCTATGATTGAAAGTTTCTCGAAAAAGACTGCAACCCCATCCTCTATGTGAGGCTTGATCCTAAATTATTCTCTGACCAAGGAAAAACCACACAAAACAAATAATATGTCCTCTGAGCTTCCTCTACCCGAAAAAGGTGTGGCTTGGCCCGAAGCAGATGCTGGCTTCTGACATCCCTTGCCACTCTTCTTAGTCTCATTCTGTGATTTTTGGACCGTCTTTTCCCACCATAATGTGATGGAATGCAGTTCGGGCTTTGGCAAGTGAATGCAATTGAAGTAAAGGCCCTGTTAATCAGTGAATTGAGAAATAGCAGGACAAAGTCTTTTCTGGCTGGTAGCATCTCTCACTGTTGCATGGTGCTGAATTTGAATAGAGCCATGTTCCTCAGACGTACTGTAATTGCCCTTAGAGGATAGTAGCTAAGACAAAAATATGTTATTTAATCAAGCAGAATTGCTATGCATTTACAACGGAAAGGAAGCCACACTAAATGAAAGGGACTCTACTGTGAACTGTCCTAAATTCTCCTTTGCTTTCTTTGCTTAGCTGCAGACAGGAAATGTCATCTCTTTTCTTGCCATTTGCTGCTTCTGGTAACACATCCTACTTTAGTTGCAGCTGCAACCAAAGAGGCCTTTACTTGTCCAAAAAACAGTCTTGTAAATCAGAGACTGAAAAGCCCAGTTATGTTGCTGAGCTGTTTCTCCCCATTCAGAATTGTTTACTTCTATATGTTTTCAAGAGTTTCATCCAAGCGGGAGTTTGAGTTTCAAGGGCAGAGCAGCCACTGTGACCCTTGGAAGACAGTCGCTATTGCACCCTCCCCCAGAGTGTTCTGCATACATATCTCCATCTTCACTTTTAGACAATGCTTTCCGGTCAGACTCTCAGGCTACATTTTCATCTGCTTTTTTGCTTCTCATCTCCTGAGAGTGCTGGGCACTCTGCTGCTCTATTTGCCAAGTCAAAATATAAAGATGGAGCCCCTTTTGTCTTGTTCTTGAGCGTGTCCTCTTAACTGATTTTATTTTCTTCTATAGACTTCCTCTTAGTAATAAGCCCTGACTCAAATCTTTTTTTTTTTTTTTTTGAGATGGAGTCTTACTCTGTTGCCTACGCTGGAGTGCAGTGGTGCGATCTCAGCTCACTGCAACCTCCGCCTCCCAAGTTGAAGAGATTCTCCCTGCCTCAGCTTCCCAAGTAGCTGGGATTATAGGTGCCCGCCACCATGCCCGGCTAATTTTTGTATTTTTTTTTTTTAGTAGTGACAGGGTTTTGCCATGTTGGCCAGGCTGGTCTTGAACTCCTGACCTCAGGTGATCCACCCGCCTCGGCTTCCCAAAGTGCTGGGATTACAGGCTTGAGCTGCTGCTCCCGGCCAAATCTTTTTTTTTTTTTTTTTTTTTTTTAAGCTGGTTTTGTCTCATCTCCTTCTTTCAGTTTGAGGGATTCCCTGCTCTTTCCATCCCGAGAAAGCTCCAGGTAGAAGAGAAACTGTCCGGACAGATTACAAGCCTTAGCATATGCCATTATTTGTTATGTGTGGCTCCTGACCTCAGATGTGCTAGTCCTGACTGTATTCTCAAGAAGAGAAAACTCAGTAGAAATCACTTTGTTTTTGCCCACTGCGTTTTTTCTGAAACAAAATAAAACAGCCTTTCCAATAAAGCATTAAATATGCCAACTAAATATCTAGCTGTTGGTTGCAGTAATTTTCTTTTCATTTCACTGAGAGGGGTAGCGTGAATTTTCTCTAATCGTTAACTCCCCCCAAGGAATGGAGGTTCTCAAAAAGTCCATTTAACACTTTGACACATCATTTTAAAATTCGGCATTGTTCATTCTCTTGGGTCTTATTATACTGACAAAGCTGGAAGCAGTCTACATATTGTCAAACAATGGTGGCAGAGGTGACTGCATGGGTGTTTAACATGATCACTGTTCTTGTGCTAGTAACTCCTTGCCTTGCCCTGTCAAATTTGAGTTTCTTTTCTGTGATTGGTTGTATGTTTGATGGGGCAATGCCAATGAGTTGTTGTGCAGAAATTTTAAAGAAAAGATGTAGCTTAATGTTCCTTTTATCATAGTTTTTATGATTTTAATTTCCATTTTGCTCCAAATTGTTTTTTGTTTAATGTTCATGATTTATTTTCAACTTTTGTTTCATTTTGCCAAGCACTGTGTTATGACTTAGTGATGGCGTTACTCCGTTGGAAAAGTCTTGTTCCTTTTCTGACTCATGATGGCGTCCCTTAACTTGAACGAATCTGTGATGCCCTCGCTTCTTTTCATTCCCTGATGTCGGTGCCTTAATGATGTCACATCCGTGTATGCAGCATCTCCCGGGATGCAAGAGTTTCATGGGTTTTCTAAGGGCCTGTGACGGGTGCTCTTTCTACTGGGTCGATTGTCTCATGAGAATGTGACATTTGTGTGCCCCAGCTTTAGGAGCTAAATATACTCTGGAATTGTTTCTAAAATCCATCACATTTCCTCACTAAGCAGAAAATGTGCCCGCTGACCAGCTCACTGAGGAGTCAAGTGTCCATTGCCCATTTTATTTTGGCCACTGGTAAAAATGCCAGTGAGCAAGGCATGCCCATGGCTCTACTCTGCAGATATGCTGACTGCCAGTGAGCTGGTCCCATTCTTTGTCCACTTCATCCTCCAAACAATTCTCCATTTCCAGAGTATGTTTGCTGCGTTTTTCTTTCTTTTCCTTGCTATGTCTTTCGTCTTGATTTAATCCTGTGCGTCCCTCACATTCTGTCGAAACACCCTTCCTCACCTTGCAGCCTAACCCCCTTCTGCTACCATTGTTCTTAGCCTCCCCCTTTCAAAATAACAGACCCAAACCCTCTGCCCCTCTGTGGAATGTTCCAAGGCTCTTTCCTTCTACACCGTGAGTAGCATTCTGATGCTGTATGTATATACAGTCATACTAACAAAGCGTGAGAAGAGACCTGCACAGCACGCGGAAGCATTATCATAGAAAATGAAGTAATTTTCTCTCTCAGTAACTGGCCTTGCCCTTCATTACCCTACTGGCCTTGTCTAATGTCTCTTGTCCTTGCTGCTTTTCTTTAAAATTGCCTGATATCTTTCAAGCCCTGGATTCATTAGTAAAAACACAGCCAACTGCTCTGTTTTATCTCTGGTTCTCTAGATGTCTGGAGCCTCTAGAGCGAGCCCTTTAATCACCAAGTTGATAAATGAGATGCAGCCCTGACTACTTCTGTCTTGGTTTTGCCACATTAAAAAATACATATTATTTATTCCTCCTATAACTATTGAGGTCGTAATGGGTAGTTACAAAGGGGCTCTAATCACATATAAATAAGAAAGAAAATCCAGTTTATTTTTAGATCTGGCTTATTCTCCACCACCGCTTCCCACAGCAAAAGAAATAAGAGCTTTCTTTTTTAGGTTAAACAATACTGAGAACAAATAGCTATTCTTGTGCCTCTTATTCCTTACCAAAAGTAACAATACTTTAAAGCTGATTTCCAAGAAGTCTATGAGGTATGTAAGGAAATCAGCCACATCCAGAGCAGCCAAGAGAGCTGTGTAGCATACACATAAAATGTAAATGCTGACCACTGCTATGAGGACACAAGAATATATCCTGAATAGAATAAAAATCCCCTACTTCAGACTTTATTTTATAATAAAGAGTTCTTGTGAGCTCTCAGAAAACAGACAAAATAGTAAATATAGAGCAGTTCCCATTTAATCAGAAATGCCAGAGTTGTAGTATGCTTCTATCTTTTGGGAAATCTTTAAAGTGAGATATTATCACATTATTACATTTAGTCCAGAAAATATGCACATTAAAGACAAGAATAAGATGTATTACAGAAACAGAATTTAAATTAGAGATTAAGTGAATAAGCTAAAATGGATAGCAAATGTTGAATATATTTTAATCAATGTACAAGCTATTTGTATAAGCAGTTTTTAGTTTGGGAAATAATATTCCGGTAAGATTCATAAGATCTATAAAGATGATTAGTATTGTCCACATCTCACAATCCTAAATGGAATTTTATAAATCACAGATGTTATCAATAATTCTCTTTATAGTTAATTATTTAATCTTTAAATTTGCAGTAGCCTACAGCAGTATTTCCTCCGAGGGAGATGAGTAGCACCTTACATGGCATGATTTAGGTGGCAGGGATGTGATGGCCTTCAAGAGTATTGAGTCATGTGGTGGAAATTTATGCCCTTTTCAATGCTCTTTCAGTCTTCTGCGTTATCTTCTTGATTATGTGAAAGGAAAAGTCTCAGTTTGGTGTTTTCTCATTAACAACTCCCTAAACTTGCTACTATCTCTTTTTGACAAAGAGAGAATAGGGTTTACACTGGGGCTTTGTCTTCCAACTGGATCTAGCTGGAATTAACATTGTTTTGCTTTAAGTTAATTTTTGTTTTACTGGTTACATTTTATCGTTGAAAAGTGACACTTTTTTTTTATTTGTGATAATGATATCAAGTTTCCCTTTGAAATACATTTTAAAGGTAATTTAAATAGAATATTAAGTAAATAATGCAGGAGTTATGAGGGATATAAAAATACTAAGTAAATAATATGGTAGGTGAGATTCATTGTTATGACTAAAATTGTAGTATTGGTAGTTGAATGACCAAAGTTTAGGTGACTGTGTACTGTAGCAATTGAAGGAGTCCAGGGAAGATTAAACTATTACCAAGAACTTTGTTCTGACATTTGGAAGAATGAGGTTTGATGACCACTATACCCTCTCCTGGCTGGGCTTGCAAAACCAAGTGAATACATGCGTCACTCCAAGTGTTGTAATTATACAATCCAGTGCCCTTCTGATTTCTTTGCTACCTACTGAGCTTTGTGTTTGGGGATGGAAAGTTTCATGAAATAGAAATTTAAAGTAACATGGATTTAGACTAATAAGAAATTAGCCACTCTAGGCTTGTTAAGCATCTGGCAAGTTTTTTCTCCACACCAGCAGCAAGCACCCTAGTGTGGTCTGCCGCTAGTTATTACTCAAATTGTAGCCTAGGGAAAGTTGATGAAAAGCCTTTCCACTTTTCATCTATTTTGCTGATATCCAGAAGGACTCTTGTGCTACACAGTGTTGCCCGGCCTGGCAATAGCTTACCCTTGACCCTTCTCCTTTTCTCCCGTTCAAACTTTACCTATTCTAAGTTCCAAGCCTTCAGTGTCAGCTGTCTTTATTAACAGACTGAGAAATCTCATTTTAGGTGAGTATAGTTAATCATAGATCCTACCCCCTGGTTACTCTTACATTTTAACACTCTCCCATGCTTAAAATGTAATGGATTTGGGATTTTAAAGCACCCTGGTTCTCCCAACACAGAAGGTAATTTTTTGGCTCCTATCAAGTCATATGTAAGTGATTTTATGGACAGAGAAAATTATTCCTGATGACAGTAATAAAGGAAGAAAAATAGGCCTCTCCTCTTTTCCTGACTCTTAAACTTGGGCTTAATTTTCTCTGCCATTTCTTCAGTAATATTACCGTTAACAAAAACATTTTCTGAGGTGTCTCAAGCAGAATTTATCACTGGCTCTGTGGTGCAATTTGGATGCCAATAAAGAGTAAGAGGCTGTATTAGAGATAGACGTAGTTCCTGTCCAAGAAATATCAAACACCAGACAGATGGAACACAGGTAGACACAAAAGCACACCAAAAGGCCTTTATGACCAACATTCTCTTTGTGAAATGCCAAAACCACACACCACAGACTTTAAAAAAATATATTAGACAAGTAAAGACAACTTGGCTGAACACATCAAGGACATAGAACTGTGAAACAGTTTTTCAGCTCCTTTCCTTCAGTTCTTTCCCTCAGTACCAATATTGTAGCAATAACACATCACCTGACAAGGAAGACGAGGAAAGTGATGGATGTTTGGTAAAAGACTCATATTTAAAATTTTTGTGGGAGTGTTGGCAAACTCAGGCTTTTATTTTTTTTAAGCCTAAGCTTTATTTCAAGAAAAAAAAAACTCATACTAATTTGCATTCCTTTTATTAGTAAAAATGATCCTATTGCAGTCGTTTTTAAATGTGAGAGTAGAGCAAGGCAGTTTCAAGGAGACTTCAGAAAAAGGGCTCCTGTCTTGGGGAGTACTAATAATGGGAGGGT
Source organism: Homo sapiens (assembly GCF_000001405.40). Lineage (NCBI taxonomy): Eukaryota > Metazoa > Chordata > Mammalia > Primates > Hominidae > Homo > Homo sapiens. The sequence goes on along the minus strand of NC_000005.10, from coordinate 116,461,317 downwards.
AAGGGTTTTCACTTCCACTCAACAATGGAAAATTAACTGAGTCAGGTAGAACGTGCATGGTCAGAGGCAAGGAACGCGAAGAGATAGTGAATTGATTGTGACGGTTCCAAAAACTCTTTTGAATTAGAGATCACTTATTTCTGATTTTGAAGGTTAGAGGAAAGGCATCTTCAAAGTTCGTAAGAAATTTGGTACATAAGCTGGTATTGTTGCTGACTATGAAAAATACAGTTCTTAATATTTAGTTCATCAGTATTTTATTTATAAATTGTGCTATACACGACCCATAAAGATTTATCATAATTTTTATTGCTCTAAACTTTTAGAGATTAAAAAGTTTAATTTTTAGAGAGTAAAGATTTAGCATCATTTTTATTACTCTAAACTGCCTGTAATCTCAGCTACTTGGGAAGCTGAGGCAAGGGAATTACTTGAACCAGGGAGGTGGAGGTTGCAGTCAGCCGAGATCGTGCCACTGCATTCCAGCCTGGGTGACAGAGGGAGACTTTGTCTCAAAAAAAAAAAAAAAAAAAAGAGATTAACAATTTTAACCTCTGAAAGTTTGGGTGGGTTTAAAGAATATTTGTGGGAGTCATTTAAAGCACACTGTTTGGGAAAAGAAGAGTAGGGTTGCTAGGCAAAATACAGGATGCTCAGTTTATTTGAATTGCAGATACACCTGAATAATATTTTTAATATTGAAACAAAACTAAATAATTGTTAGTGTAAATATACCGCAAATATTGCATAGGACATACTTTTAACTAAAACATTTTTGTTTATCCGAATTAACTGAGAGTACTTAAACTTTTTGCTACCTGACAATTCTATAGAAGATGTCACTGATAACTTACTCAGTGAATATATAAGATCTAATTTATATATTACATTTGGCCTTTAACTCTTAGAAATCTAGAATAATCCATATTCTGATATGTTTAAGAAAAAATCTTATTCCACGAAAAATATTCTTAGCATACTTGAGTTCAGAGAATGTCTATGAAATATTATATATGTGTTTGAAATGTGATAAAGAGTAATTTAAAGATTATTATTGAAAACAGGCTTTCAAATGCCACTTTCAAGTAAGGAAGGCTCAGAAATCAAATTGTTCTTAAAGAGGAGCATGGTTAAAACTATTGGTTCTTTTATGTTTTACTTAACCTCAAAATTTTAACAGCTGTTATGTTAACCATATGTATTCCTTTTTCCTTCCTAAATTATATGGCTGCCCTCCTTTTTATTTTTATTTTTATTTTTTTATCATTTTCATGGCTTTGGAGGGGTAGAACTGGAATTCCGAAAGCACTAAAAAATAATAGTTTAATAATGCTGACAATCTCATCTCAAAGAAAGGCAAGACAGCAACCTTTCCTTTGTTTCTTTTTTCCTGCATTCAACAGAAATTGAACAAACATGTGCTATATGTAAACCTTATGCTGAGTGTTACAGAAGATACTAATTTGAATTTCACATAAACCTGATATTCAGACAGCTTACAGTTTAGTGAGGGATACCCAAAGGTGATCTAAATGCTGGGGCAGAGTGAAGTCTGACAGTAAGGGAAGTCAAGGAAAGAGGGGGAGGGAGAGTACTAAGGGAGTCTAAGGGGTGGCACAACTAATTCCAAGTGGGGGACACAGGAAAGACCTTTCAAAGTCTTGAAGGAAAAGTTAGATTTCACAGGAGGAAGGGCATTCCAAGCTGAATAAAGTCCATGACCAAGATACCACACTGTGAAATTACAGAGTGTAATAATAAAGAGGCAAGGAGTGTGTGGTGACTAAGTGTATGGACGACTAGAATGGGAAATGAGATTGAAATCCTAGCCTGGAACCTTAAATGCCATGCCAAGGAGTTTTGGCTTTAGCAACAGGAAGTGGAGGATGGGAAGGTAGACGTTGGGAAGAAAGGGACCACAGGAGGGTAGAAGTGGGGAAAGACAAAGATAGCAAGATTGACAGGTGATACATATATAATAAATTGTTCATTTAATCATATTAGGTTATTAATTACATGTACACAATAAGTTTGGGAAATGGAATTTTGCATCAATTTTGGATCTAAAGTGTCTGTTACTACACATCGCTGGCATTTTCCTGGTAGATGCTTCTTGCCTATCTAGCTCTATCCTAGGTAAAACCCCAGGCAAGCTGAACTCCAAACTTGGACTTCTTCCTCTCTTTAGTTAAAACAGTGGGGTTCAGCTGAGCACGGTGGCTTAATTAATAATATAATCCAGGATGCCACTGTTTATTTTTACTATATTAATATTTCTTGGTCACCTACGAGAAAAGGAATCTATATGTAGTCTCCGTCTTTTCTTTGAGGGACTGAGGAAAATGATATTGTGAGCAAGTCAGGTGCTGGGCTCTCAAATGGATGATGTGGGTTTCCATGTTTGAACGTGTGCAGGGGGAGAGGGTCCAGAGCCGAGAAGCCCAAGTGGCAGGCTGTAATTGTTCTTTCAGTAGTGTGGGCATAGATGTAGATTTGATATAATTAATTTTGTATCCTTTTGACAACTTGCTGAATTTATCTAAGGTCTTGATGAGATTATTGTGGAAAGGGTAGCAGGAAAAAAAAAGTTAAATGTCAGCCATGTAGAAAGCTGTTTCATCTCTCTGCCTGCCTGAATTTGCACACCCGTATTTGAGTTTTCTTTTCTAGGGATACCACTAACCTTTTATTTTTTAACCTAACATTCATTTTCTCAAAAAATGAAGGACTTAAATTATGATTATGGAGACTTGAACTTTTGCTTTTAAAACGCCAACTTAAACCTTAGGGTATTAAAAAAATCAATTCACCTTCTAGAGGTGCTTCTCACCTTTAATCTCTAGCCACTTTTTCAAGCTGCATCTACTTGACATGACACTTTACCCCCACCCTTTTCCCTCAGTCTCTTTTTCCATTCTCTCCCATCTTTTCTACAAAAACACACACAATGACAAAGTTTTCTGACAGCTTAATGGAACTTTCAAGGACTACGGGGACTAGGTTAAGTGTGATCTTATTAACAGAACATCTGGAGTGGTTAAAAATTTGCTCTTTAATTGGTTCAACGGCACTGTGTTCATCTAGATTTTGTTTTGTCCTAACGATAAAATTGTGAAGAATCAATTAGTAGTTTGCATTATGTGGAAAAGTGGGAAAATAATATCCGCTTTGTCTCAGACCTTTCTTTCTGATAGCCTAGTTTCACCAAGTTTTTTTTAAAAGGCTTGTTAGAAGTTTTACTTTGCAAACTTCACTGCTCCATAGACAAACTAGTCCACAGAGGGCAAAACAGTGGAAATCAGGTAATTTCCTGAGAATAGCTTCTCTTTTCTTGACATTATACCTGAGACTGGCCTCAAACTACGTAGGGCTTGCTCAAACTAACTACATCACGCATGCCATTATCCTGGAAAGACAGAGGATGAAAAAGGTGTGTTCATTTGTTGGTTCCAGGGAGATACAGGTTATGCAAGTAATAGATAAACTCTTGCAAAGTGTATGGGCTTCTCTAGGGACTGAAAGGAGCCATGTGAACCTCATCATATGTAAATCTCTTAGCACTTTAAATTGTGGAAACGCCCTGAAGTATACTACCGAAATGTAGTGGATATATTAAAATATACTGGGTGCACAGTAGATGGGATCTTAATTGGTGTCAGAAAGCCAATTACAGGCAATGTGAAGGTTTGTCACCCTTAATTAATATTTCTTAAGCTCTTATAAGTCTACAGCCTGACAACTATCTTTGTAAAGAGATTCATTTTTAATGGGGTAATAAATTTTTTTCCACTCCAATTATTTTTAAATTTCATATTTTTTAAAAGGATGCATTCCTTTTCAAACAGATATCTGCAATTACTTCTTTTTTACTGAAATCAGAGGCAGTCATTATGAACAGTATAGAAATAATGGAAGTTCGGTATAGTCAACCACTGACAATGCTTTATTAGAAAGGAAAATGGTGTCGAGAAATTTATAGGGCAGCAAACTGCATTATGCCTAACCTTTTGGACGTATTAAAGCATGTCATTTCCAGTCTTACAGCCTCTTGTTATTCATAAATAATAGATAGCACTGGACACAATCATCTGACATTTGTTAAGGTAATAAATATACCCTAAGTGCTGATGGGTCTCGCACTCCATGATTTAAAAGCACACAGCAGAAATTTAATGTAACTTAAAATGTCTCATGTAATTCTATGGATTTGCAGATTCAGTTCAACTCAGCAGATCAATAAGCACAGAGCTCTGTTGAGTGAACTGTTGTGCTAGGCATCTTTTATTATTATAAAGCAGGACCTTACTTTGGTGAATGACACATGAACTCAAGTCCCTCTTTTCACCCCGGGAATATAAAGGAGAAGAACCTTCGTGAGTTTCTTTTCTCTCGTCTAGTCATGCAGAGATGAAGGTAAAGATTTTGGCATCCCCTAAACCATTCTCAAACGTTGCTTAATAGCTGTAAGTTGAGTTGAGGGAGTGGGTTTTGAGATGATATTAGATGCAGGCCTTTAAAGGAAGCCACTCTGTCCAATGGTGGGCTCCATCAAGCATTCTGCTTCTTCTGCACTTGAGAACCAGTTATGCCTGGGCTGACCCAATCTAGGACATACGTGAGCTCTGTGGTACCAACCACTATCTGACGGCCACAGTTACAGAGATGAGGAGTATTAGAAATTCTCCTCCAAGTCTTCCTACCAGAGCAAATAGAGACCACAAGCATTGTTTCAGCAGTTTTGGTGCAAGCAAATTGGGTTGATTCTTTTGCAGGAGTAGCAGCCCAGTATTTTGAGCTATATGCCATGCTTTTGACAGATACTAAGGGAAAGTGTTTGTTAGGAATTTGATTGTCTTTCCAATAAAACAAGGTCGATTTCTATTCTTTGTCAGAGCATGATACCCACAGTAAAGAAATTATCCAATGAGACCTTAGATATGTTTTCTGGAATATTATTTATGTTATTTCAGGACAGCATGTCTCAAGCTTTAGAGAACTTAAGAATCATCTGGAGTTCTGGTTTCTGGGCCTAACCCAGAGATTCTGAGGCTGAAACTTTGGGCAGGACTTGAGGATTTCTGTCTCTAATTAGTTCCAGGTGATGTTAATGCTGAGTGGCACTGATTCAGACATTTTCCACGTTGCTGATGGGCTGTCTTATTTAAGTTCACTAGTCAAGGTTTTGTTGTAGTTGTAAATCCTTATTTTTACACTTTTGGCTAACACAGTTGAACCCTACCAAAGTGTTGCCTTAAAATAGTCTAATCTTGGACCCTGTACAAGACAGGCAACTTGTCAAACATTCTAGAAATACTGTCCTTACATTATTAATTGAGCATTAACACGTTTTCTGCACAATGCCAACTGCTTTGTGTTCATTTATTCAACCTATTTAGTCCTTCCAACAATGCTCATCTTATAGCCAACACTACTGGGGCCTGGAGACCGAGTGACATACCCAAAGTCACACAGTTAGCTATTTGTAGAGCCAACACGCAAACCCAGGTCTTTATGAGCTCAAAGTGTATGTTCTTAACCAGTAACACCCAGTCTCATCTTTAACCCAGATCTCAAGAACTACATTTCTAGAAAATTCAAGTTGGAAGATTTAGCAGTATTGAAACAGACCTGTTTCTTCATATCTGTTTTATCTTTGCTTTATAGAGAAAATTCAAAGCAAGTAATCAAATAATCCAAGCAAAGACTTGCCCAAATTTCACAATTTTTTAAGGAGGTCCACTTCTCCATTTTGTGGCTTTGATGCCTTTTGAGAGAGTAAAGGAAAAAGATGGGACCAGGAAGTTGGAAAATAGAAATGCTTTGTCTGGTTTTAGAAATCACTTAGATGTTGTGTTTCTCGTCTTATTTAAGAAAGCTGATGAAAGAAAACTTCAAAAAGCAGGAAAATACGCCTTGCAGACTCTGCTAAAACTTTGCCAATGTAAAAGAATCATTACCTTTACGGGGACAGTAACAGTTCTAACACATGAAACCACAAACCAGCATTCCAGGGCATGGCTTTTAAAAATTATCTTATCATGACTCTTAGTCTAGACATCAGCCCGTGCTCTGGCTGTAGCACTCCCATTGGCAATGCCATTTCTAAAGCAGTAGAGCAGTGGAGGAACAGTGAACTGAGCGTTCCCAGCACACAGGGAAAAATGAAGCTGTTTCTTCTCTAAAAAAATGAAATAGAATGAATTCCAGGCTCATTCTCCCTTCTATCCCTGTGATGACATCCCAACCAAAAATGCATCACTTTTAAAGGTGATCGAAGTGGAAGTGGGTTCATCTACAGTCAACCACTCCAAGCATTATTTCAATATGTGAGTTTTAAAATAGCTTCTGAATTCAGGACATTAAACAGCCAGGCCAGGAAGCTACCTCCACTTTGGCATGGTCAGTCATTAACTTTATATATCTTGAAGACCATGGCCCCTCCTGGTACCTAATCTGTAGCCTGCCAGGAAAAACACATACATACACACACACGCGCACACACACATGCACACACACACACACACACACTTAAAGGAAAAGGAAACTTTAAGTTATAAACTCCAAGCCTATTTCCATGGCTGCTGGCATGTCAGTTTATTCCTAAGCCATCTGGTTCACATTATGCCGTAAGACAAGAAGAAGGCTGCTTCCTGCCCAGATAACCACAGAGAGTTCCCATTTCACTTTCAGCGTGGTCACCTCGACTGGCTGGGGTGTGGCTTTGAGAATAAATTGTCTCCAGTTAGGGTTTTTCCCTTGTTTGTTTTCTTCTCTTCTTAATAGGGATTACAGCGGGCCCTGTGTGGTTAGCGGGGCGATGCTTGGCTAGTGATTAGTTCATTCATTTATACTGTCTTGCAGGACCGTGAGCCTGGAATTTTGTTGCAGTAAGATTTGCAAACAAGAAAAATTGGGCTGTTAGATTCCATTCACTCAAGTTGTTATGAGGATTTCAAGGAAATTGTAGGCTTGTCTTACTATAAAGCAGAATCAAGAATCTATTTTTAGGGGATGCTACTCCGGGGCTTTTCTTGGTGTTTTGCCATCTTTCTTAGCTCTCAGACCCAACACAAACCCTCTCTGGCTCAGTGATGGAGGAAATGTCCATCCTCCTTTTTGCCTTTGCATATTTCTCTAAAGGACACAGAGAGGCTTTGTTGTCTTTGTGGTCACCGGGTCCACTTTACACAGATGCCTATTAATCACTTCACTATGGAGACAGACACATCCATCATATCACAGCAGCTCAGAAACGGGCCGTCCAGTGAAAGGGGGTGAGAGGGGAAAGTGCACACTTAACCATTTCGAGTTAGGTTACTGGTTGCCTGTGTCTTACACGCTTAGGGTGGTAATTGGGGTGGGGGTGAGTAGAGCTCTTCCTTTGTATTTAGCTTAATAGGTGTGATTAATTTTACGTATTTTTGCTTGTCTGTTTGCTTCACATTTTGATAGGACAGATAACATCTCCCAGCTATTTGTGTAAGGTGCAGGGCATTAGTATACTTTAAGATTGAGAGTTTTAATTTTAAAAACAGTAATAATAAATGCAGGTAGACTAGCTGTGCTTTTGATGCAATGATACTGACTCTTTGAAGCCAAGAGTTTTGCGATAATGGATTCAATGTGGAACAGAGCAAGCCGAAAGTTAGCTTTCTCAGGCAAGAGAAACTGCAGATAAATTAACCAAGAACTTTCCTTCTATGAGTGGCAGATCTTCTAAACCTCTTTTTTAATCATTCAAGGCTGTCCACAGCCTTCCAAATGGTATTTCTAGCTCTTGCTCTTGTATTTTCTCTACAAGTGCTCATTCATGTATGCATTCCTTTACTATTTATTTAAAAGATATTTACTGAGCACCTTTCTGCCTGAAGATTCAGTGGTGAGTTTTAGCAGTCTAGGTGAGAAAAACAAGTATCATACTAGTGATGATTTTAGAATAAAGGGAATGCAGAGCTCTGGGGACACTTTAGAAGGAAGAACTTAACTGGCCTAAGGAGTCAGAGAAGGCTTCCCCATTTAAGCTGAGCCCTAAAGATAGGGTCTGATGAGTGGGAAAATGAGTAGGGACATTCCAGGCAGAGAGAACAGCCTGTATGAGAGCCATGAAGCAAGCTTGAGTATGGAAGGGTGGCTCATGCCTCCAGCCTAACAGACTAGAAGGGAGTTAGACCATTTGCTATTACTCACTACGGCCTTCCCTTTCCTTCCCTCCAAGGCTCAGTTCTTGTTGCTCTCTCTGCTCCAGCTAAGATCCTGTGCATCTTTAAGGCTTAGCTCAAATGCCATTTCCAATGTAAAGCTTTTGCCCACTGTTGAAGCAGAAGTGATGTAACTCATGACATAGCCACACTTTGGACAGAGTTGTATGCAAGCACTTGCCTTCTTCCCTGCTGGTTTATGCCTCATTCATCATTGTCCTTCCCCGACACCTAGTGCAGTGCTTGGTAAATGTTTGCTGAAGGCAGCCACAAAGATGCTTGGAGCCAAAACCTTGTTATACTAGGAGAGTGATAATAAAGAAACAACCCAACCCTAAGTTAGGGGAAAACATCATTTCTAAAGCAAATTGTCTCAGAGCCTGGTGCTAGGTTCCCTTTGCACGGAATAGTATCCATGAGCAGGACTACTAGAAAACATTTTTTAAAATAAGGAATGTAGTGTTTGATATTTCAAAATTTATTAACATGGTCATCATAGGAAAAGTCAGAATTGTATTGGGCTTCCTCTTAGTTTTCAGTTTACAATTGTTCTTATTTTGAATCACATGTTGCAGGGTCTAGGGGCAGGGTCCTTCATAATCTTTTCATTGCTTTGGACTCTAAAGAACTTCAAATTTCCTCTCTGAGGTCTCCCTCCAGCATCTGAAAACTCTCACCTCAGGAAAAAAAAAAAAAAACAGTGGAGATTCTATTCTTTCTCAGTTCTGCCAATTTAAGACATGATTTCAGAGAAATCTCTAAGCCAGGGTGTGCCTTGCTTCCTGCAATAGGAAGGTGGAAAGACTAACCATTTAGCACCTTATGACTGGTGAGAAATAGCTGGTGGTTAATGAATCAATGCAAAGGATTTTTCAAATACTGTTTTCATTACTAATGCCCCATTTTCAATTGGTAAGAGCAGAAGAGGATGCAGGGGTTGGCAGAGGAAGGAATTTCAAGACCCTAGGGTAGAGAAGCCAACTCTGATTGTTCTCTCTGCAGTGGGAGGATACCTGCGGAGGGGAGTACACCACCCTCCAAGGGCCCTTTACTTGCCCAGGGCTTCCAGGCAGCATCTGAAGCAAGGGATACTCAGCTCTAGCCTGTTGCCCTTTGCCCTTTGCCCTTTGCAGAGATGCATTTTTTTTTTTTCTAATTATTCAGTTCCACTGGGGCACTCTGTTGTTGTAAATAACCCATTTATCGTCATCGACTCTTTTGGATTTTTCCCAGAACTAATTTCATTTTTGAAATAGTTTCTCTTCTTATTGTTTTGAGCAAATACTGAGCACCATTATAGATTTATTTTTGTTTGTCTGATAGATGCTACTATTAAAATTCTTTTATATGATTGGAGATAGAATTTATTTCCATGACTTCAAAAGCAAGGGTGATAGTCACTCTAAAGATTACCTCCCAAGTTTAGAAGTTCATTTAAAAATAGCTCTACAATGTATTGAAAACCCATTTATTCAGCCATCATTTGTTGAGTTACCCAACTAAGAGCTCTGTGGATGGCAAGGGTTATAAATGCCGAAAAAATGTGGTACTTGCCCAGGATTTGCACTCCACTGAGAATCCAACTATAATTGCCAACATTTTCCACTTCTGTTGTTTTAATTATTTCAAAATTCAGTAACTATAGGCATCCTGAAACAGTATGCATTCCCTTATATTGCTTCGAAATCTCATATCACCTTTTTGACTACATTTAGAAGGCACGAAGTTTGGACCTGGAAGCACAGGTCTACTCCTCTCCCATGGGAGACCAATAGCAAATGGAATCCAATGGAGCAGCTGCGACTATCACTTGGAAGCCCTCTGTGAGCCACTAACCCACCACTTCTCCTTTGTGGCTTCTTTTGAGCTTTAGATTTGTCCAGCAAACTACAGCATTTAAGCTCTTTCCTATTTTTTATTTCCTTTGATTCTTGTAACAATCCAGTAAGGCAGTAAGATTAGGTGTGTTCACCTCATGCTACAGATAAAAAAACTGAGGCCCAGAGATGTTAAGTCACTTGCCAAAAGGTCACCCAGCCAGTAAGTGGGAGCCTGCAATTCCAAGCCCACTGAGATCTTCTCTAGCTGCTTTTATCACCACTACTGACAAGTCTGCTGTTTCCAAGCCTTCACAATGGCTATTCCACAAAGTTGACTTGATCATTTCTGTGAATGCTTCTTTGGCCTTTTTCATGATATAAGCAGAAAGCTTTAAGTTTGAAAGGCATTTCCAAAAATAACGTTTACCTTATCTTCTTCAACTGCACTTTCAACTTACTCTCTGATCTGTTTCCATCTTTGGACGTTTCTGAATTTACACAAGCAGATGAGGAAAGCCCTCTGCCTCCCCATGGATAGATGAAGACATGCAAAAATGTTTTTAAGGCCACTCTTTATATAACAAAATGAGACGGGGGAAAAAATCTGTCTGAGATACCATTTTCCTGAAAGGTCAGATCCTACTTAACTTGTTAACAACCAAAAACCTGAACTCAAATATCATCCACTAAAAAAGAGTTCTTCCCAGTGAAAGAATAAGTAGCTTTCATGAGTCTAAAATAGCCAAGGACCTTCAGACATGAAAGAAGAATGATATTTGGGAGCTAAAAGTAAGGCTAAGAAGCAATGGATACATGTGAAAAATTTGCAGTTTTCCCAGTGAAACCAATGAATTGCTCTAGCTTTACTCTTTCCACGTTCCTTTTAAACTGAGAGGGCAGTTTAAATTGTAGAATGCCAAAGTCAATTGTAAATAGCTTCCTATTATAATACACATTTATTGGGAATATCCAGTCCCCCTAAATTTGGTAGCCTGGAAGGGTTTCATGAAATACTCATTGCCATGAAAAAAACACCTAATACACCCCCACCCCATTACTGGGGCCGTCTAGCCTGTGTTCAACTCCCACTGAAATCACCAAGTCAATGAGAGAAATTAAAACCATTTTATCCACAGGTGTACATTTTTGTGCAATTATATGTAGGGGGTTAAAAACGGTGTTCGGTAGAACCCCATACATAATCAAAATTGAAGAAAAATCAGTAGCTATTTTAGCATAATAAGGAAATGCAAATTTAAGAAAGAAAATTTTCATTAGCACATTTCCTTGGTGAATAGGTACTAAAATATATTTGAATGCAGGACACCCCACTGTTTGGGGAGCTTCACACATAAAAGGTGTGAGTTACAGCCAAATTTCCGGCTGTTTTTTGCTTCTCAGTTTCTACCCCTTAAAAGCTGATGGAGATAAATCTGGAAATATTTGAAAAGTATCACATTTGAAAATTATTTGATATCTTACCGTCTTGTACACTCTTTCCTTATGGTGAATTGCCTTGACTGCCTTTTATTACCAAGGGTATTTGTTGGATCACAGAATCTTTATTTCTTAAGAGATATTTGCTGCTTCTACTTAAGTCACAATCCTTTGTCACAGGACAATCATTTCCACAGCAACCAACTGTGATGTCACAATTGAAGGGAGGAGGACCCTTAGGAAGGAAAGAAAAAGAGAATGTACTTTTCAGGCTAAGGTTTCTGGGTTTTAAAACCATCACTTCAGAAATCAAAATATTTTAGCAGAAAAACCCCCATGAGAAAGCTTCAAGGTCTCGGCTGTGACAAAGACAACATTTCAGTAGAAGTTTAAGGTTGCGTGTTGTGGGCTTGGGAAGGGGTAGAGATCTTTATTTCCTTTCATTCTAATTCTGTGCCACTGATACCTGCCAGTAAAATACATGAAACATATTCCAGAAAGAGTTGATTTAGTAGATGAAAAATGCGTCTCCCGAGACCAGAGAAGGTACCTTTTCTGTCTTGCTATCATTTCCATAATAGGAACAATGTTTACATTTCCTCAGCCCATGCAGTGCCTCTAATGTATTCATGTTCTTTCACTCTCCAGAGGCAGGAATTGAGGTATTAGAGATTTTATTTTTTAGCGACTGCATCAAGCACTTAAGATCTGACAACTGTGATGTGTATTCTCACTTGGTATTAAAAAATAAAAGCTTCTGTGTTTGCATTTGATTAGAGTCACTCAGCTGGGTGGCTGATTAAGCAGGAATAGCGAAAGCACCTTCCTTCAGAAACACTGAATCCTGGTTAATGTAGTGTAAGATTACGGATGGGTGTAGTCACATAATTTTTATTAAATTGAAGAGATTAGCTCTGCTGAAAAATCCCACTGTGACAGCAAACTCTAGGTGCAATAATGGTACCTAACACTTCTCAAACCCACTACAGGGCCCCAAATGGTCTTATTTCTGAATCTTCTTTCAGTTCCAGTGAGAAAGCTTCATTCAAATATTCAGGATAGTTACCTGAAATTGAGTTTGCACTGTTTTTTTTTTTTTTTTTTTTTGAGAGGTGATGCAAAATCAGCACAAACATTTGTAGTCTGTGAACTTTAGCTATATTCTCTCAGTGTAAATAAAAATGACACACACTCTCTTTCCTCTAGTTGCTTAAAAGGCAAACACTTTTCCCCAGACGGAGGCTCCGGTGGCCACAAGGGGGCCGTCGGAAAAGATCCCAACTGGAAGCCCAGAGTGTGTGATTTGTTTGTCTAACATGCATAAAATTGTTGCCTCTTCCTCCAGACTCAGGATAACTTGGTTATCCCAGTTCTAGGAAGGGAAGGTTAAAAAGCCATAAAGAAGGAAAGAAAGATAACTTTTGAAAGCCAAAACCTCCCATATTCCCTGGAGTGAAGCAGAGTAGAAAGTGCAGGTACTGGAAAGAGTGAACAGCACTTTTCTTTCTTTCTTTTTTTGAAACGGAGTCTCGCTCTGTCACCCAGGCTGGAGTACAGTGGCCTGATCTCCCTTCACTGCAACCTCCACCTCCCAGGTTCAAACAATTCTCTACCTCAGCCTCCGGAGTACCTAGGATCACAAGCCCCCGCCACCGCGCCTGGCTAATTTTTTTTTTTTTTTTTTTTTTTTTTAGTAGAGACGGGGGTTTCACCATCTTGGCCAGGCTGGTCTTCAACTCCTGACCTCGTGATCCACCCGCCTCGGCCTCCCAAAGTGCTGGGATTACAGGCGTGAGTCACCGTGCCCGGCCTGAACAGCACTTTTTTAGACAACAAAGAAGGCTACAAATGGAGTCCATTTACATACTGCACACGAGGGGCTTGGGGAGGATTAATTGGTTAATGTTTGGCAAGCTGAGCTTGGAAGACAAGTTGTGCAGAGGTGCTGTTGTCACTTACTACTGTTATTAATTAACAAGGTGAATGCCAAGCAAAAACAAGCCTCGGGGTGTGCTTTCATTTCTTAACGCCATATGCGATGTCTATTGCAGGAGTGATTCGGGAAAGTTACCTCAAAGGCCACGACCAGCTGGTTCCCGTCACCCTCTTGGCCATTGCAGTCATCCTGGCTTTCGTCATGGGGGCCGTCTTCTCGGGCATCACCGTCTACTGCGTCTGTGATCATCGGCGCAAAGACGTGGCTGTGGTGCAGCGCAAGGAGAAGGAGCTCACCCACTCGCGCCGGGGCTCCATGAGCAGCGTCACCAAGCTCAGCGGCCTCTTTGGGGACACTCAATCCAAAGACCCAAAGCCGGAGGCCATCCTCACGCCACTCATGCACAACGGCAAGCTCGCCACTCCCGGCAACACGGCCAAGATGCTCATTAAAGCAGACCAGCACCACCTGGACCTGACGGCCCTCCCCACCCCAGAGTCAACCCCAACGCTGCAGCAGAAGCGGAAGCCCAGCCGCGGCAGCCGCGAGTGGGAGAGGAACCAGAACCTCATCAATGCCTGCACAAAGGACATGCCCCCCATGGGCTCCCCTGTGATTCCCACGGACCTGCCCCTGCGGGCCTCCCCCAGCCACATCCCCAGCGTGGTGGTCCTGCCCATCACGCAGCAGGGCTACCAGCATGAGTACGTGGACCAGCCCAAAATGAGCGAGGTGGCCCAGATGGCGCTGGAGGACCAGGCCGCCACACTGGAGTATAAGACCATCAAGGAACATCTCAGCAGCAAGAGTCCCAACCATGGGGTGAACCTTGTGGAGAACCTGGACAGCCTGCCCCCCAAAGTTCCACAGCGGGAGGCCTCCCTGGGTCCCCCGGGAGCCTCCCTGTCTCAGACCGGTCTAAGCAAGCGGCTGGAAATGCACCACTCCTCTTCCTACGGGGTTGACTATAAGAGGAGCTACCCCACGAACTCGCTCACGAGAAGCCACCAGGCCACCACTCTCAAAAGAAACAACACTAACTCCTCCAATTCCTCTCACCTCTCCAGAAACCAGAGCTTTGGCAGGGGAGACAACCCGCCGCCCGCCCCGCAGAGGGTGGACTCCATCCAGGTGCACAGCTCCCAGCCATCTGGCCAGGCCGTGACTGTCTCGAGGCAGCCCAGCCTCAACGCCTACAACTCACTGACAAGGTCGGGGCTGAAGCGTACGCCCTCGCTAAAGCCGGACGTACCCCCCAAACCATCCTTTGCTCCCCTTTCCACATCCATGAAGCCCAATGATGCGTGTACATAATCCCAGGGGGAGGGGGTCAGGTGTCGAACCAGCAGGCAAGGCGAGGTGCCCGCTCAGCTCAGCAAGGTTCTCAACTGCCTCGAGTACCCACCAGACCAAGAAGGCCTGCGGCAGAGCCGAGGACGCTGGGTCCTCCTCTCTGGGACACAGGGGTACTCACGAAAACTGGGCCGCGTGGTTTGGTGAAGGTTTGCAACGGCGGGGACTCACCTTCATTCTCTTCCTTCACTTTCCCCCACACCCTACAACAGGTCGGACCCACAAAAGACTTCAGTTATCATCACAAACATGAGCCAAAAGCACATACCTACCCCATCCCCCACCCCCACACACACACACACACACACATGCACACAACACATACACACACACGCACAGAGGTGAACAGAAACTGAAACATTTTGTCCACAACTTCACGGGACGTGGCCAGACTGGGTTTGCGTTCCAACCTGCAAAACACAAATACATTTTTTAAAATCAAGAAAATTTAAAAAGACAAAAAAAAAAGAATTCATTGATAATTCTAACTCAGACTTTAACAATGGCAGAAGTTTACTATGCGCAAATACTGTGAAATGCCCGCCAGTGTTACAGCTTTCTGTTGCAGCAGATAAATGCCATGTTGGGCAACTATGTCATAGATTTCTGCTCCTCCTCTCTTTTAATGAAATAACGTGACCGTTAACGCAAGTAACTCTTTATTTATTGTTCACCCTTTTTTTCCTTAAGGAAAGGACTCTTCCAAATATCATCCTATGAACAGCTCTTCAGAAAGCCCATTGAAAGTTAAACTATTTAACGTGAAATCCATTAACTGGAATAATTGAGTTTCTTTATTTTTACAATAAATTCACTGAGTAAATAAGTTGGAGCTGGAATTCTGAGCTTTGTGTTTGGACTGTCTGGTCTGTAGCTAAAGGAAAAAGTTAGGAGGGGAAT
The DNA here is from genome assembly GCF_000001405.40 of Homo sapiens. Taxonomy (NCBI): domain Eukaryota; kingdom Metazoa; phylum Chordata; class Mammalia; order Primates; family Hominidae; genus Homo; species Homo sapiens. The sequence goes on along the minus strand of NC_000005.10, from coordinate 116,445,673 downwards.
ATTTATTTAAATCTATCAGTTCATTGCCTGGTCAGGTCTCTGGCCTATAAACATGCAAAAAAACTAATTCATGTTAAAGTCCTTCCAGATCCTAATTTCTAAAGCAATCAGGAGAGAAAGCTTTTAGAATGGCACATCATATCTCATTGATGCCAACATGGTTTTGTCCATGGTTCTGACTTTCTGTGAAGGCACCAGCTTGCAATATGCCATCCCATTTCACCTTGCATGTGAGACAGCAAACAAAATCCACAAATGGTGTGAACTAATATGCTGGCTGCTACCTTGCATAAATTAATGATTTGATCACACGGGTTCTTCGTGGGGTTACATCTGTGAATAGCCTGTTTTCCACATGTAAATTTGTGCCTTACACCTTGAGTTGTGTACACTTGTAAACTCTTTATGATCAACTGTTCCCCCTTTTGAAATAAGTGCAGATATTTATTTAACCCTCCCTTCCCCACCCTCTGCCCCACTTCCAGCCCTCTGAAAGATTGGAGTCAAGCAGATGGAAGAATGCAGTGGTGATAGTTGTCATGCGACAGCCTGAGAACGCTGGGCAGCACCACACCCTCCAATTCACACTGCCTTCTAGTTGTGCCAACTGGAACCACCCTTTGGCTGTGCTGCGAAGCATGGACCCCAGTGTTGTTGTGGGTGTGTCAAATCCCCTTTCATCCTCAAGAGCTCCCTGCTTCCCTTAGATTATTTCAATACGGTGATATCCTTATTTGCTAGCAGAAAAGGGACTAACGTCCCATTCCTCTTTTCTGCTGCGTCCACTGGCTAGAGAGCAGGCGGTGCGCGGTTGGGCAGACACCTGGGAGGAGTCTCCAAGCCATGTGCACAGCACACACGTGCAGTGCACACAAAGAAATGACATGGAAATAGATGCAGGCAGGCTGGTCCCTGCTGTGATTAACGAGTAACTCCAAGTACAAGGCCGACCACAATGGATGCTGCAAAAACGTTGACTGGGGCAAAGGATTTTTTATTTTATTTTTTATTTTGTTAATTATGTTTTTAGGGGATGGGAGGTGGTGTGTGTTTTTCTCCTCTTGGTTTTCATTTGCTCAAGCACACAAAAGGGACTTTTGTTTACTCTATCATGAACAAAGGAACTGTCCACATACTGTAAACCATGAGCAGTGTTGTTGTTGTTTTTTTAAACAGTATATTTGGTGGTCTCTTTGTCTGCTTTTATTTCCAGTTCGATCTTCTGGGTTTAGTTTTGTCTTTAAAAAGAATTCAAAAAAAGACTGACAATGACAGTTTTGAGTTGGATAGTGAAAAAGTGGAGCCTCCATAATCAGTGTGGTTGCCTTCAGACCTGAGTACTTAGCTGAGGGTGGGTGAGAGCCCTTTGTTCCAAAAGTCCATTAGTTTTGCTGTTGTTTAGGAGTAGGTGGTTGTTGTTGTTTTTACTTTTTTTTTTTTTGGCTTTTGTAATGGAATCCATGTTCACATCCTGTGAACTCTGTCTCCTGAAACCCTGAAGTATTTCCTAGAACCTGAAATATTGTTTTCTTCCTTGAATTTTCTCTAGAAATGCAGAAATTAGGAAGGTGATGGGTCTGTATCCCCCTGCCCCCTTCTTTCCCATGCTTGACTCCCGAGAGTACTGGCAGTGCAGCACCCATCATTGACGTAAGCGGCTGTCTTGTCCAGTGTTTGTAGGCATCACTGCCTCAGCTGTTAAGGAGACCTGTGTCAAAACTTACATCCACATTCCTACACCCCCACAACCCATCACTTCTGGTGTTAACCCTAAAATACCCACATGTATTGAGCTGGTCTTCTGCATTTAAGTATTTCTCCCCAGTTTTTTTCCCCACTGTGTGTGGGGGGAGGGTCCATAAACCCGAGTGTGCCTTTGCTTTCCACCCTTGCTAGACACTGGTAGATGCAACAAACTCAGATTTATATTTGTTGTAAAGTTGTAAAAATATTGTGATGTCACCAATTTTCCTTCCATCTCCACATCCCCTAACATCTGATTCACGACTTAATGTATGTTGTAAGAAAAGAAAAAAGAAAAGAAAAAAAGGGAAAAAAGAAAAGCAAGGAAAAGGCTCTTTATTACTTAAAAGTAATAAAACCTGACTGTTCTATATTATCTTTTGTGTCCTGAATGCTTTTATTTATCTCTTAATTTTTCCTTTTTAAGCTGCTCTCCTCCCCACCCTTTGTGGGTATGATGCTACTCTTTCCTCCATTTGTATCTGGCTTCCAAAGCATACATAACGGTATAGTTTGATGTATTTGTTTGCAGTGTCCACACCCAGCCACCCCCACCCAAATTATTGACGTGTTTCTCTGCTCAAACCCAGCCTGGAGCAGGATTTTAGCAGAAGCCACCGGTAATTAAAAAGCAGAGCATGCATTGGCTCCTTCTATTCATTTTATGCATTTTCTTTTTATGGGCTTGTTCATCATCAAACATTTATGGTAGGCTTGATAGTTTAAGAGATCAAGGCTAGGATTTTAGTATGTAGGGTCCACTAAAAATAGATCCTTGCACAGATGTGACTTCAGTCTTCTTACATATTAATAAGGTGGAGGGGGCTGGATTTTACTCCTTGTTAGCATTTATCTTTTGTAACACAGAGGGTATATTGGAGGTATATTGGGACACAGCCTTTGATTTTTCTTTGGCAAAAAGAGCATTATTTTGCAAAAAGAGCATTATTTCTTTTGCAAAAGAGCATTATGAAATGCCTAGGTCAGGTTTTCCTCTAGGGGTGTTTTTAAAACAATTATTTAAATAAGTCTTCAGCTACAGTATTTTACTTTTGACCCTCTGAAATTTTTTTTTTTTTTTTTTGATGCTTTAAGTCAGTTGAGTGTGGGAAGCTGCAGGTTGAGGCCTCAGTTCATACCTATAGTGGCCCAGTAACCTTTAGATTGCCATCTCCAATTGTGTTTCTTGAATTACATCCATAGCGCCTGGCACAAAGTTGACTAGAATATAGTTTCTACCTCCTCATTTGCAAAGAGAGACCGACATGGCCCTTGTAGTTGCCATTTGGAGGTACGAACAAAGTACTGATGAAGCTCCCTAGAGGTTAGGGTAACAATATTTGTGCTGGTTCTTAAAGAACAAGTTTTCTGAACAACTAGCTCAGGCAGAGGGGACATCCTTTGCAAAGGCACCAAGTGTGCTCTTTGGGAAACAAAAGGTTCAGCAGGCCTTGTGCAGGATCTGTGAGAGCTTGGCAGGGCAAGTCTGGGAAAGGGTGGTTGGAGACAGGCCAGGAGGGACCTGGTTCCCATATGCTAGGAATTTAGCTGAAGCAGTGGAGTGCTCCCTTGCTTTGGAGTAAATAAAACAACAGACACCGTTTGTGCTTGGGAAAGCTACCTGGCCATAATGTGGGAAGTGAATTGGCCTAGAGAGGGACTGCAGGCCAGCTGGGCAGTGTGCCAGATGGCATGCCAAGTGGGTGAGAGCAACACAAGTGAAAACCGCACATCCAATTTCAGATGCAAAAAGGAACAGTCACAGAGCTGAGTCCTTTTTGCCAGAAAGAACTTCCACTGTATGTAATTGACAGGTTAGCCCTGCCCGGTTATACCCAAATGTCTTATCTAGAACTGACAGAATGGCCAACCTCTAGTATGACCCTTTCATTTTAAAAATGGGGGAAGCTTTGCGAGGCCGAGGTGGGCGGATCACGAGGTCAGGAGATCGAGACCATCCTGGCCAACATGGTGAAACCCCGCCTCTACTAAAAGGCAAAATTTAGCCAGGCGTGGTAGCGTGTGCCTGGAGTCCCAGCTACTCAGGAGACTGAGGCAGGGGACTCACTTGAACCCTGCAGGCGGAGGCTGCAGTGAGCCAAGATCGTGCCACTGCACTCCAGCCTGGCAACAGAGCAGACTCCATCTCAAAAAAAAACAAAAAAACAAAAAACTGGGGGAAGTTGAGGTCCACTGAGTGAAAGGATTTGCTCATGCTCCAAAACTAGTGGTAGAGCAGCTATTCTGAAGACAAATTCATGGTCTCTTTCCCCAATTCATTCAGATCAGTAGAGCAATACTAGCTAGAAAGACTTGATCCTGCTCACCCATCTAGACAGCATCTGCATCTTTCTCAGTCATCCTTTCTCACAGGAAGCCCTTCATACACACCCACCCTTCACAAGCTGGGCTTCCTAGATCCCCTCATTTGGGTCAAGGCATGGGGTTGGAAAAAAGCTTGGATCACATGGGCTTGAGGTATAAAGTCCCTGCAGTGCAACCTGATACTTGATCTGGTGGCTTTTGCTGCAGTCAGCTTTGTTCTGGGCTGCTGAAGAGGTGAAAGAGGCTGAACAGGTGCAGCCAGTATTTTAGCTGGGGCCCCCCGGATGTCCCTGCTCAGACACGAAAACTGCCTCAGACAACCCTGATTTTTAATTGTGTTTGCTTGCTAGCTTGATTGTTACAAGGTTTTTAGACTGTTTCTCCAAAGCAGTGGCTGTCCTGATGCAGCTACCAGGCTAGGTGTTTCATGGAATCAGAGATGACATCTTGGACCTGAATGTTTTCCTAAAGGCCCATGTCAGATAAACACAAACTGGTCTCATTGTTCAGCCTTGTAATTTGGCAGAAGCCAAATAAGATGCTCCTGGACCCCAGCACCTAGGTTTTACTGCCTGAACAAAAGCTCTTTCAACAAAAAGTCATTCAGCAAGTAAAAGTGTCAGAAAAGCACCTCTAATTTCAGACACTGGTACATTTTGCTTGAGGGGAAGTGGTGAGGGGAATTTAAAAGAACGCTTTAGTAACAAAATAACATGATTAAGAGCATAATCCTTTTCCTGGCTCAGCCCTGTGACAGCTGGGTGCTTGGACTCAGTAACTCTTAGAAACCCGCATCTCTCCCTTGTCTTGAAACCAGGTGATGACTTGTCTCTTGTACAGAAGTGGGAAGGAAGGGCTCACATTTATTGATTGGGACTGCCAGACAGATGGGGATCTTCAATATTCCATTTAGAGTATTGTGTATCCCTCACTCTAACCCCCCCGGGGATGCCTGGAGTTAGGGGGCGGTTGACCTCTGCAGAGGGTTAGGGCTGAACTGATGTGCATTAAATGTGGCTGGCAGGGAAACGTGCAGATGTCCCTCTAGCAAATGGAAATGAAATTTGAGCAAATCAAGAGAGGCAGCTGAATGGTGGGGGGTTTCCCATTCCCCTCTGCAAACACATCCATGCACACATGTGCATGCACAAATGTCACGGGGCTTTTTCCTCTTGGTGTCTAGTATCAAAAATGTCACAGAGGTTGGAACCCATGTCTACTGACCAAGTGGTCCTTTTGGGAGGGCTTTCTACCCTTTCTCTGGTAAAACATGGGTCCCACCTAAGCACTTTCTGGTCAAAGGTGAGTGTTATAAACTATGGTTTAAGAAATGGGACCCAGGACGTTTGCAGAGGAGACGAGACACAGGTCCCTGCCAGCCCATTGGCACTGGCTGAGGCAGCTAACAACTTTTTCATTCTTCCTAATCACCTTCAGATAAAAGACTCTCTTGAGAATCATTAACGTCATTCCCAAAGCAAGTCATCCGTCCTGCTAACGGACTGCAATAATGGTCCAAATAAGGGGAAGCTAATGAAGGGGGAAAGTGGGTAACCATGAAATCAGAAGCACTTTTCATTGATGGATTTCAAGAGGAAAAAAAAAAAAAAACAGAAGAGGGTGACATTGGATAAAATATCAAATGCCAGGACACTAACATGAAAGAAACTCATGCAGATTCCTAGGGGTTTCCCAGGATGAGAAAGATGATGAACAACCATTTCATGAGCCAACTACTCTCTTTTTTCCTGTGCATCACGACAACTGTCCTTACCACACACATTATGGGGTGCTGAGAAAGTGGGCTGCTCTTAGCAAAACTTCGTATCAGTTCTCTGGCATGAATACTGAACATTTTGCACATCTAGTCCCATGTCAAAGCAGAAGTGTGAATTTCAGTAATATGGCTAAGGTTTATTTAATAAAAAATGAAAAGTGGAAGGGTACCCCCCACCCCCTAGAAGGGGGCAGGGCTTCCAATTGCCAGCAACGACATTTTGCATTTGTAGCACTTTACAGCTTGCAGATACAATCTCGTCCATTATATTGCTTAATCCTAATAACAGCCTAGTGGGGTGGGCAGCATATATATGATTGTCCCCACTTCAAAGAAACAGGAGTTTAGAGAGAAGGGATCTATTGAGCACTGATCAACATAATAATGTAGTCATATTTCAAAAACCTGTGTGTCGACATCACCCCCCCTCAGCTGTCTTGGGGACACCTTAGGTTACACAATTACTCCGCTTGAGTGAAGGGGAAAAGTCTCCTACAGCATTTCCCAGGAGAGACCGTTACAACAATAAAGTCCCCAAAATAAAGGCTAGGCACACACATTCTATTTTGAGAGCATTGTGCTCTAATATTTTTCCATCGTTAAAGAACACATCTCTTCCTTCCTGCGTCTGCAGAGCCCTGATGCCAGCAGTGTTATTAGGAACTGTCAACAAAGCAGGAAAAGAGGGAGCTGGAGCCTAAGTCAGGACCTCCCTTCTGGGGGCGCACCCTGACACTTTAGGGGCTGCAACACCAACTGCCTCTGTGAAAGAAAAAGGATGAAAGGCTCAGCTTTTGTAGCTGCTTCATCCTGCCCAGGCCACAGATAATCACAAAAAAACTTTTAAGAAGCTTCTAAGGACCCAGGATGAATCAAAGCAGAGAAGAAGAAATGCCCTGTACCCAGAAGGGTGAAGAACTTGTCCAGCCTCCCCGTCACAGAACACGGAGGTAAAGTTAGTTTGAAAGTAAGAGGCATGTAAGAAATATCCACTGTTGTCATTTCACTTCAGCTTCATGGTCACTTTGGCACAATGGGTACCAAAGCAACCATCCGACTTTACCCCTGATATCGACGATTGAATGATTTGGTTGAGTGCCTAGAAAAATCTTCCAGTAGGAGACAGAAGGCAGAGCTCAGCTCTGCTTAGGAACCTGTCTTCCTCCTCCATGTTGCTACCCCTCATTCCACATTGCTACTGACACAGACAAGCCTTCCTTGACTTAGTGAGCTGTAAGTGCACACGGTGCAAGAGAGGCAGCACCATCTTCTTGAATTTGGGTGCCCAGCCTTCCTCCTGCCCTTGGGGCAGCAGTCCCTGGCTGGTCATCATACAGACCTATGCTACAGCACTCTGAATAAGCCAGCATCTTCCACTCACCCCTTTGACAGATGACCTCAGACAGATTCCACTCAGAGGGAGGAGAAAATGGGCATTCTCCTTAGAACTCCCACTGTTCTCTTTGTGTTTGCTTGTTGCTGTTTGTTTGTGAGACAATTGAAGCCCTGTTTGTAGTAAACAAAGCCTTTTCTCAGAACACAAATATGCTTTTTAGTGAATAGGGAGGCTTGGTTGCAATCAATTATGGCAGCTCTGGTATAAAATATATATGTAATTCCAACTGCCTTGCAATGATTACTTAATTATGTACTCAATAAAGGTAACTACTCTGGAAACAATTAACTTTCCCTGATCAGAAGGGTCAGAGTCCATAGCCAGTCAACTTTAGAAAGGAAATTATATATTCCAAAGTGGTGTGTGTGTGTGTGTGTGTTGTGTGAAACAAAGTTGTCTCTTGAAGACTGATGTAGGTGTTGGCTGATTTGAATTCTTATTTGTGTTTAACTTTATTTAAGAACCAAAGATTTATTCCCCTCATTTCCAGGGTGAAGAGAAGGCCTGTGATCACATTTCATGCTTGGGGAGAAAAGATAATGTGTTAGACTTATATGTATGAATAGAAACAGGTAAATAGTCATATTTCCTTCTAACTTTGTAATTTAAACAGTGTAAGTCAGTAGGGAAGGGCTGTAATTGAAGCCAAAGTAAGTGAGGTGAAAATTACTAGGTGTTGGAGCATCTGCATCTCATTTTAATTAGGTGACTGTAATAGCAAGATCAAAAACTTTTCCTTGTCACTCAATCTGTTGGGCTTTCTAATCGAGAAACCAAAGGGATTGTTTTGTCTTCAGGAAAGGGTGACCTAAAACAATCCTCTCTAATTACCTAGGCAGAGCAGCAGACAGATTTGGGCTCAGGGATGAGTGCGGCTCGGGGAAGGTGTGTTGTGAGGCCAAGGTACTCCAAGACCAGCCCCACAAAGGCCAGCCCCTAAAGCCCTTAGGGACAGTGATTCTTAATTTGGCAGCTTGGAGTTTTCCCTTCCCACAAGGCAAAGTAGCTTAGAAGAAAACGCATCACGTCATGAGTCTTGTGGGCCTGGGTTCTAGTCTGAGCCGGCCTCACCATTTGTGGGTCATCATTTGGGGCAGTCATTCAAATTCTTGGCACCTCATTTTCCTCATCTGTGCAATGGACTTAATGATGGCTGCCCTGCCTACCTCACAGGAGTGTGTAAAAGTCAAATGAGGTGAATGTTCCACCTCTTCTCTAACAGGATATGCCCCTCTTCTCCAATGTGGTGTATAAAATGAGATCCCAGCCTTCTATATCTTCAAATTAAATGACTTTGAGTTCCCATCCTGCTGATAATGAAAATGTCTTTTTTCTCTTCCGTAAATACTCCTTATCTGTCAACAAAAGCAGCCAGAGGGACCAGTTAAACAAAAGCCCTGCCTAGCCTGATAAAGAGTTCTGGCTCCTTTTCACAGATGAAGCCATCTCAGCCACGTGATGCCCACATCAAGGCCTGGGGGGCTCCACACACTGTAATGCTGTCTTCCTTGTCCATTCCCAGATGAAGAGTCCAGGGAGAGCTGGTTGTGCTCTTGATGCGGGGCAGGCGAGCCAAAAGTGGAGCTTAGCCCACGAGGGTGCTTGGCTTTGCCCAGGAAAGAATTCAAGGGCAAGCCAGAGGTAGAAGCAAACAGCTTAATTGAAGAGGCAGTGTTACAGCTCCATGACTGCTCCTGCAGTGCAGGACTACCCCTTAGGCAGAGGGTAGCAGCTCAGGGGTTTCCAGTCATATTTATACCCACTTGTAATTGCATGCAGATTAAGGGGTGGTTTATGCAGAAATTTCTAGGGCAGAGGTAGTAACTTTGGGGTCATTGGTTCATTGCCATGGAAAGGGATGGTCACTTTAGGTGTTGCCATGGCAATGACAAATGGATGTGGCTACTGGTGGGTGTGTAAGATTGAAAGCTGCTTCTGCTTAGGCTCTCTTTTAGCTAGTCATCAATCTGGTCCCATGCTAAGCCCCCGCCTCTGGAGTGGAGCTCCCCCTACTACCTCATTCTCACTGACTTCTGCCTCCCTTTACCACCTGGTGCTCTTCCTGACTGCTCAGCCCAAACTCTTGCCTCCAGCCAGGACACTGAGGCCTAGAGAATGAGGCCCACGGTGCACTGAAGGAAGCACAATTGTAAACACTCCTTGTGTTCGGTCCATGAGGCTTACACTCATGGACATGAGTACATGAAACCTGGTGGCCTTGGCTTGCCTGTCTACTTTGGTGCCATGCTCTTTGAACTGGTACACTCACAGCCATTTTCCCTAAGCACATCTGTGGTGCTGCCCTGTCCAGGCCCCAGGTGTTTCCATTCTGAGCTACAGATGGTCTGGATAGAAGTAGCAGTTACTCAGTCCTAAACTTATCCCTGTCTCTTGTCCCAAGAGTTTGTGACATTCTTTACAAGGAGAAAGCTCTGCCTTATTTCAACGATAAAGCATTATACCAAATATGTGATGGTCATTATTATACTTCTCATGGTGCTGAAAGATCTAGTTCAACACCCACCTTTTAAAGAAGAATAAACCAAGACATAAGAGGTTGCTCAAATGCACACTGCTCATTTGTGGCAGATCTAGGGGTACAAGACATATGTCCCAATTTCTGATTCATTGCAAGAGACCATACTCATGTCTATTAAAGTACAGACTTGTAAATTGTAATCCCAGAATGCGGAGGCTGAAAAAAAAAGATAGAAATTGATTTCACTCTCATGTAGCAGCCCAGAAGCCCATGGTCCAGGACTGTGGGACAGCTCTTTAGTCTTCAGCGAGTAGCTTCCATTTCAGGTTCAAGCAGCTCTTCTAATTGTGCCAATTTCTTAGTCAATAGGAAGGCCAAAGAGAGAGTGGGTGCAAGAGCATGCTGAGTCATTTTTAAGGGGTAACCCCAGTGGTTGCATGGAGCACTTAGCTCACACCCCATGGGCAGGAACATAATCCCAGGGCCACAATGAGCAGCAAGGGAGGCTGGAAAATGCACACTTCAGGGCCCTGTGCTCTTCTGAAATTCAGGAGTGTGCATTATTGTTGTAAACAAGGGAGATTAAAGACTTAAACGTAACATCTGAAACTGTAAAACTCCTAGAAGAAAACATAGGGAAAACGTTCCTTGACAATGGTTTGTCAATGATTTTTCTGATAAGAAAGTAACAGCATGGGTCAGGTGTGGTGGCTTACGCTTGTAATCCCAGCACTTTGGGATCCACCCGAGGCGGATGGATCATATGAGGCCAGGAGTTCAAGACCAGCCTGGCCAACACAGTGAAACCCCATTTCTACTGAAAATATAATAACTTAGCCGGACGTAGTGGTGCACAGCTGCAATGCTAGCTACTCAGGTGGCTGAGGCAGGAGAATCACTTTAACCTGAGAGGTGGAGATTGCAGTGAGCCAAGATCACACCTCTGCACTCCAGCCTGGGTGACAAAGTGAAACCCTGTCAAAAAAAAAAAAAAAAAAAAAAAAAGAAAAAGAAAAGAGAAGAAAAGAAAAGAAAAGAGCCCAGGCAACAAAAGCAAAAATAGACAAGTGTGACTACATAAAACTAACAACTGAAAACCTTCTGCACAGCAAAGGAAACACTCAGCAGAATGAAAAGGCAGTCTAAGGAATGGGAGAAAGTATTTGCAAACCATATACCGAAAAGGGATTAATATCCAAAATATACAAGGAATTCACAAAACTCATAAGCAAAAAAAAAAAACCTGATTAAAAATTGGACAAAGGACACAAGGAGACATTTTTCAAAGAAGACATACAAATGGTCAACAGTTATATTAAACACTGCTAAACATCACTAATCATCAGAGAAATGCAAGTTGAAACCACAATGATATATCACCTCCCACCTGTTAAGATGGCTATTATGAAAAAGAGAAGATATAACAAGTGTTGGTGAGGGTGTGAAAAAGGGACCCCTTGTACACTGTTGGTGGAACTGTAAATTAGTATAGCCATTATGGAAAACCGTATGGAGGTTCCTCAAAAAAATTAAAAATAGAACTACCATATGATCCAGCAATCTCACTTCTGGGCATATATTCAAAGGAAATGAAATCAATATGATGAAGCACTACCTGCACCCCCGTGTTCATTGCGGCAACATTCACACTAGCGAAGATTTGGATACAAACTAAGTGTCCATTAATGGATAAATGGATAAACAAATTCTGGTACATATATACAACTGAATGTTATTCAGCCATAAAGAACAAGGGTCTCCTGTCACTTGCGACAACATGGGTGAACCTGCAGGACATTGTGCTAAGTGAAATAAATCAGACACAGAAAGTCAAATACTGCATGATCTCACTTAGATGTAGACTTTAAAACAGTTGAACTCATAGAAGTAGAGAGTAGAATGGTGGTAGCCAGGAGCTGACAGGGTAGGGGAAGTAGGGAGATGTTGGTCAAGGGCTACAAATGTTCCGTTATAAGATGGATAAGTTTTGGGGATCTGAGGTACAGCATGGGTGGTGATAAGTGTTAATTAATTTGATTAATGTAATGATTACACTATATATGCATATTAAATCTTCACATTGTACACTTTGAACATCTCTGTCAATTAAAATTTTTTAAATTGTTTTAATTTTTTTAAAAGGGAAAGTGTATATATATACACACACATATGCATATAAATATGTGTGTATATATACACATATGCATATATATGCGTGTGTATATATGTCTATATGTGTATGTGTATATATATGTGTGCTATATATGTATATAGTAATTAACCACTGCACATGCCTGTTAGCTGGTTTAGGCATCCTGCCTCCCCCAAGCCTTCCCTGAGCTCCCTGGCAGTGTTGTGCTCTTCTCTCCTCTCCCAAAGCACCCTGTGCATAAAGGTTTCTAACATACAATGCATTGGAAAGCTCTGCTTCCCCATTAGACTATAAGCATATCAAGGGCAGGAACTGCATCTTTTTTACCTTTATAAGCCCAGAGCCTACAGTGAGCCTGGTAAATTAAGGGGCACAATAAATCATTTGCTGAATGGAGTTATCATTATTAGACATAACATAGTAAAGGTTGAGTATCCATGCACCACTTAAACAAAATTACTACTAGTGAATAACATAGTTGTCCTAATAGTTGTAGCATAAATTACACACTCACCAGGTGTCCTGCAGAAACCGGGCTACGTGTTCTCTGGACATTAGGTCATTTAATCCTCACAAGAATACTATTAGGTAAGTACCTTTTGTTACTTCCTTTGGCAGATAAGGCAACTGAAGGCCAGAGAAATTAAAGAACTTTGCTGTACTCACCGAGTTAGTAATTGGTGGGCCCATGGTATATATTTGGGTGACCCCATAGCCAGTGCTTTTAATCATTTTGTCTTATTAGGTGAAGTGGGACAGGGTATCCTTTTAACGTGACAAAGAGTGCCTATCAGAAACCAAGAGACAGGCAACACTGCAGGAGCCTATGTGATTAATAACACAAGAGAGTCAGACTAATCGCTTAGCAACATTCTTCCAACAATACACAATAACAACGTGCAGCCAATCCCACAGATATTCCATATGTGCACAACCACATCAATACTGCAGAGATGCTCGTTCTGTTTTCCAAAGAGCTTTAACATATAAGATATAGTTAGTAGATGACATTTGAAGTGTTTAAAACAAAACATTAAACTTTTAATACCCTAAACCCTTGACCCTTACTAGAACCCCACCCTAGCACACAGTCAAGTACCTCAGTCATTTGCAAAACCACAATAACAACTGAACACACAAAGATAGTGGAATATAAATCAGAGGTAGCCCAAGAAAGCAGAGTGGGCATCAAGGAATTCTGACCTGGATGATGGCACTAGGGACACACAAGCACATCAGCTCTGGAGACTAAGCAGATGCATAGAGATCTTGGCTGAGTACAAGCCTGAGAGAGAGAGAGAGACAGCACGAGACGGAGAGGTGTTTATTTCTCTCTTCATTAATGCTCTGCTGTGTAAGTGCTGATAAGAATCTTCTAAAACTATTTTAGGAGTTTTTTTTAATGCAACTTGGGTTTGTTAGGGGCAGAAGACTCATGATTTGGAGGAGAAAAAGACAACAAGATTTGATTTCACAGATGCTTCAGAAATAATGGCACAGTCTTATCCATTTTCAGCAAATATAATCTGAAGCATTCAACCTCCGATAAAGGTGTATCGCCTTCATTCGTGCAGCAAACTGCAGATTAAGCTTTTTTTTAATGCTGTTCAAATTGCCTGTGAAGCAACCTTTTATGAGATATGATGGTTCAAACAATTTTGCAAAGAGCAGAAGACAAAGAATACATTTTTACCCTGAGCTGGTTTCCTAGGAAACACTGAAAAAATGTAATACGATATCTCTTAGAGGTAGTTCAAGGACCAGGGCTCCTCTTTACTTATTTAATTTTTTTTAAACAGTGTTTAATATCTGCTTCTTCCTCTCCTTACAGTGGAAACCTAGAAAGTTGAACAAACTCTCTTGTACACAGCAGCCTGAGTGTCCTCTTGTTAACTGAGTGCCCACCCTACACAAAGGAAAATGTGAGCCAAGTTGCACCTTCATTAGTCTTTGGTACAATTTGAAATAAGAAATTAAAGAAATAGAATTTGAACATTTTGCTCTACCATGAAAAAAAATCCCCAAATCCCAATAAAAAAATTAAGAGGAAGAAGCCAGCCCACTCTTTTTCAAACCATGTCTAAATTAATCTGTTTCAAGGTCTTCAAATACCGTTTATTTTAGCTTTATTTATACTTTGGCTCTTCACCCGTCTCTGATGTGCCAGCATATGCAGGCTGACAGAATCATGCCCGAATTAGCAAACTAACACATTTCCCAAGTTCAGATGCAAGACCATCAGGGGCTGGAGGTGGCAGAGAAGCTCAGGATGAAGTGTTGGGAGAACCTGCAGGTCAGCAACATGTTAAGGGGCACAAGGCTGTCTGCAGTGACACCTCTATGGGCCTTGATTTCCACCATTCATTACTCGTGTCAAGAGAAAATCAAAATAGGAAAAGTGAAGGAACATCTGGGCTGTGTGGGAAGGAGTTAAATTTGATTTTAAAATAAATAAGGCGTCAAAGCTTCAGTTTCACTTATTCAAAAATTTAAGATGAAAAGCAAAATGTTGGTTTAAAGAAGTTTGGAACCTTTTTGTGGGTGGGTGAGGGGAGGAAGGAGCTGAGGCCTCAAACAAAACTCCTCACTCTGCAGGTGCTTCTGTCCTGCCTCACCTGAGGATAAGGCAGTGAGTTAAGGGGACAGTGTGGATGGGGGGCTCCCTGCTAGCTTGCCCCACAACTTTCTTCACAACCACTGAGTCTGGGTAGACATGACATTCGGGGAGGAAACCTCTTCAAGCTGAAAACAATACCATTGTTTCTCATTTGGAATCTTTGAGGAAGAGAATTTGCGTGGGAGTCTTGAGGGTCATCGAAACAGATGGAATCACTGCCTTTTTAGATGGGACACTGTGTGAGGAGTAGCCTAGGGAAATGGGAAATTCCAAACCAGCAAAAGCAGACTGGCACACACCATGGTCCTCCTTAAGGTGGACCCAGGCTTATGGGGGTCCTCCTTAAGGGTCCTCCTTAAGGCGGACCCTCCTTATGGGACCCAAGCTCATGCCGAACGACACGGCAGGGCCTTGGGGGGGGGGTGGTCCTCGCAACCCCACCCGACACATTTTTTTAATGCAGGTTGAACTAGATTCAAATGAATATGAGGACTTCATGTGAAGACAGAAAATCCAATTTTAAAAGCACCCTGTGGGATATGTGGGGAACGAAAAAGGCAACCCTTCCCGTTTGCCTTGGTATCATAAGGGGCAAGTGAACATGAAGAAACACATACATCCTCAGGCAGCGGCAGAACGGAACTGAGCTGGTTTCCTAGGCACCGTGGGCCTTTGGACGTCATGTCTCCTGGCTTCTTTTTTTGACAACAGCATCCTATCTTTCCTTGGAGAGTTAATGTTCTCCTTGTTACAATCTTGATGGGACCATTAATTAAACTTGCTGGTACTCTCCTAACAAAGTGGTGGGCAGGTGATCCAAGCCAGATCAATCAACACCTTTTTCCCCAGGATCTTTAGAAGGAAGTACTCAATGATTGGTGCTCATGCCTGAACATAGCCACACCCACTGGAAGTGCCCTTCAAGGCCCAGGCCCAGGCTGTCAGTTGGAAGGAGCTCTGGAAATAAAGGCACTAGAAATACTTATATCCAGTAAGGCCTGGAGTTAAGTGCAGTTTGAGGGAGAAGCACATATTGGCACACATGGTGGTGAGACCGGAGGTGGAAGCTACTGTATGAGCCTTCTGCCTCAAACGAGTGGGGCTATAGGCATCATTATTCAGCCAGGTCAGCCTAGACCTGCCAGAAGACATTGGTGACTCATGAGGACAGGTCACTGGGCCTTCTGGACAGAGTACAACTTGGGGGCCAAACTAGCATGACATACATAAAGATTCATTTGATTACAAATCATAGAAACGTATTCAGCCCAGTTTAATTAGGTAAAATCGGGATTTGTTATGAGGATATAGGGTGCAAAAATGTTTTTGCTTTTCTTCATCAACTTTCTCTATTTTCTTAAGTTTATTTTTATATGTGCATAAGGTAAGCCTTCCATCTTCTTGTCTTCCAAACCAATACAAGGGGCTCTTATCTGGTTTATTGAGTAAGGCCCTCCATATCCACAAGTTCAGCATCCATGGATTCAACCAATCACTAATTGAAAATATTTTAAAAATTAAAAATAACACAAAATTTAAAATAATACAGTATAACAACTATTTACATAGCATGTACACTGTATTAGGTATCATAAGTAACCTAGAGATTATTTAGATTATGCAGGAGAATGTGCATAGGTTACATGCAAATACTATACCATTTGATATCAGAGACTTAAGAATCTGAGGATTTTGATATCTGTGGGGGTCCTGGAATGAATCCCCTGAAAATACTGAGCAATGACTATATCTCAAAGAACCTGATGCAAGAATTCACTGGTTCTTATGAGGGCCTGAAACCTAGAATTACAAATTCAAGAAGCAGGGCACTTTCTCTTTCTGTGGCACCCTGGACTCTAGTGTCCTGACTTAGTTCAGCCCCCAAAACTACCACTCTCTGAGTCTCTGCACACGGATCTAATGTGGCTGCTCTAGAAAGGCAGCCTGAGCTTCCAAAGCACATCACTCTCCAGTTCAAGCACCCGGCAGAGATTGGCCAGTTTCTCTGTGTCTCAGCCTTGTGACTTGGGATTGGAGCCCAGAGTCTGGGATCTGTAACTGTGGTGGCCTTTGTGCAAGGAGACCTGGTAGCCATGCTGCTCAAGCAGGCCATAGCTTACCTGTGCTCCCTGGAGCCTCCATGCACACAGAGGCAATATCTGCCCTCTGGAAAATTTCTCAAGTGCCATCTAAGGACAGAAGGAGTGAGCACAGCCTGATTCTGGAGTTCAGTAATTACCACTTACAGGTTGAGCAGCTTAGAGAAATTGCTTAAACTTTCTGAGCCTCAATTTCCTCATGTAAAAAAAATAAGAGGGTGTTTATGGGAGATAATTGAATTAGACAATTTAAGAAAAGTGTCCAGCCCATACTGGGTCTCCATAAGCCATTTTCCTTGTGTTACCTGGGCATACAGAGGGTATCAGAGGGATCAGAAGACAAGGACCCTTTCCTGTGAAGCACACGCAGGTAGCAATGGATTTTTCCTAGCTTTTCTGAAGGGCTGTGCTGGCTGTAAACACAAATTTACTGAGCTTGCTCTAGCATCCAGGCTCTGCGTGTAAAACCATTAGGCTGAGTGACAGTGCTGTAAGCAGCCTCTGGGACCTGCATGTGTTTAAACAAACATGGCATACTGCATGGCTAATGTGACTCAGTAGGTGCTCAATATATCTTTATTCTTTAATGGTAAAATAAAAATACATATATATTTTTTCCCCAGAATATCAGAGCACTAGCTGTCAGATGAGGAGGAAAAAAATCTCAATATGTGAAATGTATTCACAGCTGAGGGGATGTGGGGTCTTGAGTGCAGTGGGTAGGGAATGGAGTTTTAATCATTAGCATCTCTCCCCTTGGGTAAGCCTCACTCTGGTGATTTTTGGTGTTTGGTTGACAAGAATTGTGGCATAATTCTTGTGGCCACACACATACACACACACACACACACAAAACAAACGTATTTTCCCCAAATGTCTGTGAGAAAGTCTGAAATTGATTCATGTAGTCAGGAAACATTCTTTGCACATCATATTTTCTGTGCTGTTCTAGGGGCTGAAAAAGTACACAGGTGGAGAGACTAATGCGATGCAGTGAGCCATGTGCTCTGATCAGGCTCCAGGACACTCATTGAGGAGCCACAGGAGGGACCCCTCCCCTCTGTGAGACTGAAGGTGGACCCCACACTGTCTTAAAGGATGAGTAGGAATTGGCTACAGGAGTGGGGTTGATGGTTGAGTTTGGGGGCAGAGTGGCATAGAGGGGTTTGTTCCATAAGACAGGAAGAGCCTATATAAATAAAGTCCCAATAGATATGGTCCTGGAAGAATGTGCAAGCACCCAAATTCTTCAAACCCAAAATGGACACATTTCATTGGATGTTAAGGTCTCTGAAGTCAGCACACATTATATAATCAATATCTACGTATCATGTTTGTCCCTGGACAGCATCCTCCTCAGCCCCACAACACACACACACAGTGTAACCACTGACACTGACGTGGACCCTCACTTACTTGGTCTTTTGCTCTCATGGTATCTATGTATATTCCCACTAACCATATATGGTGAATCCTATAATGTGCATTAGCCAGACAGTCAAGTTAATAATAGTATTATACTTCATATTACAAAAATCTTAAGAACGTAGCATCATGTATTTAGTTGATCCCATGTCAATGAGTCTATAATACATAATAACTTTGAATGTATACCTTTTAAAATTGACATTATTTTTATTTACTAGATTGCCAGAAGTTGGATTGCTATGCCAAAGGGTATGTGTATTTCAATATTAATAATTATTTCTGGAATTCACTCAAAAATGCTCCTATAATTCACAATCATACAAATAACAAATGATATTACCATTCTCCTCATACCCTGACTGAGGTGACTCCACCTTTTTAAGTGTGGCCAATCTTGTGGGTAAGAAGGTTCATTGTTGTTTTACTTTCCACGTTTCTGAACATTAGTAAAATTAAGCAAATTTGCATTTGCTTAGAAAAACAAAGAGAGAATGTTTTCTCTTTTCTTCATCAACTTTCTCCATTTTGTTAAGTTTATTTTTGTATGTGCATAAGGCAAGGCTTCCATCTTCTTGTCTTCCAAACAAATACAAGGGGTTCTTACTCAGTTTACTGAGTAAGGTATACTTCCCCACTGTCTTCTAATACCAGTATGGTGACTTTGAATTCTGTCAACTTAGCTAAGCTAAAACTCTGTTTTCCAGAATTCCTTTCACTGTGTGGCTCCAGGTTAGGTATGCCTACAGGAGAAACCTAGAAGGTGGCAATGACACAGTAGCCATTGTGTTTTGAAGGTCATTGTAGGGCTCAAGGTGCTGTTGCCAGCTCTTGCATATGTTAGCTTAGGACAGCATTCAGACCTGCAGCTTCTTCAGCTCTCACCAAATCTCCTTCTTCAGCTTCTCTGACTCCTAGACCAGGTATGCCTGTACAGCTCCGTAGCTCAGGGAACCAGCTTCTCCTACAAGTCACTTACAGTATCAAGATTGGAGGTGGTGACAGACAAAAGCAGGTTCTAGTTTGTCCTCATGGATTCCAGTTTGTCCTTACTGCTTTGCCAGTTTGTCCTTTCTCTCCTCCCCTCCGTGTCCAACTTTCCTTCCTAACTGCTAGTCAGACTCCTCTATGGTGGCTCAGGCTCTAAGAACACAGCTACAGCCTTGCATAGACTTCCCCATGGGCTCCCACCATTGCATGAGGTCAAAGTCTGCTAATAAATCCTTTATATCAGAGCTTCTCAGCCTCATCACTATTGACATTTTGGGTTGGATAATTCTTTGTTGTGGAGGTTGTCCTATGCATTGTAGGATGTCTAGCAGCATCTCTGGCCTCTACCCACTAAATGCTATTAGCACTTTTCTACCTAGTTGTTACTACAAAAATGTCTGCACACATTTTCAAATGTCCGCTGGGGGGCAAAATTATTCCCATTAAGAACTACCACTCTATAGTATTGACAGTGGTTCTGCTTCTCTGATTGAACCCTAAGGATTATCATCACCTGTATCATATATTGTTTGCAAATCTACAAAAATAAGGATCTGTTTCCTTATTCTATTCCACTGATTAATTTGTGTGTTTGTGCCAGTACTATGCTTTTTTAAATTATAAAAAGTTTTAAAGCAGGTAAAACAAAGCTGCCACACTACTCTTCTGTTAAAACATGTCCTTCGCACTTATTGCATATTTATTCATCCGCATGACGTCCTGGTTAAGCTATCTTGTAAAGAATAGGTTTTTAAACTGCAGTCCCTGATCCTCTTGAAATTGTAAAATTGTGTGTGTCCAGAGATGGTATATAAGGTGGTCACTGTGAGTCTTAACATCTTTGTGATCACCTTATCTTTTCATAATCCCCTACCTAATGGTCTCAAAGGAGCTGGCAGGCAAATCAGGGTGGTCCATCCACATTCAAGATGAATCAGTGAATACACAGAACCGCATCCCCCAAATTTGTGAGAGACCCTCTGGAGAAGCCTCCTGAGTGTGACCCAGAACCCAGGTGTGCATCTCAGGGGACCAGGAGCACACCTTTACACGCAGGGTGGGAAACTTCTTGCTTTGGCAGGCAGTGAAGCTTCATAAGTGCACCGTATCATATGTTCATCTCTCATTTATTATTTATACCCCACCTGCTTCCAAAGGATGTGACATAGCTTTCAATTCAAAGTACAGGTAGGAAAGAACCATACAAGCTCTGAAACTGTCAGAAGGCAACAGCCAAGAAGAAGAGGCAATAGCGGGAGGGAGTCTGTAGAATAATAATACTAGAAAGCATTGGCTTAGCTCTGAACCTTCTGTCCAAGAAGAAAAGAAAGGAAGAAAGCAAACAAAATGGCATGTAGTTGTCTTTAGCTAGCAACAGGAAGCAGATCGTCAAGAGAGGCATTAACAGCCTCTGAAGAACTCTGGCCCCTTTTGCCAGCAGAGAGCCAGGCAAAGAGAAGAGAATATCCCTGAACATCCAGCCTCTGAAGGGACCTGTGCCCATTACAAAATTGCTAATTTTCTGTTGTCCAAGGGAACGTTGCCCTTGTAGAACTGTTTATTTTACTCATCAAATATTTACTGGGCACTGGCTCCAGCCAGACTTGGGGCTAAAGATTTAAAAGTGAGAATAAGAACCTAATGCCCTCCTTCAGGGAACTCATAAGTCAAGTGAGGAAGACAGATGTGAACAAATAATTGAAATGGACCTTGATAAGATCCCAGCACAGAGATGAACACTGGGCATTGGAGTACAGAAGGGAGGCAGGAACTTTACTTGGGAGGGATACCAATACATAGGAGACCAGGGTGGAGGAAGATGGGCACTCCCAGCTGAAGACATGCACCTCCCACAAGCAAAGAAAGCACATAACTGGGTAGCCAGGTTTTTGTTTGTTTGTTTGTTTTTTGTTTTGTTTTTGACGGAGTCTCACTCTGTCACCAGGCTGGAGTGCAGTGGTGCGATCTTGGCTCACTGCAACCTCCGTCTCCTAGGTTCAAGCGACTTTTCCTGCCTCAGCCTTATGAGCAGCTGAGATTACAGGCACCCACCACCATGCCTGGCTAATTTTTTGTACTTTTAGTAGAGACGGAGTTTCACCGTGTTGGCCAGGATGGTCTGGATCTCCTGACTTCGTGATCCACCTGCCCTGGCCTCCCAAAGTGCTGCTGGGATTACAGGCATGAGCCACCCCTGCCGGTCTGTCAGTTTTAGGGAAAAGGAATGAGGTGGTGTGCATGAAGCACAGAGTGCATGGTCATGGTGAAACAAGTGGAGACATGAAAACTTGGCTGCCATTAAATTGTGAAGAACCTTTTATGTAAGGCTAAAGAATCTGGCCTTTGGTGTGGGAACCATCAGAGGTTTTTAAGTGGGGAGTGCTGAATTCAGATCCTGGGTTTTGTGCATTTGCTTAAGATCCTCAAATTTATACCCATCAGGCTTATGAAGAGGCTAGAACTGGTCAACACATCTCACCTGGAGCAACCCAGCGCTGAAACAAGGGCATTTCATACAAGCTCAGTGTTCTTTTGCAAAGCAGAACTGTATGTCCTTTCTCATAATAAAACAGATAACGAGGGACTTTGGCTCAGCGCTCCTCCTTAGACACAGCCAAGAAGAGAAGTAAAGTCAGCAGCAGGGGGCTGCTTCCAAGAATAAATCTAGGAGTTTTGGAAGGAAAAAAGAAAAGACACATTTGTGAGTCATCTAAAAATACATTCCATGGTGAAGGACACACAGGTACTTTCTGCTTTTCTCTGTAGTTAAAAGAACATAAAGTAGCCAGCTCCTATTAGTGCAAATGATCAAAGTGGTTTTCTAGTGGAATAAAAAGCCAAGGGCAGCACAGTCGAGTGAGGGACAGGAGCCCAGGACGGATTGAGGACCAAGGACAGTGGCTGCAGGACAGTGGGTTCCAGTGTAGACAAGAAATATACCTATTCTAAATCTAGGGAGGAGTATAGGGAGGAAAGGAGGGGGCAAGAAGCTGCAGCTCTGCTCTTCCAGCTCTGTGCAGGAAGAAAGATGGTGCCACTGACCCCTGCTCAGTTTCTGACAATAACCAAATATCCCTCTCCTCAAGGACCAGCCTCAGCAGCCTCCCAGACCAAGCTTATGGTCCTTCACTGGACCTGCCATTGTGAAAGTTTGCTCATTATATGTGTTCTAAGCCTAAAGGATCTAGTAAGAAAGGAAATATTTCCAAAGTTTGAACATACAAGTGATTTATGATGCCAGAAACCCTGAAGTAGGAGCAGGCTGCAATCCAGCCATGACACTTTCATTTTATGACTATCAAGACCTCTGTGTGCAGATCCTGAGCATTAATTGTGACCCACAGCTTGATATAGTAAGTCCTCCCACAGGGCTGCATGATATCATACATTTGTTTGCATTTTTAAAAGCCAGACAAGATTGATTTTCCCTCTGCTCTTCCTGAGAACCAATCTTTCATAGTGTCTCATGGCTTTTATGACTTCTCTACAAATATCTCTCAGGCCAGCTTTGCCTCTGGCCATGCAACACCTCAGATCTCCCAGAATCCCTTGGAGAGATAGTCTTCGGAGCTCTAAACTCAGCTGATAAAGATAAAATTGCTTTCTCCTTGGGCCTTGGCTCCTTTATTCTCTGACCCCATTTGGACTGGGATGGCTGGATGAAGTTAAGAAAATGACTACCTTAAAACAATAATGCTTTGTTAATAGGGAAAATCCCAGGATGAAAGTGAGAGCTCTCCCTAGATAAACTGAGGAACTCAGCACATTTTGTGATTGGGGCCCATTATCCTCCCTGTAACCTCCCCATCTCACTTGGTACCAACTTCTCATACTCTTTATACTCTCTGCGGTTAAGATTCTTCTCCTCCTCTTGGATCCTCCACCCAGATTTGCCTCTTACCACCCACTTCCCATGTTCCAGACTCTTCCCGATGTCCACCCTTCCAGCAAACTGCCCTGAGTCCCATCTCCTCACTTCCTGTGATCTGTTAATTAAGCTAATGATGAGGTGGTGCTGTTGCAAGAAAGTCATCCCTGATGGTGGACTGCACAAGAAGATGCTTCTGCTCCTAGAGTATGCATGTAGTGTGTGCCCCCTGTGCCTCTTCCTCATGCTTTGTAAGCCCTCATATTCCCTTGGCAGAACCCTGGCTCCACCATTTTATGCCACCTTGATGGGACTATCCGTTGGGTTGCCCTGGTCTGTCACAAACCCTGGGACACTAGACCGCAGCCAGGCCAATCAGGGCCTTCTTGGGAGAGTGGCAAAAAGATAACCAATTTATATAAAATGAGGCTTCTGGAAAAAGCTGTGCACTAATTCTGGGCATATAGCTTTCCACACCTGGCCCGCTTCCTTTTTTGACCTTTCGAAGGCCCGAACAACCATCCAATGAAGTACCTTCCCTTCTTATTTTCCCTTATATTTGTTAGCAGCACAAAACAGAACAAAAAAACAAAACAACAACAACAAAAAAAAACTACTACCATTTCTTAACCTGAAAGGATGGTAAAGTGTGGCCCATCTTAAGAAAAGGAAGCCTTGGGAGAGACTATTTTAGACAAAATGGCCTTTGGGGAGGTTTCAAGTGCTCTCTGAGAAAACAAAAAACACCAGTAGACACTTCTGGCAGATCTCAGCGTGATATGGTTTGGATCTGTGTCCCCACCCAAATCTCATGTTGAAATGTAATCCTCAGTGCTGGAGGTGGGGCCTGGTGGGAGGTGATTGGATCATGGGGAAGGTTTCTCATGGTTTAACACAATCCCATCTTGGTGCTGTCGTTGCAATAGGGAGTTCTCATGAGATCTGGTTGTTTGAAAGTGTGTGCCACTTCCCCCACCACCCCCTTCCCTCCTTCTGCTCTAGC
This sequence comes from Homo sapiens, assembly GCF_000001405.40. NCBI lineage: Eukaryota > Metazoa > Chordata > Mammalia > Primates > Hominidae > Homo > Homo sapiens. The sequence goes on along the minus strand of NC_000005.10, from coordinate 116,421,799 downwards.
CATTTAAGATGTGCCTACTTCCCCCTCACCTTCCACCATGATTGAAAGTTTCCTGAGGCCTCCCCAGAAACCAAGCAGATGCCAGCATCATGCTTCTTGTACAGCCTGCAGAACCATGAGCCAATTTAAACCTCTTTATAAATTACCCAGTCTCAGGCATTTCTTTACAGCAGTGCAGGGATGGACTAATACACAGAGTCTCCCTGTAGTTTTACCAATACACTCCACTGAGGGGTCAATCAAAGGGCTGAGGGAAACATTTGACATGTGCCAAGGCCTCTGCATGAGTATCTCACTCATCTCATGGTCAAGAGGATGACTCTGCCAAGCAGCCTGGCCAAGCCTTCCCCAGTCACCCTCCCCAAGGTGATGCTGAAGAGCAGAGCTGCCTGCTCCATCCGCAGGACACTCTGCCCCAACTGCACAGTAGAGAACAAACTGGAGAGCCCAGGAGAAGGGTTCCTGCCTCTCCCCTCAGAGCAAGGCTCTGGCTCCTGGCTATCACCCTCCTACACAAAGGGGAGAGAAATGGAATCAAATGTGGTTAGACACAGACATACCAGGAGGCTGATAAGGCTCAAGCTTCAAGGCCCGTACTTGCACCCGCCCCTTTCCAGCCTCATAGTTTATAAAGATTCAATTCTATACCTAATGTCGTATTGTTATTTTCTATGTTTTTCATCAAGCAGACCCTCAAGCTGTGTAAGCGTTGGGCCCCACAAAATTTGGATCTCTCTCCAAATGTAACACAAATAGAGGAAAGAAATAAAACTAGGAAACCCAGAGATGGGTGTTCTCTAAACAAAATCAAAAATTAACAATTTTTACTTTTGAAATAGAATAGACTTGTAACCTGAGTGTGTCAGGACCCTCCTTCTTTCGGTCTGACAGGGGGATGTCCCTCATTACCTAAGGGGGATCCAGAGCCAGCAAAGAAATACACTTTATGGTCCCTCGAGCTTGGGAAATTGTCTCTGGTCTGTAATGGACTCCTTCTAGCAGTCCAAAGGGAAAGGGCTGGACGCTGCTGCCAGGTGATCAGGAAACAGGTGCTTCCTCTTTGGAAGAACCACCACCCAGAATGCACCCACTCTGAACTCAGCAGGATGTTGGACTGAAGGTATCCTAAGGCAGACACAGTAGATGAGCCCAAAGACAAGGTTTTATTGAACTAATGTTGTTCCTTGCCCCATGCAAGGTTGGGGGTAGGAGAACAAAGCCAGAGTTTGGACCTTCTGAGGATGTCCCACACATACGGTGCTTTGTTCTTGCCCAGAGCAGCTGTTAGTTCATGGTGTGCCTCTGTGAGAATTAGAAAAATAAAGAAATCTCCCCTTCTAGATGGTGCTCCACTGCTCTATGAGCCTGACACCTGGCTTGGTAAGTGGAGCTCCAGCTGGACTCTCGTCTTTACTCACCCCTTCAGCGCCGCACTGACGCACAGCGCTTTGACTGCCCGGTCTGACACAGGGTCCCTGACTCTGTCTCCAGGTCATCTCTAGGACTCTGCTCCATCCCCCTTCTTTTGTAGCCCCTCTCTATGCTCTGCTTCTTCCAGTTTCTTGCCCCTATCTGTTTGGATACAACCCTTCCCATGGGAGACAAGCCTGTAGGGCAAAAGTGAATGAAGTTTCCTAGAGTGGTGCCCAGTGATACCCCTTGTCCTCTGCTTTCCTTTGCTGGCTGCAAAGTGGAGAAAGGTAGGCTCTGTCCCATGCATAGAGGGATCCACTTTAGTTTCCCCACTATTGATAGATCAGGCCACCTTACCTAAGAGTAAACAGCCAATAAGAATTTGTTTTCTTCCAAAGTCAATACAATCTGATTTTGCACAACGTGTGCTTGTTTTATCTATTAACAACAGCTTGGCCTTACTCTTAGAGAAACAATAATTATGGAATTACTGCCTCAAAGGAAATAGTGCCATGTCCAAACAGTTTCATTCTAATAACATATTCCCTACATACAAACAAAGATGGAGAAGTTTCAGTACATGACACCACAAAATGTTTTTAGGGCAGAGCAAAAGAATAAAGCTCTAGCCCCTTCTATGCACCAGTGATTCACTTTGTTCTACCACTTCCCTGGAACAGTCACTTTCTCTGCTATTTAAGATATGCAGCATTTATTAAGGAGTGTGGAAGCTATAATGTAGTTATCTGTTAGCTATTGCTACAATAATGCTACATAAACTCAGAGACATACAGCAAGCACTTATTTCTCTCTTATGCATCTGCAGATCATCTGGGGTTCAGCTGATCTGGGCTACGTTCAGCTGCACTTGACTCAAGCTGTGGGCTGGGTCCAGGTCTCCCACACATGTCTCTCCTTCTCTGTGAACCAGAAGTGTTTTCAAGTGTGTTGTTCTCATGGTGAAAAGTGGGAGTGCAAGAGAATGAGCTCACCCATAAAAACACACTTCAAGCCTCTACTTGTGTCATATCTGCCAATATCTCAATGACTGAAGCAAGTCACATGGCCAAGCCCAAAACAAATCAAGATGCCAACCCCAATATCAGTAAGGCAGAAAAATATATTCTGTCTCTGGTTAAAAGAACTTCAAAGTTACATGGTAAATGGTACACAGAGAAGGGTGAAGAATTGAGAATAACACTACCACCTACCACAGGGACAGAGGAGAAAGGGAAAGATGGCAAAAGAAATAGTATTTTTAGATACCTGCTTTGTACCAGATACTCTACTATGTGTGTCAGGCTCAAATGTTTTTTTCACAAAAGCTCAATATTGCAAATGGGAATTGTAGATTTCCCATCACATGGGAAAGCTGGTGAGTGACTGAGCCAGGATTCGTGCCAGGTCTAACATACTCCAGATTATGCCACCAGATTAGAGCCCAAGAGAGCAAAGCCTGGAGTCGTTTCTGTCTCTTTCAGAGCTATAGATGAATATTGAGCCAGGAAAAAGGTAAATAAACTGTGATCATTTTAAATGCAGCCTTTGTTTTAAATGGACCTGACGCAGACATTATGCTTGAAGGAATAATTGGAGTCCAGTGACCTGAGTTCTTCATCATTAGACTGGGAATCCACTGCTCGCTTATTCCCAGAGCTCTTTCGGTCATTTAAACCAGTCTTGGACTGTATGATTTATACTATTCTATCCTAAGAATCTGTGTTATGATAGGATCAGAAGCCATTTTCAAGATCCATATAACAACTTTGGGTGTTTCCATTTTTAAATTGCTTTCCTGCATTTGACTTATTATGTGTTAATATAGAATGCAGGTATGAGACAAAGAAGATAATGTTGTCAGACAGTGCCCAGGTGTAGTTGTGAGTTCCTTAGCATCAAGTTTTAGATTGAATAGGATCCTGGTAGGAAAAACAAAACAGGACACAGAAGTGTAAGGATCAGATATTAAGTTAGTTGGTGCTGAATAAATATTTGTCAAAAGAATAAATTCATCAACAAGGATTTTCCACCTGTGCTGAGCAGCTGTGCTGTGCTTTGTGCCATGAGTGCTTGGGCCTGGAAGGATGATCAGGATTCTTCTAACCACGAATACTTCTATATTCAGAGAAAACCACAACCTCTGAGGCTTATTCCAACCTGCTCTTTCTCCCTTCTCCTTTTAGCCATCCATTGACCTCCTGATGACTCCCCTATGTTCACTGATGGTTTAGGCTCATAGATTCCAAATGTTCCCTGATCCACAGGTCCCACCAACACCCCGAGAACCTGATGCCACAGTGAATGGTCATGGAGTACTGGAGTCTTGCAGTTCCCAATTTTCTCAGTGCCAGCAGCCTTAGTCTTCACCATATTCACCCACCATGGGGCCCAGGCTCTTACCCACATATATCACCCTAGGCCATATTTTCAAACTGGAGGTCAGAGCCACTGGTTAGTTTAGTCAGCTGCTGCATTCTTACAAAATAAAATAGAAAAGCAAAGAAAATATCCAAGAGCATTGCATGTAATAAGGGGGTTTTATTCCATGAAACTTTTGTTTAAATTATTTGTATTGACGTGTATACAGGGATGAGATATCAGATTGTTTTTTCCTGAGAGTTATGCTCAAAAAAAGTTTGAAAAATACTTCCTTTAATTTGTTCATATTTGCAGAATACTCCATTTTTCAAATGTCATGTTTTTCATAGCTACCTATTCTTATATCCACTCTCTCTCTACTCTACACACTCACTGATGCCACTCTTTTGGTTCCATGCAGGCTCGTTAATGCAGCAGGTAAAAAAACTTAAGAACAGAGATACTGGTGCGTTATAAATCTCCAACTCCATCCCAATTCCTTCTGATATATACACACAAACACGGTACTGTACACACACACATTGTCCAGTGTGGATGGGGTATGTGTGAGCCCAGGCACATAAAGGAAAATACTCACACTTGAATGGATATTGAGATAAAAGGTAAGTTTCACATCTGAGTGGATGTGGGATATAACAGAGACACCACACCATGACCAGAAACTCAGACATGGAAGTTTGCAAAATCTTGGAAGTTTGTGAACTCTTGGGCAAGGAGGTATGAACGTGAACATCCAAATTAATCTCATGACATTAACTCAAAATGCAAGGATTTCAGCTGTCATCTCTGGATTACAAAATCCATAACCTAGAAAGGTTATGTACGGTATTGAAAACTAGAAAGCCTAGTATTGAAAACTCCAGCTGTAATCTAACTTTGATTCAATACAGATTGTAAGGTTCAAAATTTCCCTTTGGGTATTCAGATATAGCAGGGGTTGCCAATCTCAGCATTGTTGATATTTTGGGTTAGATAATTCTTTATTTAAGGGGGGCTGTACAGTGCATTGTAGGATGTTTGGCAACATCCCTGTCCTCTACCAACAAGATGCCAGTAGCACCCTCTCACTCACCTTGTGACAACCAAAAATGTCTCCAGACATTGCCAATTGTCCCATGGGGGAAAATTCACCCCAGTTGAGAACCACTGGGATATAGCAATGATACCAAAAGCCATGTCATGAAGTACCTCACTGTTGATAAGTTTCTTTCCAGCCATGATCTCCTTGGGCCCACACAGCAGCCCTGCCAGGTAAGGCAGGCCCCACTGGAGCTGTCCATTGCCCGGGGCTCTCAGCACCTAGGAGCTCAGCCTCAGCCTTCAACTCTGAAATCGAGAGGCTATGGCCTCACATTGTTGAATCAATCACAAAATAAACTACCTCTTACCCCTCCTCAGTCCTCTGGCAATGCCAGCACAGGAATCAAAATATCAGGAGACAAGATGTTGACAATGCTTTAGGAGGCCAAGTTTGTATATTCCTGACCTGCACTGAATCATGAGAACAGACTATTAGCATCATTTACCTCCTCATATACAGGAGGCTAAGGCCCAGAGAAAAGAAATAATGTCCTTCATGTTGAACACGTATCAGTGGTGCCACCTGCTCTGGGCCCTAGATCCCCTGACCTTGAAACAGAGCTCAAGGAATGTTAACCGTAGCCAATTGCAGTGCCAGCCTCTCTGCATCCCAATTCCAAATTCCTGGGAGCCAGTCACAGTCAGACTCTCAGGCTGGCAACACTGTAAAACGTCGGGGGCACCATTCACACAGAACATGGAAATGCCTATGTGATGCCCAGTTCCAGAGAATAAAAAGGACTTCAGGGCCACCTATGGGTAAACAGCAAATCTCAGAGAAGTTGGCAATGAAGTGGGTGGGCATCTCGAAAGGGTCCACTCAAGTGATTACAGGCAAGTCACTAAACTACTTGAAGCTTCAATTCCCTCTGGTCAATTTGGCAATTTTAAAATGTGGCTCCCAAATTCTCTGGCACACTTCCCATTCAGACGTATAGGTCTTCGTGCCGTCCCCTTGCATCTGGGCTTTGTGACAGCAGGACCATTAGAACATGGCACAAATGCTGCTATGCCAGTGTCCAGATCTAGGTCTTTAAAACCACAAATTTTCACATGACATCTCTAGAAATGCCTGCTCGAGGGACCCAATTACCATGCTGTAAGGATACCCAAGTAGCCCCCAGAGAAGCCCAGCTGGATGGCCAGCACCACCTTGCCAGACCGGTGAGGGAACCATCTCGGAAGCTCAGCTTCCAGCCCTCAGTCAAATTGTCTCAGCTTATCCTTCATGGAGCAGAGATGAGCTTCCGCATGGAGCACTTCCCAATCTGCAAACCCATGAGGTAAGTAAATGATCGTCGGTGTTTTCAGGCACTGTGTTTTGGGGATGTTATGCAATTATAACCAGAACACTCTTATTCTCAGCATTCCTCATGGAAATATTATGGCAATCTAATGGGATAGATGCTATCTCTAATGAGACAGAGTGCATAAAATGTAAAAGCTCTTGGTAAACCAGAGAAAGTCAAATCAGCTTTATTTTATATTATTCCAAGGTAAACAGGCAGCAAAGCCATGACTCTCTGAGCCAAGTCAGCAGCTGGCCTGCGTTCAGGGCAGAGGAGGTGGTTGCAGAGATCAGAGGAGCCCATTAGGAGAGGGGAGGATGGAGAAGGAGGAGCCCAGGACAGAATGCTGTAGTTTGTCAAGCCTCAGGACTAAAGGTGACCTGTGAGGTTGTCTGGGACCCTTCCTCCAGACAGATACATGAAGAATATTGATTTTATTTTAAAGGTTCTATAAGAAAACAAATGTCAGTCTCTAGCAGTAAATTTGAATTATTCCATATTCTTTGTCAGGAAATTCTAAACCAAGTCCCTCTGGTTTCCTACTTGGCCTGTATGTTTGGGTTATGTAGTCAAATAAATTAAGGGACAAAAGCAGAAAGTCCAAAATGAAAACAATTTAGGAGAGTTGGCTAGAAAGGAGAAGCCTAACAAAGAGATGGCCTGAAGAATGGGGCAGGGGCTAGGGGAGTGGGAGACAAATTCACCGGCACCTGCATATGCCAGGACATCATCGGCCAAGGTATGTCTGGCCCAGAGGGAGTATCCAAAAGTCTCAATCATGGCAAAGCGCTGTTGTGTTGTCTTTCAAGAAATATTTTCACCATATTTGTATTGTATATTTTATAAGCTGAGCAGAAACCTGGTATGCCCAGTCTCATTTGGTGATGGCAATTCATAAATTGTTTTGCACATCAAGGTGCAAACACCACCAAAGGGATCTTTGTGAACCAGGTTCAGTGCTTGGTCATGGCCCTCCAGGAGCCTTCCTCTTTTGCTATGGAGAGCTATCCCTGAACTTGGTGGAAATGGTCTTTGACCTTCTCGCTACACTGCATCTTCTAAAAACAAAAAAATGCTGAAGAAAGTTGGATTGGAGCCGAATAAATCTTGGAGACCAAAAACAATGTAGGGGCTATCACCACCATATAAAGTCAAGACAGAAGGCCAGCACAGTGGCTCATGCCTGTAATCCCAACACTTTGAGAAGTCAAGGCTGGAGGATCACTTGAGGCCAGGAGTTTGGAACCAGCCTGGGTAACATGGTGAAATCCTGTCTCTACAAAAACTTTAAAAATTAGCCAGGCATAGTGGTATGCACCTGTAGTCCCAGCTACTCAGCGGCGCTGAAGTGGGAGGATAGGATCACCTGAGCTCAGGAGCTGGAGGCTGCAGTGAGTTATGATTGCATCACAGCGCACCAGCCTGGGCCACAGAGGAAGACCCTATCTCTAAATAAATACATAAAGTCAAGACGGAAGCCAACTCACTGAAAAATGGAAAGAAAATAAGTCTTGAGGACATTGTCTTGGCCTCAGCCACCCTACCCCTTGTGCATTGCAGCCTACATGAATCAATATAATTCTGTTTTGGCTGAAGACAATTTGAGCTGGCTTTTTTTTGGCATTTGCAGCCAAGAGTCTTAACTGACAAACATAGACAAAGAAAATGTCCTGAGGTGACTGTGGCAGGAAAAGCACATGGTAAATAGTTCCATTCTTTGCATAAGTATTACAAAGACTCCCACCCCAGTAGGCGCTCTTTCGTTTTTTCTTCCTGCCACCTCACAGCCTTCTTGGAGATAGAAAACGGCACTGGTAGGCAACTCCTGACCACCCCTGTTATCATCCCTCCCATTACCGAGCCTAATGCATCAACCCAGCTCCTCTCACTCTTCTTCTCTCCTCTTTCTGTCTCCCTCAATCTCTCTCTCTTTCTCTCCAGTTAGTTTTGACCACAGTAGTGCATGCTTGTGAAAGAGCCTCAGGTGTCAAGGCCAACAAGTAGTAAGAAACAAGGAATTCAAGTTTTGGAAAATGCCCAGCCACTTGATAGCCAGCCCATAAAAACCCAGCAAGCATCGAACAGCACAAACTGTCTCCAGGTGGATCCAGTTTTCCCCTAAGAACAAAGCCCATGATGGGGCAGGAGAAGAGTTTCCACTCACAAGCCACTTGAGGACAACCGCTTCACTCCCCCATGTTTTCTGGGACTGTCTCACTTTTAGATATTCTTTCCTGTGACCAAAACATATATCTTGATTTGGGATTCTGAAAATATAGCTACTGCAGGTAAAGTTATAATCAAGCTAGCTTTTATTTTCAGGAAAAGCAGTTCCTATATAGAGGGTGGGAGCTGGCCAGGTATAGTTCAGTGCAGGTGCCTGCACTGTCCTCACCCACGGCCGAGAGGGAGGGTGGTGAGAAGGTGACAGGGCAGCAGCTGAGGGCTTCCAGTTCTCAGAGCCCTGAGTACAGAGGGTTCCCTATAGTTGAAGAAAGAGTTCTTGGTCCCCTTTGGCATTGATTACCAAAGTGTGGCACTTCAGATGATTTTTTAGTGCTACACAAACATTTTTTATTGTCATGTCCCAATGTCAATGTCCCAATGTCATGTCCCAATATCCCAATGTCAGAGTGTTTTAGAAAAACATATAACTAATAAGTAATTTCATGAATAATATTGCTAAAGATGAAACCAAAATACTTTAAAAGTGAGTCTATCAGGCCAGGAGCTGTGGCTCACCCCTGTGTTCCCAACACTTTGGGAGGCTAAGGTGGGAGCATTGCTTGAGCTCAACAGTTTGAGATCAGCGTGGGCAACATAGGGAGACTCTGCCTCTATAAAAATTTAAAAATTAGCTTGGCATGGTAGCACATACCTGTGGTCCCAGCTACTTGGGAGACTGAGGCGGGAGTATCTCTTGGTCCTGGGAAGTTGAGGCTGCAGTGAGCCATGATCATGCCTCTGTGCTCCAGCCTGGGTGACAGAGTGAGACCCTGTCTCAAGAAAAAAAAAAAAAAGTGGGTCCATCTAAATTAAAATATTAAATAAATAACAGCTCAGTGACCTACTGTAATAACAAAAATCATAGAGATGATAAAGAAAGAAAGGAAATTTGGTAAATTCTGCTCCTGCTTATCACTCTAAGGTCTTCAATGAGGTCTGCTTCTCTGGACCGGATTTCTTCAGAGTATCCGGTTTTGCTTTCCTTGCTTTCACCTCTCACCCCTGACTGGCTGGACCCAGAAAGTTATAGTTGGCTTTGTAAGAATGGTGACCAGGCAGTTAGGCTCACACTAACTTCCCAAACTATGCTAAAAGAACAATTAGCTATATTATAAGTGTGCCACAGTGGTGATACAAGTTTTATGTGATTTAATATACACTTCATGGGTAGACTTCACAGTAGGGCATAAAATAAAAGGGTAATCTGTTCACAGCTTTATTTTGAGTGCGGTTCAACACCATTTAAACTTCTACTAAAGGAAGTAGCATTACTAGGTGCCATAGTGGGGAGGGGGCCAGAGGAGGGGGCTGGTGGAGGAAAGACAACACTCTCTCCACTCTCTTGGTGGCCTCATCTAGGGAGGGAAAGAGCCGTTAAAGCTGCACAACCTGCTTTATCTCCAATTCTCTAGCTCTGGTTTGGGCACCTTCCAGTTACTCTTACACAATAATTCTCTGTAGACTATATACCTATGTCTCTTTATTGATGTCTATCTCAAAGCCAGGCAAAAGGGACTCTCAGCCCATAAAACTAAATTTCAGAAAAATCACAGACTTAGAGTCTTAGAACTAATTGTAACCCTAAAGGATGCACCAGAAGTCAAGACATGAGCCTGAATATTAAAGTCAGAAGACCTGCATTCAAATCTTCACTATCTCATTTCTTCGCTGCATGATATACATTGACTTAGATCTTATGTCTTTCTTAGTTTCCTCATTTTTAGAAGTAGATTGCTACACCAATCTGCCAGAATTCTTGTGACAATTCAGACAGTTTATTTTATGTAGAGCACTTGGCTCACAGCTGACAAATACTGACTGTTCATTCCCTTGTTCCCTTCCCTTCCTCCTTCCAATGTACAAGCCAGCAGGAGGAGGAAGGAGAGTGGGCGGCAGCCATGAAGGGGTTGGGGATGGAGATGGAGGGAAGGCCAGAGGCTTAGCTGTGGTTTTCACAGGCAGCCATACTCCTTTCAGCCCTGCCCCTCCAGGCCTTACAGACAGCAACATTTTGCTACACTACTGGGGAAACCAGCCATAAGGAGTAGACCTCACAGATGGAGACAGGGTCAGACAAGGGCAGAGAAAGTTGAGCTGCAACAGGCGGCCAAGGCTTTACTTCTCAGCCTGCTCTGCCCAGGGACCTCTCCCTTGCCAGAGGTTACATTTTGAATTTTCCCTCCTACGGATGCTCTCTCCAACTCACAGGCCCGTTTGGCAACAGGACTGCAAGTGATGGGCTTTGGCAGGTCACATGACTTGGACACCATCCGGGACTCCATGCAGTTTGGATGATGGACTACAGCCACAGTGCAGGGCATCTGATTCAAGAAGGGAAACATCTATGTGCTTTGTTTATTTTATTATTGTTAGAAAATGAATATATGCTGATACTAAGAAAAGGAAAGAAAACTGAAAAATTACCAGTAATTTCCCCTCCCAGAGATAACCACTATAAATGAATATCTGTAAGCATCTCAGTTCTCATTAAAAACCAAATTTCTCTGCCATCTATTTCTTATTAAACAGCTTTCTTTCACTATAACAAGACACCTGGCAAGTGGTTTATATGAGGACCATTCCAACACTGTCCCAGGCTATGGGTTCCAGATGGCCCTGGGTTACAGAGGTCAAGGTAGAGGCTCTGTGGAGGGCGGTGCTGGGCACACACATTGCATGCCTAAGTGTGCCCTTCTGTGGCCAATGCTGGTGAGAGGGGCCACATACTATCGGGAGCCAAACCCACTGGCCCTTCTTTGAACTAAAAAACTCAACAGAGAGGAGAAACGAAGCTTTGCTGCACCAGATTTCTGCAATCACAGGACAGGCAGAGAAAGGCAGGAACAGAGATGGACAAAAGCCCAAGCATTCCTCACCTCTCCACTGACCCACATTTCTATATTTGCTGGGGATTTCCCCCCAATTGCAAGGCCTCTCAAGGGCAGTTTATTCTGCTCATCTTTGCATTCTGAAAAGAAATGGGGGTGGGGTCTATAATTATTCTCTATTACTATGAATTAAAATGATATTCAATTAGCACATTGTGCATTTAAATGACCTATTTATGATGCATAATTGATAAAGTTTTGTGTACACAGCTTTGCTGAATCACTTTAAAAGTTTCAAGGCCTCAGATGACAACTAAGCTTTCTCTTGGCACTTGGCCTCCTTGCCACCTGCTCTTTTGGGCCTATTCCATCAAAAAGGTGATAGTTCTTGCATCTCCCAGGTTTCTGACTTTCAAAGCAAAAATGGCTGCATCTCAGTTGCTGAGAAGCCAGGGGAGTCCTTGTATTCCTGCTGCCAACTCAGAAGGGAAAAACGAAGTAAACAGCAGGTGTGGAGACTGGAGCCGGCCTCCAGGAGCTAATGGAGAAGAAAGGAGCTACTGGCTGACGTCCCACCACAGCAAGCGTGATGGGAAGACTCCCCACTGCAGCCAGTGCCTCCAGCTATGGTTGTAGGGAGGGCTCAACACCTGGGTGGTCTGCTCACCTGTCTTCCTGTCTTAGAAGCTCATGGGCTGTCTGTATCAGTCACAAGTTTGCAGCCCAGGCAGCTGAGCAGACAGAAAAAAACTCGACATGAGGCAGTTTCATCTTTGGGTGCTATATTCATTTGCTAGGGCTGCCATAACAAAGTACCACAGACTGAGTGGCTTACACAGCAGAATTTTTTTCTCTCACTATTTTGGTGGCCAGAAGTCTGAGAACAAGGTTTCAGCAGGGTTGGTTTCTTGTAAGGCTTCCTCCTTGACTTGTAATGGCCATCTTCTCCCTATGCCTTCATAGGGCCTTCCCCCATGTGTATCTGTGTCCTAATCCCCTCTTCTTATAAGGACACCAATCACATTAGATTAGGGCCTACCCTGATGACCTCATTTTAACTCAGTTACCTCTTTAAAGGCCCCATCTCCAAATACAGTCATATTCTGAGGTAACTGGCAGTGGGATTGGGGGGTGCAGTGGAGTCAGGACTTCAACATATGATTTTTTTTTTTTTTTTGAGACAGAGTCTTGCTCTGTTGCCCAGGCTGGAGTTCAGTGGCATGATCTCAGCTCACTGCAACTTACGCTTCTCGGGTTCAAGCAATTCATCTGCCTCAGCCTCCCAAGTAGCTGGGATTACAGGCATGCGCCACCACACCCGGCTACTTTTTGTATTTTTAGTAGAGATGGAGTTTCACCATGTTGGCCAGGCTGGTCTCGAACTCCTGACTCAGGTGATCCACCCACCTCGGCCTCCCAAAGTGCTGGGATTACAGGCGTGAGCCACCGCGCCCGGCCAACATATGAACTTTAGAAAGGAGATGATGATTCAGCCCATAACAAGGTCACTCTCTGAGGCAGCGTGATTTCCACTCATTCTCACCTGGGCTGCTCTCTGTGCTTTGTGCCGAATCCAAACAACAATCAGGTGCAAAGAGAAAAGCGAGCTGAGGGAGGTCAGATTCCGCCACGTGGCCATGGAGGAATCACTACTGCCTCCCTCCCTAATCTCCGCTCAAGGGCATTTTTCACTATCAGACTGTGAAACTGATCTCATTTTCTTGAGTTTAATTTAGCTAATAGTTTTAAAGCACTGAGTGTATTGGACTAGGCAATCATGGCACCAGTCCCTCTCATAGCCACAGAGGAGGGAAGTGGCCCAGGCTGTTCTCTGATCAGAGATGGTTAATCTGAATCCTATGGCTGATCTTCCCACACAAGAGCACAGCTGATCGGCTCAGAGACACTCACATGACCAGTCGACTTTTGGCCTGAGAGGAAAAGTTCTTCTAACTACAAATGATGACATTAACTAGGTCAGTCTGATATCTTCCACCTCTCCCTCTAGAATAGAAACAGGAAATATGGAGAGATGTTGGTAGTGGGAGGAGCAAGAAGACAGGAGAAGGAGTTGCTGCGCCAGGCTGGATTGGAGGTACTTTCTGACCCTACTGCCCAAGGCGTTTGAGTCACTGTGGATCCAGGAACACCTTCCAGATCCAGTTACTGTAAGCTGCACCAACACTGGGGATTAAGTTCTGAGGCTTCCAATATCTAAAATATTACCTGTGATCAATACAAAAATGTTCAATAAAATACTTTAAAACCTTCAAAACCTGATGTGTATCCCTTACAGGTTTTTGACTAGCCACATCTCAAGTGCTCAATAGCCTAATGGCTACCATATTGGACTGTGCAACTTTAGGGACTAACCCAATGGGAGCCTTCAGTCCCACCAAGTACACAGTTAAAGCCATTATCTAGATCACTCAGGTCCTAAGCTCACCTTTTTCTTTACTGTCTAAATTGAGCGATTTTGTTTGTCTAGAATCCAAATTTCAATTATCTTGGAGCACAAGGATGTACTTACTTGGGAGCTTAGGGAGCAACCTTCACTTTTAGATTTGAAAATCGAAGGAAGACTGGAATGATTTGCCACTCTAAGAAAATGTGCCAAGTGATTCAGCATCATATAAATTTACCCAGCTTGTGCCATGGAGATAGGACAACTCTGAAATTGTGAAAACTCACACTCTCCAGCCCTGTGCCAGGCAGAGTCACATATGTGATCTTGTTTAACTGTTAAGACAGCTGTTGCAGGATGGGCATTGTTATCCTCTTGCCCCCTACAGATTGGGAAACTGAGGCAGGCGGGTGAGGTGACTTGCTGGAGGTCACTCACTTAGTAGGTGGTAGGGCCAAGATTCAAACCACTGTCCCTCTCATTCCAAAATTGGTGCTTTTCAAGGCACTCCAAGGTTCCAGGGACTTGGGCTTAAAAATAACTGCTCTAGAAAATAAAATCTAAGGTAGGGTGGGAAGTGTTGTTTTTGTTAATGTTTTAGCACATTTTTCAGATCCCAGCCTCAAGTACTTTGCACATCAAAGACTCCCTTGGCTAAGCAAGCTGACCAGCACTAGGAGAAACTCTGACTCCTTCATGTTCCTGCTCTGCTGAGAAGCTGGAGGGCAAGCCAATATGAACCTTGCTGGCAGTAGAAGCTGGGCCTCCTTGACAGGTGTAGTAAGATGAAGAAGATTATGTCTGTTACACTGAAGAGCACCTTGGAATAATGGCGCTCTCTCTAGCTTTATCTTTAAACTCCCTGGTCTCCCCTTAGTATGCCATGCTGCCTGCAGAATGATCATTCGCTGCCTCCAATCTCTGGAATTGCTCCTACCTCAAACCCAGCCCAGGCCTCCTGATCCCTAGGATGTACTCAAAGACTCACCTGTGTGGGTCTGAGTTTAATTACACTCGTCAGGCAAGGGATTTGGGGGGCTTTAATTTAACGCTTGTGTTGAATGCTTTTAAATTATTTTAAATTTTCTGAGGCACCCAGGTGCAACACACATCTTTTATAAATTATAGAGCAAATGCTGTGGAGGTTAGGTGCACAGAAGGGCCAAGGATCGGAACAGATCCCCAAAGGATGAGATATATTTCTGGCATGAAAAGAAGAGCTTAGCACACACCTATCATTATTGTTAATGGGACTGGGGTGTTAGGCTTTCTCTAGAGGCGCAGCACAATGCAAATTTAGCTCTTGGAATTCAGTTCCTCACTGCTCCCGGACTCCTCAGTAGCACTGAGCCCTGGTGAAATGTGTGTCAAGTTCTTCAAAACAATTATTACTGCTGGAGAAAAAAATGATCAGCGAAGTACTCTGAAGTTAACACCTCCTCAGAGCTGGAAATGGAAATGGAAATGAATTCTGGAAATGTTTGCATTCTTTTTAATATGAATCCACAGACATCTCGGCTGCTGTGTGCAAAATGAGAGATGGGATTTTAACAGATGATAATGAGCTTAGGAAGGAGTTTGCAAGGTGTAGAGGCCAGAGTAAAAGACTCGTGGTTGTGGTTTGGGTTCTTGCCACGGTTCTGCTGTGTGACCTTGGGAGAGCTACTTAACTTCTCTGGGCCTCCTTTTGTGAGTCTGACTTACAAAAGTGTTAGGACCAATAATTTATATTAGAGTAAGATTGGCTAGAAGTCCCATCAGATGTGACTGAAATTCTCCCAAACACAGGAAAAGGCATCTGAAGAAATAGTCCTGTGGAAGGTAAATGCTTTTCATTCCTAGAACCACTGTGGCCTAGATCCTCTTGGTTCCTGGACAGAGATGATTTGGGGAATATCCCAAGGATAGGATGGGAGACTCCTCCACCCAGAACATTCCACTTACAGTTAGAAGCAGAGCCAGAAAATTCTGACATGAACCATGAGGCATGGACTGGGATGTTACAATGAGACTCAACTGTGTTTCAGTTTTGGCTGAGGCTCCAGAGGCTGAGAAGTATCAGTGAACATTAGAAGCCAAGAAAGCCCCAATCCAAAGTGAAGTTCTAGACCACCTATGGCAGCCATTATGAAGTTTTGTCCCCTGGCCATAATCTGCCTAGAGGCTGTAACATGGTTGGGGTTAAGGAAGCTGCCTTCCTTCCAAGAGAGTTGAGAGTGTGCTCTGAGTCTTGTGGACAAATGCTCTCTCCCTGCATTGGGGTTGAGAAGGAAGGGTGACTTCCCTCTTTTCAATCCAGCTGAGATAGGCTTTAAAAGAACCACTTGGAGAGCTTGACCTGTGTCCCCTTCAGCAGGCGGGGTCAGACTCACACCTGAAGAAGCCCACAGGCAAGAAGCTTGCTGAAACAGCCTGGGTGGCAGGGTAGAGAGAGTAGATTGAGGGCCAATTACACTTCCTCGATGGCAGTTTTTCAAGGATTAGATATGGGATCCTAGGAAGGGAGCTGGCTTGGCAAAATCTTAGACCAGTCTCATATGGACCACCTGGAAGGGAGATGGGACCCAACAGGGCCAGTGGGGCACTGAATGAGCAAGGGCTGAAGGAGGAAAGGTGATTTCCACTGCAGTTAAAGTCTCCAAAGAGAGAATGACCCACACAGAGACCAACCGAAAGGTCTCCATTGGGAATCTGTCCAACCAGAAGGTAACAACGTGGGTTACGGCTATGGAAGTGAAATATGACAGTTTCCAATTCCTTACGTCTCCTCTCCACCATCTCAAAGCCCCGCAGGAGCCTGAAGCAGCCTGGTGATGTAGGGAGGAGGAGAAGGACAAGGCAGAGGGGAAACGGAGAAGAAGCCAACCATTCTCCCTCCCCTACTGCTCAGGCCCAGGATGGGAGGAAAGAGAAGATTTAAGATTTGCATTAAGTTTGAAGTTTTAATGATTAGGGCAGACTGAATAGTTTATTGAAATTAAACTATTCTTATAACTTAAAGTGACCAGAGAACCTTTTCTTATCTAAGAATGACAGGAAAATCCACGGGATTTGCTTGATCATTTGTCTCATGAGTGGGGAAAAATTATCTACAGTGAGAAAGAATAAAATTATTACCTGCCTGCACTCTCCCGAGCTCAAGTCATTCAATGTACCAGTTACTTCCTCTTCAGGGATTACAGTGTGTTAGCAATGATTAAGCTACCACCTTCTGGTACAGATGTGATTTGGTGACAGCATTTTGTCAATTCACCAACCTAGCTGGACATATGAGATGGCCCATAATGACAATGAAGCCACTGATCCTGGAGGCAGAGCTGAGAGACATTTGGAGATGTGTTGCCTCTTTGCAGTCCTTGAATGTTTAGTCGGTGTCCTGGAACAAATATACTTCCAAAAGTGCTTCACTAGAATGTATATTTGAGTCATAAATACTCTTAGACAAAAAAAAAATCATTTCATTTTATTTTATCAATTACATACTAAAGCCCAGAGAGGTTAAGGCATTTACTAAGGTCACTATTCTTTTCATTGCAAATGACAAAATTAAACCAGAAACAGGAAGAAAGGAAGGAAAGAAAGAAGGAAGGAAAGAGGGGAGAAAAGGAGAGAGAACAAAAGAAAACTGGAGAGGAAAGGGATCATTTATTAACATTTGGAAAGTCCAAGCATTACTCGTTGCAGATATGGCCACAGCCAGGTGCTCAATTAATGTCCAAAATGTGTATTTCTCCATTTCTTAGTAATGCATTTGCCTTTCTATGAGGTGACAAAAAATGGCCACCAGAGGCTCTAGCCTTATAGTCTAAATAACTGGGTAGTCTCAGTGAAATTAACTACTCTTCTCAGTAGTTCCAGTGAAAGTCACAGATTGAATTTCATTAACCTAGATTAAATTGCATTGTCCAGTGCTAAACTAATCACCATGACCCTGAATGTCCCTAAGGCTGGAGGAATCAGCTCCAAAGAAAACATGGACCATGAGTGAGAAAGAGCTATTGTTACTTGGAAACAGGGAGGAGGGCCATAGACAGGCAAAAACAGCAGATGTCTCCTCTGGACGTAGAGCCAGGAAGTAAATGGCAAAACCAGGATTAGAACTTATATCTTTTGATTCCTAAACCAAAGATTTGCGTAGGCACAAAGTAATTTCATTGATGTATCTCTTTTTAAAATGTACTATCCTGTATAAATAGGGTAAATTTAGGTCCAAACACTGAATTTATCCTGAACTCTTAGGTAAAGAGTCTGCTAAAAATAAACTCATGTAAACAAGATCATTTCATATACAAGACAGCAAATGGAACCATCAGCCTCATTTTATTAGTATTATTCAAAAAAAATCATTTGTGCTCTAATTTACTCTGACACTAGAGAAAGCTCTAATTTGATAAATTCCTGATTCCAGATTACAAAGTGCCATTGCTTTCACATGAGTGAGACAAATTTAGAGTAAGCTGGCAATAGAGTCAAATCTATTCTTCAATGCTCTCTGGAGTTCTGTCAACCCATCACAATTAATTCCAAAAGTAAAGAGGGCTTAATAAGGCTTGCGGAAGTGACGAAGTTGTTAATTTGTCAGACGAGATCAAGAGCATAAGTAGAAAGTCTAATGTGCAAACCTGCACGTCCTGCACATGTATCCCGGAACTTAAAATAAAATAGAATTAAATATAAACAAACAACAAAAGAAATCCTAATGTGAAGTTTGGGGATTTTCTCTTGTTTTGTTTATTTTCTTGTACATAAGAAAAGAAAAAGGTTTTCCTTAGAGAAACGACAACTAGATGTTTAAAAATCTGTATCCCTGCTACACAAAACTTTGAAGCTTCAGTGAAGCATCAGTTCATCCTGGTGGTTGGCCAGTCCCAAGTCGAATCCCTCAATCCCTTACTGGAAGAGTGAAAGCACAGCAATGGTGGGTAGGTGCGCTCTGACACAAACAGAGAGGGATTTCTGTAATCTCTGAACTCAACTCCTTGCTTAATGGAGATTAAACTTGGGATTGGCAGTTCATATCTCGCTCTGCCATGGCCTGAGATGAAGTGAGAGGGAGTTGGGAGCTGGAGGGTCCGCGTGCCCTGAGTGCCTTCAAGGCCCTGAACGAAAGTTCTGGGGCCAGAAATGGACACGCTGAAGGTGGTTCAAGCTGTTTGACAGCATAGGGATGGATGGATATAATTTTCAATGCATCATCACATAAATCACTGTGGTCACACAAACTTCCTGAGAAAGATGGGCTTCCCCTGACTTCCCCAATGAGAAGCCTATGCCTTGGAGGGGCAAGGGACTTATGCAGCTTACTAGTCTAATGAGAAGGCAGGACTATGTCCAAGTTTACCATTTACCAGCCCTAGAACTAGAGGTCTGGCCTAGGGCCAAGCATTCAATGAAGACTTCTTTAAAGCTTGATAAGGTTCCATCCATCCTTCCTTCCACCTGTCTGTCCATATGTCTGTCCTTCTATCCATCAATTCATCCATCCATCCATCCATCCATCCACCCAGCAAATACCCTCATGTGACAGACTGTGCAGATGAGACACAATCTCTGACATCTGGGAGTACATAGCACCAGGGAAGCACACATTCAACAAATCCTCCCAAGAGTGATGAGTATTGAAGTGGAGCATAGCAAGGAGCCTGGCCTAGTCTCCGGGGTCTTGCTTTCAGGAAACACTACTGCCCCAGGTGTGAATCTCTAGAAGTGTCACAGCCAACGTGGGACAACAGCTGGAAGGATGAGGCTGCCCAGGGCGCCCTGCACAGAAGGAAGGCTTTGTGCTAGCTCCATGTGGAAACTCTGACTCGGGGCAGTGTGGGCTTTCAGATGGATTTCCTATCATTTATCTTCTTATCAAAAGGTTTAATCACTTTCCGCTCTCCTGACTGTATGGGAATAATGAGCTTATTCTATCCCTACCAATACAATGCACAATAGAAACAGTTCAGAGACTATTTGGCCTTCTAAAATGAATGTTTTTTACTGTATAAACATCATTAAATCCACAGTTAAAGGGATGTTTAAAGAAGAAAAATCAATCTCAGTAATCCCACGCACAGCTACTTCGTCACTGCATATTGCCTGCTGGACTTTGTGTAAATAACAAAATGAATTTTATGTGAAAATTAGTTGTCATCTCATTTCCCCAAGAAGGTGAATATATTCTGACACAGAATGGACCCATGGCTTTTGGAGAAGAAAGCATGCTCCTTCATGATTTTCAACTTCGCTGTCTAGAATGAAAAAGTACTTAAAAACGGAAAACGAATCGCTGTGGTTTCTGAACAGAGATCGTTTGCTTAAGTCTTGTTCTGGAAACAGTTAAAAATTCCATTACATTCCTTGAGGGCAATGTCTATATCATATACCTTGATGCTCAATTAGCTCACACCCCTAAACAAAGCTCCTTTATATGAAGTCAGACATATTAAATAACAAAAGCAGCACGAAACTTGAGACATTCTAAGCTGCAGTGGTCCCTAGTACGTGTTCGGCTGGCCCTGCACAGAATGATCAGTCAAGTCTTCAAAAGTGATTCCGGCTTACCTAGACTCCTTTATCAGGCTTCCCGCCCAGGTCAAAGTCAGGGCCCTCATCCTCCCTCCATCATCAAAAAGAGAGAGTGCTTTGCAAGTCATCAGTTATTTTGTCCTGAGGAAGAATTCATCACTGATACTGTTACTTCAGCTGCATTAAACCTTTTTTTTTTTAATGGTACAATAAAGGTAGATTTAGGAACTTGCAAGTGAAGAGCTATGGGAGGCAGAGAAGGGCCCCCAAAGCACTCCACAGCCTTGCTACTCAAAGTGTGGTCCGTGGACCAGCAGCATCTGCATCCCTTGAGGGCTCATGAGGAAGGCAGAATCTCTCAGTCTCCACCTCAGCAGTACTGAATCAGAATCTCCATTGCAACTAGACCCGCAGTGGGGCCTAATGTTGCTGATCAGGGACCACATTTTGAGAGCCCCTGCCCTAGAGCTATTCAGGGAATCCACACACTTAGAATGTCCCTCCTGGGTGTTTTGCAGTGGGGGCAGAAGGGGCAGTTTATTGGTTTTCATTGTCTTGTTGTCAGTGGAGACCAAATGACAGGGCACATGTGGCCCTCTTTACTTATCACAGCATGACCACATTTCATAAAGATTTTAATTGTGCAGCTATGAAGCCATGCCATATAGAATAGTATTGGTAAAGTCTCATATTATACACAGAATTGGAATCAATGACAATCCTCCAAAATTAAAAAAAAAAAAAAAAAACCAGCAAGAATTGCAGAATTCCAAGACTGGCAAAGGTCTTGGAAACAGTATATACTTTTCCCATGCATTAGGCCACAGAAATGCCAGCCATCCTTTTCCAGGCTCTGTCGTCTGTCAATCTTGTTACTGTTTACATATAGCAAAGAATTTGTAAGTATCTGTGTGACTATTTTGCTAATATTATAATCTTTACTGATATAATTTATGATCTTTAAAAAATCTATTAGAGTGGTATCATCTAAAAGACTCCTGAATGCGGATGTTCATGCTAAAGCTGATAAAAATCTCTCCCAAATCAAAATCTTTGCGAAGGAAGTTACATGTGGTAAAACGCCACAATGAAGCCCATCCTCACTCTCTGATATGCTGTTAATGTGGGAAAAGGCTCTGCAAATTATTAAAAATAATGCTAAGAAAATAAAAAGCAGCTTTAAAGCAAAAAGGCAACACAATAATTAGAGATTTATGTTCTCCTGGAACACATCCCACTTTACATTTATTGCTATGGGAAAATTTGTCTTGAGTTATGCAAGACCCTCAAAACAGCATCTGTTGCATAAAATATGACCACCACACATATGAGAATATTTCATTCCTCAGGTAGCTGAAGCCAGAAATGTGTTCTGATGTGTCCAGCATGATTTGTCCACTTGGTTATGGAACCCATTCCCCACTGGGCAAGGCCTCACGGTCTCCTGGGGCCCCTCAAATCATATTGTAGGCAGTGATCACATGATCACATGATAATTATGCCATTACCAACAAGAGAGCTGGTTTTTAATTCATTGTTTGTTTTTTTTTTAATTCAAGCTAATATTGCTTGAGCTCTGGCCTTGAGCAAGGCTCCTGCCTTGTCTGCTATGCTTAATAGGTGTTTTACTCCTCAGTGCCTCAGTTTCCTGTCTGTAGAAAGAGATTTACCCTCTGCCTGACAGTCACTGCCTGAAGGGACTTGTATGAAGGACACAGAGCCATTGAACCATGACACCTTTTGGGGGTGGGGGAGCAGGGGCCTCAGCTATGTCTCTAGCGGAAGAAAGGTGTGCCAGTCCATCCACACTCTGGTCTTGGTGGGTGGGGGCCATCGCAGGGTGGGACACAACCATCACATTCTTTTCCTCTGTGCAAGACTATGGCAGTGCCTCCTTGGCAGTGTAAAATGTAGGGCTGTATCTCAGGAGAGAGTGAGGTTAGCTGTGGGGTCTGCGAAGTGGCCAGTTGAAACTGTGAGGGGAAGAGCTCTGAGTATTAAGAGGCAAGGACCAAATGAAGTGGAGCTGTGGAAAACATTCTTACCTGAGGAATGAGAAGAGGAGCTTCCAAAAAGGGAGCTGAAGAAGATGATCAGAGAGGTGGTGTGAGAGGCACCCATACAGAACAGGTGTTTTCCTCGCCTCTGCAAACTCCATCTTGTCCATTACCCTGAATGGAGTGTCACTGAAGCGAGAGAAGAAGCATTGAATTGAACTATGTGAAACTGCCATTTTTAGGATAACAAGATGATCGACTACTGTCAATTTCATATGGTTTAACCTAAAATTACCTACTAGAAAGGCTTGGAAGGGAAGGTGGGAGACTGCAATTTGCCTGTGGTGGGAGGTGGGCATGGCAAGGGCGGCAGTGAGTGGAGCTGAGTGGAATAGGGAGAGCTCTGTCTGTCCCCTCTATGGGGGACACAGTGTGAGCAGGAAGGGGCCTTCAGAAATGAATCCACACCCTCTAGTCCAACAAATGGTGACTGCATTGAAGAGGAAGCCTACTCATATAGATAAGAGGTCAGTAAAAACGAAAACCTCCCTACTGTGGAACCCAATAAAGCAGCATTCCTATAGAAAACTAGTACATGGCAATCTCCAAGAGGAAGGAACAGGACACACTATTTCCTAAAAGTATTTGATCACAAAATACATTGTTCTCATGGAGCTTCTCTCAGGACTGGTGTTTTGCCAAATGTATTTTGGTCATTCAGACAGGAGTTGGGCTGAAATATCTACGCACAATCTATGGAACAAAAAATTAATAGTGTAAACCAGATTTCTATTTTCAATAGAAATATGAAAATACTTTGGGGGGAAAAGACATTCCAAAGAGCTGGGAAGTATTTTAGAAGCACAAAGTACGTATAAATTATGTATATAATATTAATAATAAATTAATTATTCATTAAAACAGGTTCCCTAAAGATATGGCTAAAGCAAGACTAGATCAGCCTAGTTGAAGACATATACTTAAAAGTAATATGACTACATTGCTTCAAGTATATTCACACGTTTCAATCATTCAAACTAGTTCCACCATTTTATTCCGTACTTAAACATTTTTAATCTATCTATTTAATTCACTAATTCATCTGAAAACATGTGAAGGGTATTGTGCTTGGTATCATGAGGCTACAAAGATAAATAAGGCAGGGAATTTGCCTTCAAGGAGATTTCCATGAGAGAGGTGCTAAACCAGGTAGATTAGAATAAATGAATACTCTCCAAAGTAGAAAGTGATTAAATAGTATACGAAAGACACAATTAAGTGCTAGGGGCTTCTGAGGGAGGGAGGTTGCTTTGAGCTATGGATGAGAGAGGACTTTGGAAAGGAAATTCTATCTGGGAAGGCAGGGCAGTGGGGATGCTGGTGAAGAAGGCATAGCGGATGGAGTGAACAGCAGGAGGAAAGAGCATCCTTTGGTGGGCATCATAGATTGTGTTTGGCCACTTAAGCAGAATGTTTGTACAGTTGAGAAGACAAACTAAGGATTGAGACTTGATTCTGTAGGTGATACGGAGTGCCAAGTGTGTGATCAGAGGACTGACCAACCTGTGACAGTGGGAGTATGGGAGGTAGAATTGACAACTGCAAACTCAAAGGACAGGAGGTCATACGAGGCTTTAATAGAGAGTTCTGGGTTAAAAGAAAAAAATGTATATTGTGAAAATATGAAATGTTTAGCTCTGCTCTGTCTGCCTTGATATTAACATATTCCACCAACCCATACCTGAGAGTAATCAAGGAGATTCTGGCAATATGCACAAAGTGATTTGCCACATCAATGAGAATGGAAAGTGCCTTTGTGTTCATGCTACTTAAAGTAGCATAGAAACAAAATAAATGAGTCTGGGGCCTTTCAGTGTGGACCCTGGGAAATGCTCACATTGGGTTATCATTAATGGTAAATGGCCCTGGAAAGATATGGCATATGAGTGGCATATGACCAACAAAAAATAAAACAACACGGTGTGTGGGCTGTGGAAGATACAGCCAGTATGACCCCCATGATTGAACGCCTGCTATGTTTTCTAATTTAATCTTCATATTAGTCCCAATGTATTATATTATCCCTATTTTATAGATTAAAAAAAGAAAACACTTAGAATAGTCCAAAAAACTTTAAAGAGGCAACCTTGCAAGCCAGGGGCAAGGCCTCAATTTGAATCCAGGCCCTTTTCACTCCAAAAGAAAGGCTGTGCAGAAGTCACACCTTTGTGTAATGAACACCAACTCCCTGCCTTCTCACCATCTTGAATCCCTTATCTGTAAAATCAGGGGTGAGTTTGGGGGAAAAGGTAGGCAGGGACTAAGTCTGTCTACTTCACAGGTCCATTTTGAAGCTCAAATGTGGAAGCACCTTTCAATTCTGAAGCAAGAACTTTACTAACGTGCATGTTTTGAGGGAGGTATGGGGTGCTGTGGGAGCTGAGCAAAGTGGGGGCTCTTCCAAAAAGCAGCTGGGCAGTCCTCGGGAGGAATATACATTTAAGCAGGTGGTCACAGAGGTGGCTGAGAAAGAAGCCGGAAGAGTTAAGAACAAATGAATTCAGGCTCTGCAGCTTTGCCTATGGCCAAATCTGGGTCCCAACTTAGTGTGACTGGAACCCCTTTTCCCCCTTCTGGCTGGCCCTGAGGCTTTGGGCCGTAACTCTCCAGGTACAGTGAAGCCTGCAGAACCACCTCATGTTGCCCATCCAGTGTCCTCCCATCGCTGGCCTGGCCCCAGGCCTCTGGCCAGGTGCTGGAGCTGATAGACAGCCCCAAGCCAAGGCCACCACCAGCAACACTGCCAAGGGATTTGGTCTGGGTCCATGAAGCTTGTCCTGCCACTGGGAGAGAAATGTACTCAAAATGTAGCCAAGAAGGCTTCCTTTCTCTGCTAGCAGAGGGGGCCTATGGCTCCCCACAGTCTGCATGATAAATCAGTGCAAAGACATCAGCTTCAAGGCCATAAGGGACCCTTATTATCATAGGCCAAACACAGAGTCAGTGCTGCAGGATTTATTTTCTAGTTCATAAATCTCAGTTGATTAGAGCATGTCCTCACAGCATTGCAGAGCCCTCTCCAGCAGGAGCTGTGCATAAACCTATGGCTGTGGTTCCTAGGAGTCTAGGGCCAGCAGAGAAGGTGCCACTTACCTGGCAAGCAACATACTTTTGGTTTGAATTCCAAGTGTAAAGAAATACTGAGGGAGGGAGAGGAGGTTCTACCTAAATTACCCAGAAAATGGCCTCCTCTGCTTGGCTTGAGGAGGGAAGAGTTGCCCTTTGGGGCTTTGTGCCACCCACCAACAAAAACTAGAAATTTTTCCTGGGCTCCAGACCCCCACCTGAGCTTTGATCAGGTGTGAATGGGTCCAAGAACTTCCTGAAATTATTTGGGATGTGTCTGCCTCATGTGTATTGTGTCTGTACCAATGAGAATCCCTCTTGGGAACCTTATTAGTCCCCTGTTGGTCTCTACTGGGACCTTATAAGGCCCGTAGCTTTCTTATATCTTGGGAGAATCATGATCCAAAAATAGTTACTAACTTGTGCTCCAGGAAGATAAACCTCCTCCATTCTTCCTTTCTGAGAAGCAGAACCCTATGCTCCCAGACAGCCATGAGCTGCTTTTGCCTGCCTGGAACATTAACTGCAGGCAGGTTCTATGGCATGACTCCCAAATTGGTGTTTAGCTTTTCAGAAATTGGCAGCATTTTCTCCCTGACTCTTGCAAGGACACTTGACCTCACCCTTCCTGGCCTTTCTTCCTCATAAAGCCAGCTTCTAAAAGAGTGGAAACAGATACTCGGTTACCCCCTGAGGTAGGGGCCTTCTGGGGACAGAGTGCAACCTAGAAGGAGGCTCAGGAGGCTCTTTGCATTCTGAGGCCTGGGAATTGGAGGAGACGCTGCCTAGCCTCAGGAAAAGAATGTAACAGCTTGCACAGAGCTGAGTGTGCTACATAATCCTGTCTTAAAAGAATGAATACCTCCTGGAGGTAAACAAGAACTATCAGAAGGCCTCAGAGCAGCCGCAGCCACCCTAGCCAGAAAAGACATGACAGCCGCAGAATTGTAAAGAGCTAGCTGAGAGCAGCACAGGATGCGTCCAGATGCAAAATATTTCCAGCGCAAAAAAAAAAAAAAAAAAAGCCAATGTCAGAAGCCATGGGGATTCAGGCAACAGAAGTGCCTCTCCTCCTGTCTCCCTCCTGAAGAGGTGTCCCAGGGGTCCTTGAAAACTGGCAGTGCTCACTGAAGAGGCAGGGAGGGCTGAATGCCTTGCTCCAATTAAAGCCTAAGGACCAACCCCGCAGAGTCCCAGCTGTGCTGCTGCTCCACTTGGGAAGGCAAACCTGGACAAGCTCCGCCATTCAGGAAAGCTTCAGGCCTACATTGTTCTCGTGGAGCTCGTGTGTAATAGGAAACGCTGTGGCGTCCAGATCCACTCTTCTCAGCAGCTCAGTGCATCTTCGCTGCTGTCATCTGCTTCTTCAGAGGGAGAGGGGAGTGTGTGGAAAACCATGCTGCCCAACAGTCCCCGGTCTCTTTTTAACGGTGTGCTCTGTTCCCAGTTCTGTTTCTAAAGGGGTTGGGGTGGGGCAGCAGAGGGCACCTCCCACCCAGGAGGCCGCTTTTTTCTTCCCTGAAGTCCACTATGAGCTCCAGCAGGTATCAGAAGGGACTGGAGCAGGCAAGTGGGAACTGAAGCAAATGGACAGCAACTTCATGAGAGGATGCACATCCAATGTCTTCAGGTCGGCTGACCTTTCAAGAGAAGCAGGAAATCTGTGTTTGTAAGTGAAATGTTCCATTTATAATGGTTGGCTCAGGTTTTAAAAGAGTAGTTTTGTAGGCAGGGGTCTCCTTTGTGCTCCCTCTGCTCTGTAGGGAGATGCTCCTCCAGGCCCTGGTACAGTGACACCTGCAGAACCACCTCATGTGGTTCTGCACACCCCAGCACACCCCAGCTAGTTCCACTACCTCCTTGCCCATACTAGCAATGCCCGGGAGCCTCACCGGGCACAACCACGTAGAGCAGCCAGCTCCAGAGAGCCTTGAGGCTGAAGAAGAGATTTGCTCTTTCTGCAATATGTAGAATCCACAGAGCCACAGATCCACAGATGTGAGCAATAATTTTGGCCCCTCCATAATCACAGTTTCTGGTCAAGAACAAGTTCCCATATCCTTGTCAGCTGCAGAATCTGAAACAAGACGTGGTAAAATGACACCCACTTTTGCCTCATGTGGCCATGATGGAAGAATGATAGCCCTTAAGCAATCCGAGCTCCTCTCAAAATAAATAGTCATGACAGCTTCATCACTGCATGCTGAAATAATAGGTATTGGCCTTATTACAAAACCTCAGTATTCTCATGGCATCATACTCTGGCCATATCTCTGTGAAGTACCAGAGACATCCACTGTTTTCCTCATTTCATTGTATGGACTGAAACTGAGGAAGGAAAAGTTTGAAACTGCTCAGAGCCCCCACCTGCCTTCAGGCTTAGGATTTGTATCTTGGGGGTCTCATCTTAATATCACTTCACGCTGCCCCCTCTATCCCCCCAGACTCTGCAGACATTCTTTTTCTGTCCTGTGGCAAAATGAGACTTTCTTTTCTCCTCTTCTCCTTCTTTCCTTCTTCTATTCATCCCTTCACAGGAAGTTAGAGCAAATATTCAAAGCCTTCATTATCATAGTAGCCTTTTAAAGTTTTGCCCCTGAGAGGGAGTCAATATCCTTAAGGCTGTTTTGCTAGCAGATGACTTATTGTGAATAAGCGGAGCCCAAATCCTCTTACAGCAACATACTCAGCATCTCCCTGGTGTGATACCTGGATACTCATGCCCCTCCACAATTCTTGGGGCCCCATGAATACTCATAAATGGTGAATGGACAAACTTGCTTTCTGGCAATGGACCAACCACACCTACATCTCCTTCTAAGTATTACAAAGACAATCAAAGAATTACCCACTTTTATATGATTCTTTATGAAGCATATGCAATGTGGAGCTGAATCAGATACCATTAGGAAGATCCTTTTAATCTCCCTTCAAATATCTTGCTCTCTGATTTACTAGGGTGTTGTACATGTTCTGCCGGAAAAAAAAAAGGTAAAAAAATTCATCATTGCTAGTTACCTTCTATATTGTTATGCATTCCAGCTTTGCTTTGGAGTACAGAAATATTGTTCATGGCCTTTCTTTCTCAACCAGTGAATTAGCCAGTCAGGTTAACAACTGATCATCTTGGCCTCAATCTCTAAAGGACATTTAGGAATATTAAAAATACTGTCCTTGCAAATATTACTGCAAGATTTGAGATTGATCATACAACATAGTGACTATAGTTAATCATGATGTATTGTACGCTTGAAAATAGCCAAGACAGTAGATTTGAGGTGTTCTCACTACAAAAGAAATGTTAAATATGTGACATAATGCATATACTATTTAGCTCAATTTAGCTGTTCTACAATGTATACATATTTTAAAACACCATATTGCATACCATAAATATATACAATTTTGTCAATTAAAAAATAAATAAAATGCAAAAAAAAACCTTGGGTCCTTCTTCAATCAATGAAAAAATACATATGAATGAACAAATTATATAAAATAATATTTAGCCAAACTGCTAAAATATGTGATAGAGACAGCAAATTTTCCAGGAGCTCAAAGGGCAAAGGGAGAACAATGAGAGCTGGAAAAATCAAAGAAACTTCCTGGAAGAAGTGATATTTGATCTAGAACTTGAGAAATGGGAACAACTGAATTGGAAACTTAGGGGTAGGAATGACCTTGCTTTAATTGGCTGGGAAAAATGAAATTTCTGGTTGAGTTGAGATGGGAAAGCAAATGCAATCCAATAAACAACATAGAGAAAACTTTGGGTGAAACTATGGGGAAATCGCAGGCTTTTAAATTCAGCCTCTTTTTGTTAGAGTTTTACGAAAATTAGTCTGGTAGTTGTACTTGGACTGGATGCAGAACACACAGGCCAGAAGGGATAGCCAATGCTGAGTGCTAAACTGGGCAACTACTATAGACTGAATGTTATATCCCCCAAATTTCATGTTGAAATCCTAACCCCCAGTGTGATGGTATTAGGAGGTGGGACGTTTAGGAGGTGATTAGGTCATGAGGGTGGTGTCCTCATGAATGGGATTGGTGCCCTTATAAAAGAAACCCAGAGAGCTGCTTCATTCCTTCCACCAAGGGAGAAGACAGCTGCCCATGAACCAGGAAGTGGGCCTTCACCAGACAGCAATCTGCCAGCACCTTCTTCTTGGACTTCCCAGCCTCCAGAATGTGAGAGAGTGTGTGTGTGTGTGTGTGTGTGTGTGTGTGTGTGTGTGTGTGTGTGTGTGTGTGTGTGTGTGTATATATGTTTTTTAAAATCTATATACTTAACATTTAAAATAAATATAAATATATATATTTCTACTGTTTATAAGCCACCTAGTATATGGCTTATAATTTAAACCATAGACCAGTCTATGGTCTGTAATAGCAGACTGAGCCGACTAAGACAGCAACTGACATGTGTTAAGAATAAAGAGATCTTACAAATCTACAAGAAAATAACAAATACCCTCCTTGAAATGGACAATATTAAGCATGTTGCAGAAAAAAAATGAGAAAATGTATAAGTTCCTACACACATACAAAGAAAGTTAAAAAATACAAGTTGGCAAGATTAGATAAAAAGATAAAAGCCAATGCTAATTGGCAAAGGGGCACCATCATACACTGCTGGTAAGAGTACAAATTGGGGTATGCTCTGTATTTGCTATCATGTGCAGACTTTCAACCCAGTGGGTAAATCTACCTTTCAGGACTTATCCTAAAGAAAGAATTAAGAGTCTGTACAAAGAATTTGTGCAAGGATATTCATTATATCAGCTTCTCTTGGTCAAAAATTAAAATAAATTTTTAAATTTGGAGGCTGAGAGCAATGGATAAGAAATACATTTATTGATATGGAAAGTTGTTTGCCATATTATCAAGTTGTTTTAAAGGCACAGAGCATATCACAAAACAGTATGTGTTGTGTGATCCTATTTGCATATAAAAGCAAAATAAGTAAATACACACATAAATATATATACACATACATAAACATACATTATATTTCTCTCCACATACATATAAATATGTATACACACATATATATGTATATCTACTCACGTATATATATAACTGAACACAGTCAAGTGTCTCTTAACAAGGGAGAAATGTTCTGAGAAATGCATTGTTACGTGATTTCATTGTTGTGTTCATCATAGAGTGTACAGTTAACCCTTGAACACTGAAGGGGCTAGGGGCTCCAATCCCCCATGAAAATACACATCTAAGTTTTGACTTCCCCAAAACCTTAGCTACTAATAGCCTACTGTTGACCAGAAGCCTTACCAATAACAATCAATTAACACATATGTTGTAGGTTACATGTATTATATACTGTATTCTTACAGCAAAGTAAACTAGAGAAAAGAAAATGTTATTAAGATAATCATAAGAAAGAAAAAATGCATTCACGATTCGTTAAGTGGAAGTGGATTATCATATAGGTCTCCATCCTCATAGTCTTCACAAGGATTAGGCTGAGGAGGGGGAGGAAGTGGGGATTGGTCTTGCTGTCTCAGGGATAGCAGAGATGGAAGAGATGGAAGAGGTGGAGGAAGTGGAAAGGGAGGCAGGAGAGATTTATTGAAAAAAAAATCCATGTTTGTAAGTGGACATGAGCAGTTCAAAGCCAAGTTGTTCAAAGGTCATCTATACTGACACAAACCTAGATGTACAGCCTACTACATACGTAGGCTATATGGTATAGCCCATTGCTCCCAGGCAACAAACCTACACAACATGTTACCACACTGAATACCGTAGGCAGTTGTAACACAATGGTATGTATTTGTGTATTTAAACATATCTAAACACAGAAAAGGTATGGTAAAAATACAGTATTATAATCTTATGGGATCACCCTGTTTATGCCATCTGTCACTGACCAAAACATAATTATGTAGCACATGACTGTACACAGATGTCTACACACCTGATATTAACATTCTATATATCTAAGTAGTAGGATTATGAGTAATTTCTATTTCTTTCACGTTTATTTTACACGCTTATTTGAAAACTTCTTTCTATCATAAGCATTTTTAAAATTTAATTTAACACAGAAAAGCTATGAATCTTCTGCCATGAACTCAAGGTAGTAGGGTAGGCAGGTTTGATGGTAATTCAGATATAAATGATGATGCTAGAGGACAAAGCAATTCTGAAAGAAGCACCCCAGTGTTTACAGTCTAGAACCCAGGGTTGGTGTGGCCTAGCAGGAAAAAGACAATCTGCTTCCTAAGACAAATTGCATTTCCCAGTGTGTGGTCCGAAGAGCAACACCTAGGGAGGGAAAGAGGAGAGAAAACAGTACTTTTAAGTGACAACCCTGAGGCCCAACAGAAAGATAGTGGCAACAGGGCATAAAATCCAGCACCAAAAGCATTAATAAAAGCTGCCATTTTCCATGCAACCCCTGGATATCTAAATCCTCCACATGGAGATACAGCGTATCTGTGGATATCCATGTGGATATCTCTCCATATTTTTTTAAAGTTGAGAAACAAATTCACGTTACTGAAGAGATACATTTGTTCTAGAATCTCCCTCAATGGAGCAGAAAGATTTCAATTTATTTCAACAATTCAGCTCAACATGTTTGTTGAGTGTCATCTATGGAGTTCTAAAAAGCAAAGTTCCCACCCCCTCCTAGAAATGGCAATGTCAACAATGACAATATCTTACTCTTATGAAACATTTCTTATATCATTCACTCTTTACAGCAGCATTCTCATGTACAGTCATCCCTCAGTAACCATGGGGAATTGATTTCAAAACTGCCTGAGGATACCAAAATCCATGCATGCTCAAGTCCCTTATATAAAATGGTATAGTATTTGCATATAAACCACGCACATCCTCCCATGTACTTTAAATCATCTCTAGATTACCTCTAATACTTAATACAATGTAAATGCAATGTAAACAATTACTATACTGTATTGTTCAGGGAATAATGACAAGGAAAAAAAGTCTTACATGTTCACTACAGATGCAACCATCCATTTTTAATAAATATTTTCAGTGCACAATTGGAACCCACAGATACCGGATGGAAGGAGACCAACTGTAGTTATGGTGAACCATTATTATACCCATTCTACAGATGAGGAAATTGAAGTTTGGGGGACTTGACTTAAATGTGCTGACTCTCTTCTCTCTAGGTAACTTATTGAAGCATTTTAAAAACAAAACTCACTTCAAAGACAACCATTTAGTCCAAATATTCATTGCAATGTTTGATATTTAAGCAAAGGAAAGGGTGCAATCATGCAAATCTTATTTATCATGCCTCATTACACAATCAAATTAAAGTTGGTGATACATTGAAGTGTGAGCCCCAGTGTTTTGTTTTGCTTTGTTTTGTTAATCCCACAATGGAGTTTCTGGTCTACTAATCAACCTTCAGCCTGGCCTTTCCGCCTCTGGAGTGCGCTCTCGGGAAAAAGGAAATACTCTCTGTTGGAGGAAGCCAACTTGGCCAGCTGACTTTGAATGACATGCAATCTGAGCAGGCCCAGGATCTCTGCCCTTGTACCTCTCACTACCAGAATCCCAGTCCCTCCCTAATGAGAGCCTGTGTGTGCCCTTGGGAGGAAGAGAGGACACGAGCATGTTCCTCCCTCATTTCCCGTTCTCTCGGAAGGGCTGGCACTCGCTTCCTCACAGCTCCTTTGCAGCCTCTTCCTCCTGCTTTGAAACACCCTGATGATTTTAAAACGCAGGCTACGGTCTTCCAAACTAGCCCACATCAGGGGAGCCCTTCTAACAGTGCAGGATGTGTTCTCAGCTTCCCTTGGTGCTGAAAAATCAACATGGGGGGACTCTTGTTAGAGAGCAGAGGTCCCCTCCTTGGGTGTGGTCGGGTTGCACAGCTGTGAACAGAAGGTGGATTCCAAGCTGGGCAGGGGGTCTGCATGGTTTGAAGGAGAGCATTAATAGAGCTGCGGGTTTTGCTTGTTTGTTTTGTTTGGGAGTTCCTCAGATGTCTGTTTTATTTGTTCACTTTATTTTAGAAAAAGTGAATTTATATGTCTTTAATTTTTTGAATAGGCAATGAACTTGCATAGTTGAAAAACCAAAATCATATAAAAATGAATACATAGAGAAATCTTGCTCACACGTGTGCCTTCAGCTCCTCATTCTCTCCCCTCCATTTTATTAATTTCTTATGTATCCTTCCATTTTGTTATATAATATACTTATTTTCTCCTTTTCTTATTGAACAGTCATTCTCAATGGGGGTAATATCACCCCCAAGATGGTGATAATTGATTTCTGGAAGTGAAAAATTCTTACTCTTTTTATGTATAAATCACAGATACACATTACACATATACTACATAAACAAATATGCATGGTATTAAAATTTCATGGGAGGGTGGGGATTAGGAAAAATGTCTTAAAATGGCTTCTTAGGGAAGTCATAATGATTTTTTAAAAGGTTGAGAAACACTGTTATAGAAAGCAGCACACAATATATGCTGTCCTGCACCTTGCTTTTTTCACTTTACACGATATCCTAGAGATATTTCCATATCAATTCATCCAGAGTTACCTCGTTAATTTTTATAGCAGCATAGTATTCCACTGTGTAGACATACCATTACTTAAACAGTTCCTTATTAATGGGTACTCAGTTTGATTCTAATCTTTGACTATTATAATATCACATTGAATAGCCTTTTACATACTGAATACATGCACAGGTATGTCTGTAAATAGATCCCCAGAAATGGGGTTGCTAAGTCCGGGGTAAATTCCTCTAAAATGCAGACAGACATTGCCAGAATCCCCTCTATTTTGCACTCCCAACTTTGTCTATCATCCAATAAATAAGAAACAGTCTAGCTACCTTTTACTTGGGATTGTCTGGTTCCTCCTGAGGGTCATGTTAGTTGATGGGCTAGGGGTAGGGTGGTCATGGGGGTTCTGGGATCTTCTATGGGCTGGGCTGTGAGCAGGATTTCTGCAGCCCTAAAGAAATGCAGGTGGCCTTGGCTAGGCAGAGAGAGGGCCCTTTTTGACACTATCTCAGGCAAGGAAGGGGACCCTGGATCATGGATGAGGAGTTTTAGGCCATCACAGAGAGTATTATCTGGGATGACCTCAGGCCATGATATGGGACTTGGCACCCCTCCCCCATAATATGGAGCCTCCAACTTGTGAGCTCCCAACACAATGCAACCTTGATTTCCAATGCCAGGGAGCAAAGGGCCTGGCCAGGGAGGTTATTACCACATGGAATATTCAGGCTGCCACACAGCTCAGTTGCTGACACAATTCCCTTTCCACTGTCCTCTGTCTGCCACAGCTGAGCAGGAAGAGAAGTCAGGCTGGCATCAGCCACACCTTGCCCTGAAACCTCGAGGGACACTGCCTTCTTGGATTCTACGCACAGGCAATACCGCCGCAGAAGCAGCCCCCTCCGTGCAGCCCCACTTCCCCCGTGATCTGGGTGGCAATTAATTGCTAGCTGGAGAGACATTTGTGCTTAACACCTCAACTGAGTCTGCCAAGATATTACTTGGTCCTCAAGTTATTTAAAATAATGTAATCATATTTGTTTTCAACAGAAATCTGCTGTATTCAGAAGTTTGAAAGCAGACTAAAAGAAGCCTCTGGGCTGGCTCGCTGCTGCTTTGAGCTCTGTTTGGATTCCCTCATAGAGACAGTCATCTCAGCATGAAGCGCACACATTTGCTTTTCCCTGGTGCTTATTAACTGAAGTCAAATAAATCACAAAATAGAGAAATTCTATGCTGCATTACAATCATGTCTAGGCTATTGCTGGGTGGGATTCGGACTCATAATTTATTCAAGACTTCCCTTCCTGAGTCGACTTCATGAGTCCACGCTCTTTCCTGCATAGTTCTGTAAGCAACCCCAGACTCAAACCCTGCTCAAAGAATGCTTTTTGGTTGAATGAATGAATTTAAATAAATAAACAAACACCTGCCATAAACATGACTTCAGAGATGAAGTGGGCACGGTTCCTTCTTTCACCTCTGCAGCTTCTTGGAGTGCAATAAAGCTTTGTGCCCTCAAGAAACATGATAGAGGTGTCAAACTACATAAATTGTGAATCATAAGTCACAGTTCCATTTGCTCTGCCACGGTGTAAAAATTGCAAATTTTTCATCAAGAAAGAAAAGAACTATGAGTGCCCCCTGTATAACTCAGCTCCATGACACCTCCATCACCCACATCCACCCAGAGCCGCACTCTGCCCCGCAGACTGGCCTGTCTGGGCCAGCACTTACATAGCTTGTCTTCTCTGGGTGCATGCCTTCTTTACCCTCCTTCAATTGATCGGTATTTCAAACAGGTTCCATTGTTCTTGTGTTCATGGTAGCAACAGTAGAAAAATATATCAAAATTGAAATCTCTTCTTTTGCTTCCTGGTAATTTTCTGTGATTATTCCTCTCCAACACTCCAACAACAGCATTCTCCCTTTCTCTCCCTCTGCACCCTACCCCTTTCCCTTCTTTTTCTATCAACACATTTTCTCCCACCTGCCCTAGAATTCCAGAGAGGTAGGACAGAAACCTGACCAGGCTTAAGAGAAACAACTAGATCTTTTTACAAAATGATCCTCAGTACTTGTGTAGGGACAGCCCCAAAATGTGAGGCATCACACTATGTCTACGATGAAAATTCCATGGCTTCTCCAAGGCCCTTCCTAGACCTAAGGTGCTCCCATATCTTGAACTTCTACTTCCAGACTCCACCTCTGGCCTAACTGGCCAATCTCTACACAGTGAGCCAGGCAATATTGCCAGATGCCAACACTACTAGATAGGCTAAGCCCAGCAGTGATTTATTTATTACTGGGCTATAGCTAGAAGGTTTGCTTTGGGCAACGGACTTAGTGGGCCAGGACTGGCTTTATGCCATCTCCACATAATGCCAGTGAGAGGGTATCAGTATTGCCTTTGTGCAGTGATAGCATGAGATGACATTCTGAGATGGAAAGTACAGGACAGCTTTCCTGGTGGCCTTAGACCAACCCAGTTCTCCCTCTTTCTTGCTTGCAGTTTTCAAGAGTAACTACAGGCTGGGCGCCATGGCTCATGCTTGTAATCCCAGCATTTTGGGAGGCCAAGGCAAGCAGATCACCTGAGGTCGGGAGTTTGAGACCAGCCTGAACAACATGGAGAAACCCCATCTCTACTAAAAATACAAAAAATTAACCAGGCATGGTGGCGGGCCCCTGTAATCCCAGCTACTCAGGAGGCTGAGGCAGGAGAATTGATTAAACTCAGGAGGCGGAGGTTGCAGTGAGCTGAGATCACACCATTGCACTCCAGCCTGGGCAACAAGAGCAAAACTCTGTCTCAAAAAAAAAAAAAAAAAAAAGAAAGCAAAAAGAAAAAGAAAAAGAAGAAGAAGAAGAAGAACTACAGATGGTGCTGTGAGTGCAATATCCTGAAATAAGGGGGCACTGGCCTGAACAGCCTGGGCTGTGTTCCAGCACCCCCTAAAAACAGGATGACCTTCAGCATTTTCACCCGGGATACAAAACCCACTGCGGGCTGCTGTCCCAAGTCCCTCAGCTGCAATGCAAGTGGAGACTCCACTCCTCCCAGGCAGGATACCTGGAGCATTTCTGAGCCTTGGGGGACCGACTGGCAGTAAATCTTAGGCCCCTGTTGTGTCTCGCTGCCTATCTGTAAGTAATAAACTCACTTCATGTAACTTGTTGGGGGCGGGGTGTTTTGACCTACTGAATACAGACAAGTTGGTAAGCAGTGCACAGTGAACCTGCTTCACAGGGTGATCATCTGGTGTATTATATTTAAGACAATGTGGTCATAGTATCATCTGAAATTTAAATTGGTTTTAGCAAGCTCCCTGTACCTCAAAACTAATGGAGGAAAATTAGATTGACTTGCAAAATATAGAAGTCTTATTTATCATTTGGCTATCTACTTATTTATTTTATAAACATGTATCAATATGCAAGGTGCTCTGTGGTAGAGCACAAAGACAGACAAGATGAGCCCCTACCATCTACAAATTTAAAGAATATCTAATAATAAGAATAATACTTAATATAGTAATAACCACTACTAACATTGCTGAGCACTGCCAGTCTCTGTTCTGCATACTCAGCTTGGTTTTACTCATTTGATTTGTACAACAGTCCCATGTGGTAGTTACTGTTATTATCTTCATCTTGCAGACAAAGAAAGTGATGCACAATAAATGCCTAGGCCAGGGTGTGTACCCAGAAAGTTGCCTCCAGAATCCATATACTTGACCACTATACTCTGAAGCTAGATGTATTAGTCCGTTTTCACAGTGCTGATAAAGACATAACCCGAGACTGGGTAATTTATTTTAAAAAAAAAAAAAGCTTAATGGACTCACAGTTCCACATGGCTGGGGAGGCCTCACAATCATGTCAGAAGGTGAAAGGCATGTCTTACATGGCAGCAGGCAAGAGACAATGAGAGCCAAGCAAAAGGGGAAACTCCTTATAAAACCATCAGATCTTGTGAGACTTATTCGCTACCATGAGAACTGTATGAGGGATCTGTCCCCATGACTCAATTATCTCCCACTGGGTCCCTCATTCCAGTACATGAGGGAATTGTGGGAGCTACAATTCAAGATGAGATTTGGGTGGCAACACAGCCTAACCATATCACTAGACAACCATTAATTGACGCAGAAATGAATGCAATGTCTAAAACAGGCTAAAATAAATTGCTATAGCTCTAGAGGAGAAGGTGATACTCTGGGGAGGGGGATGGAGGCACGGGGGTGTCAGGCAAGGCTTCAGGGAGAACATGGTATTTGTGCTCAACCTTAAGAATGAGTGGGTTTGGGAAACTGGAACTCTCAGATGAGCTTTCCAGGTAGAAATGATGTGGTCTTAGAAGTAACAAAGAAGCACGCCACTTACACGAACAGTAAAATGTCCAGCAAAAAGAGTTTTAGGGGAATTGTGAGCTAGGATTGAACATGTTTGGAGAGAGGGGATAATGTATTTATGTTGTAAAATAAATCTTCCAAGCATGATAGGACTCATTTAGGTCTGACTCCCCCACAGAGAAGCACATGCATGGCAGGTTGTAAGAACATCTGCTTGGGGTGCTAGAACAAATGAGGGGGATTGGGGGCACCTAGCAATGGAGAATTAAACCCAGGTACTCACCTTTTTGCTGTGGCTTCAAAACCTTCCCAGGGAAACATAACTTTTTATTATCACAGTTAGAACAGACCCAAGCCCATGCCTCACACTGGCTCAGTTCCCTTTTTAAGGTGAGGGGTCATGAAGTTGCAAAGACAAATGACTTGGTCTTAGCAGATGGCTGGCTGTTCAAGCTGACAAGTCTATGGCCATGTCTCTAGCTGTGAGTTGCAGTGAATGCACTCTCTACTGGAGATGGCTAGCAGCTTTATCTCCTTAAGTTTAATGGCTTGTTCCTCTGCTGAAAACACAATTCTAATAACAACGTGGCCTCTGATGCTCAATTCAGGGCCGTTTCAGCCCCAGCATTGCAGACAGGGTGACCTCACTTGTGCTGGCACCTCACAAGCCTGGACAACGTAGGTAGAGCAGCAATGCAACTCCAGGACCTGCCTGAGCCTAGCCTGCAGCTTTGGCCTGGCCAACAGTGGGAAGATACACACATGTGTTACAGTTTCAGTGGTCCTGAAACAGAGGAGGCCTGGTCAGAAAGTGGAGTGGGGGAAGGAGTGGGATAAATGAGGACGATCATCAGTCTCCTGGTTTACATGGGTTCTCAGTTGTTCATTTGAGTAAATATCAAACTTAGGTGAACAGATGGTAATAAGATAACATCAAATGCTTCCACTTCCTCTGGCTCTCCTTCCTTGTCCTCAAGAGAGTTCCAAGGGTTTTTTGTTTTGTTTTGCTCTTGTTTTTTTAACAAAGGAAACTAGACAAAGCAAAGCATAGAACTCTTTGGCACACTGTGTGTAAGAGAGAAGGGAGGTATATTGTCTTTGCAGAAGGGTAGCTGGCATTCTTCTGTTCTGCTTGGATCCGGGACTAAGGAAAGGAATCACTAGCAAAGAGCAACAGGGTTTCAGTTTCTGGGCACAATACCGTATCAGGCAAATTAATTGGCCTTCTGCTCTCAGCCGCAATCTATCGCCAGGCAGGGCATGACGACATGAAGGAGGCAGCATGCGCTGAGATGTGCATCTCATAATAAATTCTCCATCCTTGCTGAGAAAAATAAAGCATTTCTTACACGTTCGTTTGTCAGACATCTTGGGCATACTGAGGTGAGAGAGGAAAAAAATAACAGAACTCAAAATAGCACAGCATTGCGTGGGAAGGATGATAAAATTATGGCACTTTGAATGGTGACAGACACTGAGGTTTCATTTTATCGCTCTATAAAAGTGTGCTTTGGGAGGTTTGCTGTTTCTGTTCCTCTTCTTTCTCCACGTCCCCATGTTTTCCTCACATGAATATGTACATTGTCGAATATTTTACTTCAATTTTGGATGTTTTTACCTCATCTCATCCCGCTTTAGATCCACGCAGCCTTGCTGCTCAGTGATGGCTGGGAGCCTTTACTCCTGCACAGCATGGAAACATCCTCCAGCACTGCCTCGCAAAGGGCCACTCCTAAGGAAATGTTTGCCACCCCTCGCTGTCTCCTGGGCCACATCATTCAAAGACCAGGGGGGCTGCTGTCCCTTAAAAAGGCAAATGCATCACCAAATCTGGGAAATGAAATTCCCTGGTATTTCTTCCTATCACCAGTTCACAGGAGACAGGTAATAAATATCTGCTGAACTGAAAAGAAACTGCTATGTACATCTCTCACCTCCAGTCATGGCAATCTGAAGCCGCTTTTGCATCTTCGCCATCCCAATTTTGTGTTGAATAGGTTGTTTCTCCAGTTGTAGTCATGTGCAGAAATCCTGCCATGTTGACATCACCTCAATCCTAACCAGAACAGCCCAGGAATAACAGGGAGAGGTTGGTGCCTCAGTCCCTAACCCCTGAACTGGGGGATTTAAGGGTTCCCACTGCACTCATTCGCATGTAAGCTCTCTTAGACAAGGCAGAACATTGGAGTCTGCACATAACGAGGACTCCACCAGTGTTAACTGCTATACTGATTGGATCTAACCCCTGAAGTGGGGGATTTAAGGATTCCCACTGCACTCATTTGCATGTAAGCTCTCTTAAACAAGGCAGGACGTAGGAGTCTGCACATAACAAGGATTCTACCAATGTTACCTGCTATACTAATTGGATCACGCAAGGTTTCATCAGAGAAGCACAAGCACTGTGGATGATTAAGAATAAAGACCCTTGGCCTGGCGTGGTGGCTCACGCCTGTAATCTCAGCACTTTGGGAGGCCAAGGTGGGTGGATCACAAGGCCAGGAGATAGAGACCAGCCTGGCCAACACGGTGAAACCCCATCTCTACTAAAAATACAAAAATTAGCTCGGCATGGTAGCACATGCCTGTAATCCCAGCTACTCGAGAGGTTGAGGCAGGAGAATTGCTTAAACCCGGGAGAAGGAGGTTGCAGTGAGCCGAGATCGTGCCATTGCACTCCAGCTCTGGGTGACAGAGCAAGACTGCATCTCAGGAAAAAAAAAAAAAAGAATAAAGGCTTAGCACTTGCAGGAAGGAGTCAGACCTTCTGCAATGGTAGTGGCAGACCATGCTGGTGAGGCAGCCTATGCAGGCTGTTGCTTTTGCAGCTGTTATCTGAGAGTCTGCAGTCACTATGGGTCAGCCAGCCAGTCAGTTGAGAAGGGAGTGGGATATGGGTGAGAACAAGGACAAACTGGAATTTGCAAGGATGAGCTAGGATTCTCATGACAGTGGGAACCCAGGGAAGGCAGAAACCTATTTCTGCCTCTAACCACCTCAGTGCTATGGGTGACCTACAGGAGAACCTGGTGCCCATTGCCACATAATGGCATAATCACCTGGCACAGGACTCAGAGAAGCTGAAAAAAGAAGACCTGGTGGGAGCTGGCAGACCTGCAGAAGCAGGTGCTGGCCTATAACACCTGCAGATCAGCACCCACATATGCTTGGTGCCCTGCACCCACATTCAGAGCTTAAGAACTATGGTTCTTACTTCACCTCCACCTTCCAAAATTTTATTCAAAATGTCTCATGTAGCCAGGGCTCATCAGGAACCATGCATCATATTTAGGTCAGTATTTCTTCTGACCTAATGAAGGTCAGAAGAAATACTGACCTAAATAAATATCCCTATGCCTAGAAGATTCTGAGTAAATTTTGGTTGAATAAGTCAATGCCAGAGATAATCAGAAGAAACTCTGACCTGTGCTGAAGTCTTCAGCCCATTCTGTCTGTTTTTACATAAGTCTCTGAATTAGCAAGCATTAACTGAGCATCTATTTTGAGCCAAACACTGGGCTGGATACTGAGCAGAATGCAAAGAGGCAGTAAAAGTCACTCATGCTCTGAAATTATAGTCAACTGGCTTAAGAGGTGACATCTAAATTCATCTAAAGCTAATAAACAGCACAGTGTTACATTTTGGTAAGTGGCAGGGAGTGCTAATAAATACTATAGAAATTCCAAAGAAGGAGAGATCCTTACAGGTGGCTTCAGGGAAGGCTTCCCAGAGGAGGTGAGATTTCAGCCAATGCCAGAACACAGAAAGAAGAGAGATAAAGAGGAAGACACTGGCAAAGGAGCAGAAGTCAGAGTTCAAAAGGCACATTGGGGGCAACAGGAAGGCCCTAACTCATCTGTTTTTGAGGCTTTGCACAGACGATGAGAGGACAAAGTTGGGGTTCACAGAAAGGATGATACAAAGACTGCCTGAGCTCTCCCAGCATTGTGAATGGAAAATGAGCTCCTGTTGATTTTCAATAATGATTCAAAATAGCTGACACTCACTTAATCATTTACAACATGCCAGTACTATTACATCCATCACGGAATCCCAAACTCACCACTAGAGAGTTATTATTATCCCCATTCATGGATGAGGCATCTGAGGCTTACAGAGATGAAATGCCTTGCCTAAGGTCACCCAGCTCGTAAGTGGCCAAACTGGGATTTGAATTCGTAACAGCCGGAATTCATGCCTGTGCCTGCAGCTCCATCCCTCAGCTCTCCACTGCAAAGAGATGAGTCTACTGTCAATGACCTGTTCCTCCCTAACTGCTTGAGGTCTGCCCAGTCAGGCCTGCTGTACAAAATTCTATTGAGGGAGATGTCGCTGCAAATGCTAAGCAACCAATCAAATGTTAAACCCACGAGGCTTTCCGTCATTTAATTTCAGTTTTGAGTAGCAAAGATAATATCCTAGAATTTAAACCAGCTAAATGATAAGAGAATTTTGCTGCCTAAAAAGGTG
Organism: Homo sapiens; assembly: GCF_000001405.40. NCBI lineage: Eukaryota > Metazoa > Chordata > Mammalia > Primates > Hominidae > Homo > Homo sapiens. The sequence continues at coordinate 116,379,184 of NC_000005.10, read as the reverse complement.
CTTTCTCTATGCAGGAGGGTAGATTGGGGAGAGAACCTGTAGTATTTATCTGGAATAAGCACTTGGTCCCTTTTTGCTGTTTTTTTTTTAATAGAGATTTCCCTTGTAGATTGCAAGTTTTTGTGAGAAATGTGTTCCGTTTATACAGTTGAAATGTACTCATCAATGTGGGTAATGAAATGTACATGCACACTGAAATCTTCACCTCAGTGTCCAGCCCGTGACTGCTCTCCTGACAGATCAGAGCCTCCTCCTGCCCCGTGCTGGGGAGCCCACCCCCACTTCTGAGAACTGCTTCACGGAGGAGAGGCCCGGCTGAGGCAATGAAGTCAGAATGGGAAAGGAGCTCAAGCTAGTAAATGTGTCAATTTATTTGGACTCCCTGCAATTTAGAAGCTGATTTCAAAGAAAAATTGCTTCAGGCTTCAGTCTCCTTCTGTCGTTGCCAACTGTGGCCCATTTTACAGCTGACTGACCACCATCTAAAAAGGGTCCCTGGTAGTCACGGCAGGCCTTGATCACTCCCTGCTTGCTGCCCCCGAGCAGAAGTCGTAAGCATAATTACAGCTAATGGAGGCAGGTTGGGGCAGGCCATCCCCCCACGTCACCACCACCTGCTTCCCCAAGGACGAGGCCGTGGCCTGCACACACAGCTGTTTGTTGTGAATCCCAAGTCAACAGCTGACATGATTCATTAGAACTTCACACTCCTCTGCTGCAATCTCCTCACACCTCACACTCAGCCGGGTCCACAGGCTTCCTGCTCCCTGTTTCCCCTCGCCCACCCTAGCCTGACACCACCTCTGAGGTTAATTATGCTGCCTCAAGGCCTCCACCCAGAAGGAAAATAAACAGTCTGATTTTGCCAGGAGTCAGTGGATAGGGGAGAGAGGGGCAAGAAGTCCACCCCATACACGCATAAATCACAGCATAGGCCTTATTCTTCAGCAGCCTAAATCTGAGTATGTCTCATTTAAAATCCATCTCTCACCCATTGCCTGCCTGAGACTGCGGATAAGGGGTTATCAGACTGCTCTGTGGCAATAAGGAACCCATTAATCTCAACCTAGTTTCCAGAAAGATTCTTTTTTTTTCTGGTTCAGAAAGGGCAGTTATTTAAAAAGGGTTGTTTGGAGGACAAACCATTAATACGTTTTCCCCTCAAAAAACCCTTTAAGAACCTATTAACAGAGCCTCAGTTGTTCAGAGGGGAGATTCCTCCGCATGGCCTATCTCAGGGCAATTGGGGGATGTTATTACGTCCGCTGAAAGAGAGCCTGTTCTGAGGGACCAGGCGATCTGCAGGAAGCCCCAGGATGGTGCCTCAGCCAGCGGGGTTATTCTAGGCCAGAAGCTCATGGAAGTGGACACCTGCAGGTGGGGCCCAGAGGACGAAGGGTGGTAGACTAGATGCCCTTTATCCTCCACTGTTCTCCAGCCCTGGGCTCCTTGCCTGCACTTGCTCTTTTTGTGAAGACAGCGGTCTAGACGAATGGAGATAACCTTTCCAGACCAATCCCCGCAACCTTTCGCCAGGACATTTGCATGCAATTCTTATGAAAGGTCACCCAGAAAACTCCGTGGTCAAACAGCATCCTTCCAAACAACAAATGTGACAGTTAAAACAAAGCACCCTTCTCATTTGATGGCGCGGAAGCAGCTGGGTTTCAGTACAACTTGGCCGGCCTAGGCTTGTGGCATTTGTTACCTGAGGGAAACAATAGCAGCTCTGTAGGCATTTCTGTCTGAAAGGGCAGGAGCTGCATGCCTGCTTCTCAGGTTCAGGCCAACAAGAAAGGGGCATCAGGAGACTTTTCATCAAGGCTGCAAGGAAGTTTCACATCGTCCCAGCACCCAGTCTCCCACCGTGTGTGTCTGTGCGCACGGACATACATGATGAAGACATATTGTTTTGATTCCAGAGCAGGGCTTGACAGGGTATTTCTCTTTCATTCAATTCTGAAATTGCTAGATTGTCCATGGCCTTGTCCTGGAATTGAAAATGTATGCTGGACCATCGGAGTTATTTATGTATGTTGGAGTGTTATTTTTCTCCTTCTCCTAGGTTTTCCTATGGAACCAGGACTTTTGTGGAAATGGTGGCTTATGGGTAGCTTATGGTTCTAAAAATACTCTCTAATGCCCATATATGCTGTCTATATTGACGGGTGTGTGGTGCCTGCTTGGATCACACTTTAGGCAAAGGAAATCTGGCCCATGTAAAGCCCTTGCTGTTTAGGTGGTCTAATTTTGACCCATTCCTTTCCATCCACACCCCACCCACACAGCTCATTGGATCAGGGATTGTAGACCTAACTCACAATGAACCAATTGAAAACTTTCAATGACTCGTGACACACACATTTAAAAACAAGCAAACAAAAAAAAAAGGAGGAGGATAAAGAACTGAACAAATTAAATTCCCTATCATGTGAACGATTAATCAGAAAAGAATCTCCTATTGGCAAAAGTAAACCTAGAACTAAAGAGGCCAAAATTAAGGGTGAGCTGGAGCAGTGGGAAGCACAAGGAGTCAATGGTGACTGGGAGTGAGAGAGGGGACGTCATGCTGAGTGTAGGTGTTCCATCTTAATAGTGAGCACATGAGTGAAGATCTTCTAGAATCTCCGGCCATGGCTGCTAGAGCCCCTGCCCCCTGCTCCCTTGAATCCTCTTCTAGTTTCAGGTGACCCAGCTATACCTTGCTTTCTGTTCTAGGATTTCCAGGAGCCTCTGGCCTTTTTCATTGCTCCACATCCATCTCAACATGAATTCCCCTTTACTTAACCTAGCTTGAAAAGGCCTCTGTCCCTTCCCTGAAAACAAGCCTGGAAAAACAATAACAGACATCTTAAGGAGACTTGCTTCCCGGGGCCTAACAAGAAAAGAGTGATTACATTAAGAATACATTTAATTGTTGATGTTCTATTTGATTAAAGGAAGGAAGACAAAAGCTCTGATTTATGAGACAATCACCGGGCACAGAGAGGAGGATACAGGGAGCTAGAGAGGCAGTGCCTTTCTACAGACTGAGGAACCTGATTGCCTGTGAGGGAGAAAAACAGGTGTCCGATCCCTCCCACTGGAACTGCTGTCCATATGGAAACTTGAGAAGCTGAAGTAATGCCAGGCAGCTCTCAGGTCTCCTGGGCAGGGCCAGCAACACTGGGCACCACAGCAGACCCGGTCTGGGAAGAGGTCAAAATCCTTTTCTGCCTGATTCCGTCAGCCTCTCAGAACCTGACAAAAGATGAGAGCATGCTGGAGAGTCAGGGAGATTCATATTCTAGGCTAGGTGTCAGTCTCTTAGGTGTTTTATCTTTTTCCTGTTTGATTTACGATGGACATGGCCTCGGCTAAAGAGAATGCACAGTATTTTTATAAATATCAAAAAGTCTATGTCAATAAATATTCTTTGCAACTTGTCTGAGGAGGCTGGTAGGACAAAGATTGAGCAGTCCATATACTGTGAAAAGACCTCAACTAATCAGAAGGATTTAACAAACCCATACCTCTCAATTAACCAGATATTTTACTTTCTACTTTTATAAACACAAAAAAATCAAATGACAACTCAATTAAAAATGTCAAACTAGGTTATAACTTATAAGCTGCACACAGAGACCTCTAGGATGATGACCTTGAGGTATTGTGCACCTTGAATAATGTGAAAATGTTATGCTCATTAAACTCTACTTACTAAGGCATGGATGTGGCTGCACATTTTTGGAAAGATTTGCAACAAGAGAAGTTTCTGTTTTATTTTCATGGAAGCAGGGAACTAGGTGTTTCAACGCCCACCTATGAGACACTAATCATTTTTTAAGCCTACACAACAGCCCGAACATCATATTCTCTTCTGAGAAGAGAGACTATGAGGATGGATTTGCCCAATGTCCCTGAGCTAGGCGAGAGCATCAAGCACACAAAGGCATGAGTGAGCCATTGGACATAAGCAACTGTTGGGATTTGGACAAGGGAGTTAAAGAGACATGGGTTCAAGTCCCAGACCTGTCACTCAAGGAATGACCCTGGAAAAGCCAAGCCCCCACATCTCAGTATCCTCAGTTGTAAAATGAACAAAATAAAGAGATTGCATTTATCAAATCATCTGTCTCTAAAGATTAGCTCACTTCCAAAATGCTGCACCATGATTTGGAGAGAAAACTTAGAGGCTGCTTGTCTTCATGTTTAGCCCTGAACTCCAGGCAAGTTGTAGAAGTGGATATATTTGACTGAATCCCATGTTCTGCATTACAATTTTGCCCTGTGGGGGAAACTGCACCTGACATCATATTCCTGCGTGGCTAGTTCTAGCTCACAAAGCTTTTCCTTTAGCCACAGAAAGAACTGAAGGTTCCACCCAGTCAGTCAGAGTTGGCCTTTAAAAATATATTCTACCCACAGTGGGGGGCCCCTGACCAGACTCGAAATTATACAGCCCCCAAATCATTTTCTATCTTTCAGACCCTTAATTCCAAGCCAAACAAACCCAGGAGTTCTTCCAAATCCATTTGGAGGTGAGGAAGTGGGAGGCTCCATTTGGGGAAATGATGAGGTTCTTCCTTCCTCTTGGGGCTGAGTGAGCTCCCTCTTCAGGACTCCCACGGCCTCAGAGGCCAAGGTTCAAGAGCCTGAGAAACAGGGCAGAATCAGGTTTCCCTTTAGACCACAGACCACAAGTACTCCATCCAGTGTAACAGGTACGTGTAATGTAACGTTGTATTAGTCAGGGTGCTCTAGAGGGACAGAACTAGTAGGATACATGTGTGTGTGTGTGTATATATATATATATGTATATGTATATGTATATATGTATCCATATGTATATACACCCACACAGTCATAAATATATATATTTATGATTTATATAAACATATGATTATATATGATTTATGATATATATAAATATATATATATGATTGCATGAGTGTGTATATATATATATATATAGGAGTCCATTCAGTAGTATTAACTCACGTGATCACAAGGTCCCACAGTAAGCCATCTGCAAGCTAAGAAGCAAGGAAGTCAGTCCAAGACCCAAAGCTGAAGAACTTGGAGTCTGATGTTCAACGGCAGGAAGCAACCAGCACAGGAGAAAGATGTAGGCTGAAAGGCTAGGCCAGTCTAGCCTTTTCATGTTTTTCTGCCTGCTTATATCCTGGCCATGCTGGCAGGTGGATTAGATGGTGCCCACCCAGATTAAGGGTGGGTATGCCTTTCCCAGCCCACTGACTCAAATGTTAATCTCCTCTGGCAACACCCTCACAGACACACCCACGATCAATACTTTGCATCCTTCAATCCAATCAAGTTGACACTCAGTATTAGCCATCACAAAGGTAATCAAAGTGGAAGAGAGAATATTTCTAACAGTTATCCTCTTAAGCTCTGGGGTCACATAACTTGAATAAGTTACTTCATCTACTTTAACTTTAGTCTCCTCATCTATAAAATGGGCCTACGAAAAGTCTTCACTTCCTAAGTGTGGTGTACAAATTCAATGAGATAATTCATGCCAAGGAAAAGGCATGTAGAAAGTATTTAGTAATGTGTAGTTCTTATGTTGTATCCCAAGGATCCTAAAACCCATGCTTTATCTGCCCCCTGAAATTCTCCCATGAGAACAAGGTAACACCAGAGCTAAGTTTTGATTTGACCTACATGTCTCATCTGTGAGAAGGAGTAGGGGCTGTGGAACTTTCTGGTTTGGAGTGGGCATTAACCAGTTCCCTGGTTGTAAGCCAACACCTCTGAATTTTGCAACTGTGATTTCACTTCACTCCAAAGCCCCAAAGTACCACCCCTGCCATTTGTAGATAGAGGTGAGAAATGAGTCATTTTTGCCACCTTCCTCAAAGCTCTGATAATTTTAAACACACCTATGTTCATTAGTGTTCCATGTGAAACATAAAATAACTTTTAGTTAGAGTTTGGGCAGTCAAATGCACCCAAGCTTAATAAGAAAAGAAGGAGTTGTATAATGTCATGCAAAGAAGAATAGCCTGGGTCTTAGTGTGGCACCTGTGGGTGAACTAGGCAGTTCAAGGGAGCAGTCATGATTCACTCATTCTGGCTCTGTTGTTTGGCAGCTGCAGAACTGTGGGTAAGCTGTTGAACCTCTCCAAGCCTACATGTCCTTCTTTATAAAGAGAAGAAGGTAAAAGCCTTCCTAGGGTCATGATGGGGACAGTGTTCTGTAGGTAAGTATTTGTTGCTACTGGGTTCACTGCGCTTCTCTCCACAGACCTGATGGCTTAGGTAGGCAAGTCCGTTAACCATTTGGTATCTCCTCATCAATGGCAACCACAAGCAGGCAGCTCATCCTCTCCTAGGACCTATCTTCAACTTGCACCATGGGCAGTACCTGAGAGACTCCAAATCCAACACCGGCAGGGGGTGCATGTCCCAGTTGCACACATGTAGTCAGGCTGGGAGTGAGTTGGAGCCAAAAGAGAAGGAACTACTTTCCCAGGATTCCCACTGGCTGTCTCTTGCCCCTAGAGAGAGGCCACATCCAGCTGGAATCTGGCAGGGACTAAGTAGGGATTCTGGTTCTGGGAGCACACAGAGAAAGTCTCCTTGTCTCTTGAATATCTCCAGTTCCTTCTGTGGGACTTCCTCTGCTCCATCTGATGTCCTTCGAGTCTTGTCACAGCATTTCCCACCTTGACTTGCTGTTTACTTAATTTTTTCTTACTATTAGACTTGTAGTCATTAATAGCATGGACTCTGGTCTTAGACTATCTGAGCTAAAATGCTGCTCTATCACTTGTCTCAGGGTCCACATCTGTAAAATGAGGGTAAAAATCACTCTTCCTTAATAGGGATGTTGTGAGGATTCAATGAATTTATGCAGGTAAAGCACTCATAACAGTGTCTGGATTACAGTTAGCAGCATATGTGTTGACTCTTCTATTATTGCTTCCTTTTGCCTGAGTGACATCTCATAATTAGCAGGGTTCTTCAGGGGTTTCATCTTTCAAAAGAGAGGGGATAGAGACTGGCCAGTCAGCTCTTTGCTCAGGACATTGAGTTAATCCATCATCTTGCAACACACAGTTGGACTCTCTTCCTGTCTGTTTATTGTGATCCTAGAGTGGCTCCATCCTTCCTGTTCTTGGGACAGTTCCTCTTTTTCTGGAACTATCTGTTTACTCACATTTCTGTATATCCACCCTTCCCCACACAGAGAGAAATACATATTCACATTTTACAAACAGATATAAACTTAACTATAAGAAACCCAAATACTCATATATGCCAACCCCACCAATATCACCCAAGGAAAAGGGCAGCTCTGCTATGTTCTTAATTCTCCCTAAATATGGCTGGTGCCTAGGAGACTGCTTTGGGCTTTTAAAATATTTCCCCTCAACAGCTATCTTTTTAAAGCTACAACAACAAGGGAGATGAGTTAAGAGAGTTCTCTAAGGTAAAATTGTCTCTTTTGCCACTTAGGTAAAACTTACAAGCACCACACAATACCCTCTCCCTATCAGACCTCAGCCCTCCCGGCCCACACAGCCTCTTGGGAGCAAAGTCCATCTTCATGTAAAGCTCTGGTGAGAGACATGGGCAACTCTAAGCACTCCTCTTGCCTTTACCAGTCTGTATAGCACAAGATACTCCAGACATTTCCAAAAAGTTACCCATCGGCTTCCCAGTAAAAAAAAAGGCCATAAATTGGCACTTTCTTTTCTCTCTCCACCCAAGCTGTTCATACAGACAAAAAAATTTAAGTCTACAAGTTGAAAAACGCTTTCTTTTTTTTTAAAGCAGCTACCCACATTAAAGGAAGACTGTTTAATTCTAGATCTACAGCTAGAAGATCAAAAATAGGAATAATTAAAGTCTGAGATGTAACTGTTAAGAAAGGCATTTTTTTTAATCCTCTTTGCCAAGTCTTTAAACAGGTAAACCACATATTTAAACAAAGTATGAAGATCTGAAAATGCCAATGGGATTTTTTTTTTTGGTTTAAGACATAATGAATTCAGTCTTCAGAGACCATGAAGCAAGGTTTATAAAGCTCTCTAAACTGTCAGCTGAATAATTATCTAGCAAAGCCCATGTGGAGGTGACTCCCTGTGATTCAGCTTCTTTCCTGTTTTGAAACAGAAGGTTATTAACCTCTGGAACAAAATCTGGCAAAGTCAGGAACGTCAATTTTATGCAAAGAGTATTTCCTTTTTGTGGCCTTCCTTTTCATCCTATGATGTTTTTTAAAGTCTTACAAATATACCGAATTCTACTCAACCACCCTTTCCAAATGCCCCAGAGAGCATGTAGAACTTAAAAGAAAAAAAAAATTAAACAAGTCTCCCTTTTCCAAGGTGGCCAGAGCCAAATGAACTTTATGTCAAAAACCCATGAATAATCTGACAATTTACATTCCAAAGAGAAGGTGAGGCAGGTGCATTAAGGGTCGTATGCAAAATAAGAATTCTGAAAAAAACAAAAAACAAAAAACAACTCATTACTGCCAAACCTGTTCTTCTTTTAATATGATTATAATTTTAAATTGTGGTTTTAAAATACCTAAGTGCTTGGATGTTATTGCTTTAAAGTCTCCACTTGAGAGATTGTGGCTGTGGTTTCTTTTACCTAAAAGTAATCTGGACAGCTGAATAATGGGCTCCTCCGTTTGTTGCATGGACCTGTTCATCATATTTTGAAACTAACTTATTCAGCCTCCTTCCCCACAGGATGCAAAGTATCTTCAAGCAAAGAAAATACATGTCATTATCCTAACTTGACTGAAGGAAAAGCTAAACAGTGAACTTGAGATCAGATGCAAAACCTGAAATGGAGCAGAAACAGTGCCTGGCTTGCTGGTGTTCAAAAAAAAACCCTTGCCTGGGTGTCAGACAGGGCTGTTCACTACACCAAACCAGGTAGGAGATGCGGGATTCGTGGAGTAGAACACAAAAGCCCAGTTCACTGAGTATAAAGAAGGAAAATTAACAGCCCACCTGTTCCAGAGCTCGCCAGCTTCCTTCCAGCTTAGTCAAACAGGATATTTTGTTGTTTTTTGTTCTAAAACCAGAAATCTACCTACTACTGTTACTGCTGCTGCCTGTCATCTGCCACACTCAAAATGAGCCTGAGGTAGGCAGGTGTTTTCATGCTTCACTCTCAGGGTAGGAGTGGAACTGGGAGAAGGGCAATGAACAAGAATGAGGTCCTGGCCTCTTATCCCCAACTGAAGATCACCTTAGCTACAAAGTCTCCATTATCAGTGTAGAGAAATGTGGTTAGCAGACATGGACAAATCACCAAAGCAGCTGTAACTGTTCCTGGTAGGACGTTATTTCTAGACTTATCAGCCTGAACTGTGCTTTAAGGACTGGAACTGGGTAGACATGCCATCACCATTCCCTGGACAAACCAACAAATGAAGAAGCAAGCATAAAGCGGCAATCCTACAACCACATACTTGGTAGTTTCCTCCTGGAATCCGGAGTTATGGTGTTAGAGTGCTTTATTTTACCACGATTTTTTCAGGTCATCCCAGCCTTAAAAAGGTGCATGTCTTTGTGACTTCCTCCTGACTCAAGATAAGCTACTAACTTATCGGTAAACTTCTCTATCCTAACACTTAAACTTCAAAGTTTGGGATCCGCATTCATCTTCTCTCTGTATTCAGCTGCATGATTCTCAGTGTTCCAAGTGCCATAAACATCAAAGTCTCTTTGACTGTTTCTTTCTCAAAATTTCAAAGCCCCTTGTGAAAATGGACTCCCAAAATCTCCTGTCCTGATATCTTGGAGTTCCCAGCTCTGACATGATACTTAGGCCCTGATTAGTCTGCAAGGCTAGGTTCAAATATATGGCACATATGTATAAACCATGAGAGCTTGATAGCTGCATTTCTCAGTGCCAGCCTCTCTTTGTAACAGAGAAAATGCACACACAGTCCACAAGAGATGCTGAGACAATTATCTCAGCATAACCAGAGAATAGGGATTCCTTTAAACCCCCTGTATTCTTTGATAGCATTAAATCCATGGTTCCCAGGATCACTGGCATTACCAAGTCATATTGTAGCCAATCTATATTTCCCTGCTGCCTAAAGACCAGCCAAGAGCTGTCTTCACCCTTCCACCATTCTTTCTTTCTAGAAACTAGAACAATTGCATGACATGCTGTAACTGACCAGTGACTACTTGGTTAGAGGACATTTTGAGGGACACCTTTCAGTTCTGCAAAACCTAGCAAATCAAATCAAAACAAATAAAAATACAACAGCTTGGATCATCAGGATAAGGGGCTAAAGCAAAAAATATCTAATTTTGACAGGTAGATGGAATTGTTACTTTAGATTTTGGCAAATTTATAAGAGGAAAAGTAAACTCGTGGTCTTCATAGGAAGTCAATGGTTGTATATTACAATGTGGACCAATTTCACCCAGATAGAATTCCTAAGTACATTGATACCTAAGTAATTCTTCTTTAGGTGTCCTTAAATCTTTAGAAAATCATTTCTGATTTATTTCCATGTAGGTCTTACTTTTTTTTTATTAAGTTTATTCCTCGGTAGCTTACAGTTTTGTAAATGTCATCTTTTTTTCCTCATGACATTTTCACAATTGCTTATTAATTGGGTATAGTGTCTGGCCAACTTACTGAATTCTCTTATTAGTTGAAATCATTTTTCAGTTGATTTGCATGGATTTTCTAAATAGAAAATTATCACGTCTGCAAGTAAAAACAGTTTTGTCTGTTCAACATTTATGTTTTATTTCTTTTTATTATTTTATACCATTAGTGAGGATTTTGAGCAATAATAGTGTGTCCTTATTGTCTTTGTTTCTGATTTCGAACTGGTGATTCACCATTGAGTATGATATTTGCATAGGGTTTCTTTCCTTTATTAAAATAAAGCTGTTTTCATTTTGAGTTCTATTTTAAGTTTTCTAATCATTAATGGGTCTTTAATTCATTAAAATTTTCTTCAAAATCTATCAAAATGATGTAATGATTTTATCCTCTTAATTCTTGATCAAATGAATTACATTGATAGATTTCCTAATGTTGAAAAATGCTGGCATTCCAAGGATAAGCCCTACTTAATTAAGATGTATTATTCTTTTAATGTACAAAAGAATTTAATTTGCTAATGTTTTATTTAGGATTTGTGTACCTTTGTTCAGGAATGTGATTGATGTACAGTTTTCTTTTCCCACATTATCCTTTGTTTAGTCTTGGTATATGGTTATGCAATCCTCATAGATGAGTAGAGAAGCTTCTCATTTTATTCTATGTTCTGAAAGAAGTGATACAGTCCCCAAATTATCTGTTATTGGTGATCTGAGCCTTCTGGCTAGCTTTGATTAACTTTGTAATGTTTCTGTAATTACCTCTTTTCAATCAGTGTTAGAATTTATATTTACCTAGAAACTTATCCATTTTTTAATGTAGATTTTCGAATTGACTGTAATGAAGTTGAACATGATATCTTTTAATGTTTTAAATCTCCTAACAGGATCTTAGTCTCCTTTCTTGTTTCTAACATTGTTTTGTGAATGTCCTCCTTTTTCATAATTGCAGCCTTGATCAATTTTTCTTTTTTGCTTTTACTCTATTAATTCCTGCATTTCATATGTTTATGTATTCTTTCTATTTTTTTGGTGAGGGATTACCCTATTATTTGTCACTAGCTTCTTAATGCATAAGTTTAATGCATTTTTATAAACGTTTCTCATTGTCAAATTAGGACGTTTAAAGCTGTAAAATGTCCTCTGAATATAATTTGGTATACAACCTCTGAGTGTAGTTTTTTTTTAAGTGCTGTGCTCACATTTTCATTTAGTCCCAAATTGTTTGTAATCTCAGTAAGATCTCCTTTTTAACCCAGAAGTTATTTAGAAATCTGTGTTAAAATTTCCTGGTACATGTATCTAGAATATATATAATATTTCCACAAATTATTAATGAAAAGACAAACAACCTGTTATAAAATAAATCTAAATTTAAACAAGTACTTCACAAAAGTAGATATTTGATTGGACAATAAATTTACAAAAAGGGAGCTGGGCATGGTGGCTCACGCCTGTAATCCCAGTAGGTTGGGAGGCTGAGGTAGGTGGATCACTTGAGGTCAGGAGCTTGAGACAAGCCTGGCCAACATGGTCCAACCTCATCTCTACTAAAAACACAAAAATTAGCTGGGCATGGTGGCGGGTGCCTGTAATCCCAGCTACTCTGGAGGCTGAGGCAGGAGAATTGCTCGAACTTAGGAGGCGGAGGTTGTAGTGAGCTGATGTCACACTACTGCACTCCAGCCTGAGTGGCAGAGACTTTGTCTCGAAAAAATTATAAAAAGCAGTTGAATATTTAATATTATTTTAATATTAATGTTTCAATATTGATATTCAACTTTTTATAAATGCATTGGCCAAATATTAATATATACAATATAAATATTAATATTTCCTAGTCATCAGGAAATGCAGGTTAAAACCACAATAAGATATTTCTTGTATTCTCTCTCTCATCATTGTATGATATATGATGTATATGATAGGACAATGACAGAAAAAGAGAATATAAAACATGATCTGAGACCTCATAGCGCTTACCTCCTAGTGGTAAAGCCTAATGTTTTTGTCAAATAATCATACAAATTTAACCCATTTACATATATTGTAATTACTAATATAATTGGATATATTTCCACAATCTTATTTTATGTTTTCCATCTATCCTAATTTTTTTTTTTTTTTTTTGAGACAGAGTTTCGCTCTTGTTGCTTAGGCTGGAGTGCAGTGGTGCAATCTCAGCTCACCACAACCTCTGCCTCCTGGATTCAAGCGATTATCCTGCCTCAGCCTTCTGAGTAGCTGGGATTACAGGGATGTGCAACCCGCCCTGCTAATTTTGTATTTTTAGTAGAGACAGGGTTTCTCCATGTTGGTCAGGCTGGTCTCGAACTCCCAACCTCAGGTGATCTGCCTACCTCAGCCTCCCAAAGTGCTGGTATTACAGGCATGAGCCACCGTGCCCAGCCCATCTATCCTAGTCTTAAGCAAAGCTGTTAGTCTTCCCTTTTTACCATTTGTTTACATTTAAATACTTTGAATTTTTTCTCGAGAACGTTGGACATTATACATCTTATTTTTATTTTTTCTTGGTGATTATCCTTAAATTTTAACACACATTTAAGCATATATTTTTCTATGAATATCTGGTATTAGTCAACATCTCTATACTCTCCCTGGATAGTTACCTATTGATTTGACACAATTCCAAATTAGTCTACTTTCACTTTCCCCATATCCTATCCCCCCATTCCAAAGCCACTATGTTAAGATCATTTGAGATTTTAGTTTTAGTTTAGTTCTATTAATTATTTTTTCCATTGTGCTATCAACAACTTTTTAGATTTAACTTATAATTTTACAAGTTTGTTTAACACTTTCTTGTTACTTATCGACCACTTTCTTAGCTTCATTTTTTTCTTTCGCTAGAAATTCTCGAGTGTATCTGCTTAGAGAGGGTCTGTGGTTGGTAATCTTTCCAGTCCTTGCATGTCAGTGATTTTATTTTGCCCTTCAACTTTAATGCTAGTTTGGCTCAGCATACAATAGTTTTCTTGCAGCTGTTCTCTTTTCAGCAGTTGAAAACCAGTGAATACCCCTAAATAGCTGTCATTTTTGTTCTGGTGCTGCTTTTCCTTTGATTTCAGTTTAACAAATTTGTTGAGTTCCCATTATGAGTTGCACACCTTCCTAGGTGCCGCGGATACAGGGATGAGTAAGACACTGGTCTGCGCTCTATGTGCTGGGTTCACTCCCCACTTCTGCCCTGGTCTTGCTGTGCTTCTCTCAGATCCCCTTCTCCCCAAGGAGCCACCTTCCTCAAAGCAAGCCAATGGTTGGCTGTGCAGCAGCAAATGATGTGATCTGACATTAAACAAACAAAAAAATCCCTGCATTGTGCTGACTTATTTCTCATTCTTATGCATTTGCATGGGGGAAATGCCCAAAGAATGAAGCTGTAAAAATATTGCTACTTGCCCTTTGGCCATCCACCCACTGAGGGAAGACCTCAGGCCATCTGGTCTCTTCTGATAAATGCTCTGACCCAGCTCTGATGGACAAACCATGTCTTTCTCACTGTCATTTTCTGAGTGATGACATTGGGAGGGAAAAGCCTAGCTTCTTGGCAAGCAGTTTCCTGAAGGAAAAAAAAATGGGCTGAGGGTGGAGGGAGGATTTATTAAATTACCTGAAAAACTTTTTTGAAATGCACTTCCTGGGTCCTTACCCCCAGAAAATGAAATTTGACCTATTGGGGGACCCCAAATACACATGTTTTGAAAAAGTGCTTTAGGAAATTATCATATGTATTTGACACATGACCACCCTGCCACCTCCTACTGGACAATCACTGATGTTATCTAACTCTTTCCTTTTATACATGGCCCACAGAACAAAGGTGATTGATTTGCCTAAGGCTGCACAGCTAGTTAATAGTAGAGCCAGGAAGAGACTTGAGAACATTTTGATTCCCAAATGAGCGCTTCTTCTGACATTACCAATGCTTCCCCTTTAACTCTTGTTCTTCTGGAAATGATCATCATCATCATCATCATTATCATCATCATCATCTTCACCAGACATTCTACTGGCCACATTACATAAAATTATCTCTCGTATTTGCAACAGTTCTATAAGGCAAGTATTATCTCCATTTCTCACTCCCTGTCCACATTGCCAACCTTTGCATACTATGCATCCTGAGACTCAGGATCTGCCATCACCAAGTTCCCCTATATCTTTTGTCCCTTTTCATAAGGTCTCTTTATATCTTGCCTTAATGGAAATTTGGCTGTCCCCTTCATCTGCAGCCTCTCAAATGGAGACAATTCCTGTCCCACCTTATTCTCTTTATGTCAGACTGAAAGTGGAATAAATGTCACATTGTACTTTGAATTCAGTTATCTTCTCCCCTCCTTCAAAGCCCCTAGATCCTCTGAAATTCATGTCTCCAAACTTGACCATCTGCCATCCATATCTGCTAAACTGTCATCTACCAACTCACTCCCTTCATTCATTAATAACTTTAACACCTGTTCCTATCCCCTATTCCCATCACCATTCTTGGTGACTTTAACAACCTTGTAGAATAGGGACTCATGGAATACCTTGCCATCTGAGTTCCCTGACCTCCTCACCTCCAACAATCATTAATCTCTATTTCACCTAGGCCACACTCTCATGATTGTGTCCCTAACCCTGTCACCACCAGTTAAGGCACCACTTCCAAAATCTGTATGTCAGTACTCCCCATGCTCTGAAATCAATCCATTGACCCTACTGTTTTTACGTCTTTATAAATATACAAAAAATACATTATATATGTTCTTCTTTTTATCCTCACTTACCTTCTTGTTCTGCTTAATTCCTTTGTTCACCATTATAATTACTGCTTTGTGCATTCTGCTGTTTTTCTAACCTTTCTCTTTCTGTCAAACTCATCTGGTAAATGCACATTAAAGATTAAGTCCATATCCACGTATCTTATGACTACACCTGAGGTGCTCAAAGTTCTGGCAGAAAACACAAAGATGCTAATAAGTTTATCTTCATCACATTACTGCACACCCAAAATAGGCACTCAGCACACCTGGCAGTTTTATGACACTTCTTTAATGTGCCCACTTTGTGAAAATATTTTCTTCGCATCTTCCCTTTTGTCCTTAAGCTTTATAAATGGCTAGCTTGGCATGGATTCCCCTAAAAGCCATGCCTGAAACAAAGACTTACCTGAAGGTAGTTTTTATAAAAAGTGATCAAAGGGATCCAGAGACAGGATCCGAGGAGTGAAACAGGGGAAAGGCAAAGATGCATAAGTGAGTGGGCTGCTCCTAGGACAACAGATGGTCAATTCCATGGGACCTTCTAAAGATCCTGATAGGATGCAGCTTTTATTTATCTGCTTGGGGAGTAAAATGGTTCAGCATTTATCCATAGGATCCTGCCTTCCATTGGTCAAAGGTGGTTCTCGACACTAACTTCCTCACATCTCCAGGCTGTCCATGGGTGAGTGCCCAGTGGATTCTACAGACATTCTACACAGCAGCTTCAGAGGGGTCCTGGGGCAGACATTGCCACACTGCTGCAGAGCAAAGCTGTTTTGACACCTGTGCAGAAGTGGCCACTGTAATGGTCAGAAGAGTAGGGAGTGACACTGGGAGGATTTGAAATGGGGCACAGGAGATATCCCTTGTACCTCGCATATCTGTCATGGACCCTCTAAACCTAATCTGAGTCTTTTTCAAGGCTGCAGCCTTTACCAGGACTTAGTGTAAGAGTATGAGTGACACAAGTTCTGATTCCCCTGCCTCAGCTGATCTCAAGACCATACTTGGTATACACCACTTATTTCTACCACCCATTCTCCATTTCCCTCATCCTCGGTCAGCATTTAGTTAGTGTAAGTTGCTTGTTTTGTGCAGTGACAGAGACCCTTATCCCCAAGAGGTCTGATCCCTTACATACCCTTCCCATGCCATGGTTGTTGAATTGTGGGTCTGCCATAGTTATGAGGCAAGAGAACACTGAAAGTCACTCCTGTAGATATCCCGAGGTTCAGACATAGACCTCTCTGCCCTCACTGGCTAGCTAGCAGCAATCCAACTCCTCAAGTCAATGGAGTCTAGCACAGTGTGAGGACCACTTCGGTGCTGGCCTTGGGGAGAAGGTAAGAGAGACAGATGGACCAAAAGTTATGCATAGGAGTAGTATGGGGGCCAGAGACCTTAACAAAGAAGGGCCTATCATTTCTTGAGGACCTACTATGTGCCAGGTAGTTTGGGTGACTTGTCATTTCCACACGAGAGCGCCACCGTTATCCTCATTTTCATAAGAGGAAAATAAGTTCAGAGCAGAGAACTAACTTGTTGAGCCAGAGTCACACCCAGACTGCCCAAGGGGGTGAAGCCTACCAGGCAGGGCTCCTTTCAAGGCCCAACCTGACTAGATTTGCATGCAAAATACATAAGGAATCGTGTACCAAGACACTGCCAAGGAGTCAGATCATGACATGGCCAGCCACAGGGCACCTGCAGCCTCTCCCTCTGTCCTTCCTCCAGAACACCTCTTTGCTTCTTTTGGGTGTGAGGTGTCTTGGGCAGACCAGTAAAGTGTGATTCTTTCAAATCCATCCTGTAAACGCACCTTTCTCCTTCTTAAAGTCTCCCTGTCTTCCCAGGAGCCTCCCTATGCACCTTCAGGAACAACACCCAAGCAGGGTGCCTGTCTGCAAGGGGTGGATCCAGTCCGCGAGGCGGCGTAGCGGGCCTGGGTCTGGCCCCGGGCCAGCGAGAGCTGCGGCCGCCTGCTTTCTGTGGGAGCAGCGACAGCGCCGTAATGACAGCGCGGGCAGGGCGCGGGAAGAGTGCGGGGCGGACCCGAATTAGAAGCGCGGGCTCTCATCAGGAGATGCAGGGACCGTGGCCAAGTCCCGGGAGCGTGTCGGGCCCACTTGAAAGCACCAGGCGGCTGGGGAAGAGCAATCAGATGGAGGAGCCCTAAATCTGGAGCTGTTTAGGGTAGACAGCAGCCGCCGCAAGGGCACGCAGGCAGGCAAGGAGCCGCCGGGGCTGGCTGCAGTCGCGCGAGGGCCGCTTGGAAGGTGACGATGGATTTCAAGAGCGCCACCCGGAGGAGCCCCAGGACCTGCGGAGGGAGGGAGGCCGGCCTAGGCAGGCCTGGGCGCCGACCTCGTTTCCCGCGTGCCCTTCCCCACCTCCTTGGGTTGCCCCTGCTGCCCTTACTTTTGTGAGAGCCTCAGCGCCTGCCGCGGCCTTCTCTCCTTGAGTCGCTCTTGTTCTCTAAGGCTTGCTGGCCCCCAGGGCCATTGTTCTTCCAGACGGCGGCTGGAATAGGCTGCAGCTTCGGCATCCCTGGGGTGGTAAGAGTCAGGGCTGCTGTTGAGTGGGTGCCTCCTCTGTCCAGGCCCAGCGCTGGGAGCACCCAAGCTTTACAAAGGCAGCAGAGCAGGCTTCCCTGCGCCGGCTCTGGGCCAGACTCCCTGCCTGGACTCTGGCCACTTCTGCCACTTACTGGTTGTGAGACCATGGACAGGTCACTTAACATCTTTGTGCCTCAGTTTCCTCCTCCATAAAACAGGGATGCTGACAGTGATGACACTACTTTCCTTTCAGGGTTGAGTAGAGAGTCCTTAGAGAGGTGCAGAGCTGACTTGCGTTTTGAATCATGTCATTTACTCCTTGGAACAATGTGTGAATTGTCACATTTTATAAGGGGAAACTGAGGCTCCAAAGTGAATAGGCACTTGCCAGATGACACATCTAGCAGGAGCTGAGATCTGAAACCTACACTTTGTGACTCTAGGATCCATGCTCTTTTTGGTCTTTCAAAATCAGAAGCAGAGAAAGAGACAGAACGACAGGTAGACAGGCAGAGAGAGCCCATGCAGTGCCTGGGCTGGCCCTGGACCCTTGCCAGAAGCAGGGATTCCAAGTGGTGCTGCTTCACTTTTACTTCTACTCAGTATCCTGGGAACCAGACCAAGATCTGGAGCCAAAATTCCCACTGCAGAACGAGAGGCTCCAAATTAGATGCGTACAAAAATAGACATAGACAGGTGATCTTTCCCAGCTCTTTCTTTCTCCCCTTCCACAAACAGGGCTTAGTGATACCCTAGCCACCTACCGAGAAGCCATGGGCCCTGTGGGAGAAAGATGGGGCACTGCGGGGTTTATACTAAAACAGTAGTTGCAATCTAGTTTCAGAATCTCATCAAAGTCCTTCTCTTGCCCTTTTTAAGGCTCTGTTTCTAAACAGAAACCAAGTGGAGGAAAAGAGATTGTAGAGTTTCAGGACTTTGCAAAGGCTCCAAGCATTAGAGCATTCTCTAAGCTCTTCTCCCAGTTCTTGCCTTTCTTCTCAGTTTTCTTCTTGCAGCCCTGTGCCAAGCATTCAATTAACCACCCTGCTCCTGCCCCCATCTCAGCCAAATGGGTACCAGATGTACCATGTAGACGTCGGACAAAGTGGGATAGAAAAACTTTACTCAGACAAATTGGCAGAGAAAACACAATTAGTCAAAGCAAACAGAGCTGAAGCAGCAGGCAAGCCAAGTGTCCAGGAGCTCACCTGCAACACATTTCCAGGAGCCCCTCAAAAACCATTCATTTCAAATGGGGGCCATATGCAAGCCCCTACCCAGCAATGACAGGCTCTGAGCATAGCAAATCAAGAGTCACCATGCAAGGGGGTGGGGAAGTGAAAAGAGATGAATTTGCTTGTGTTCCACCCTGGGGTCTCCAGGAAGGATGTAGGGCCTGTGGCTGCTGTGAAAACACAAGAGCTTAGTGCAAAGAAGCAACCAGAAAATTGGCCCAGCTCCTTCCTGATCTTGCAATCTAGACCTCCAGCTGGGGCCCAGAATTGCAATCACTGGAAGAGGAAGGAACAAAGGCCCAGTTTGAAATAACTCTTTCTTTGGGGGTTCTGCTCGGATCCCTCAGCTGAAAATAACAGCCATCACCTTGGGGGGCTCCCTAATGGCCTGCCTACTTGGAGCATCAGGCAGACCAGGAGAAGCTTCTGCCAACAGCAAACACCCAGAGCCCTGGGTGGTTTGGTCCTGCCACTACCTGCGAGCAGCAGCTGAGATGCAATACTCATTCACCCTCCACCAACATTACAGACACTAAAGTGAGAATTGCAAGAATTGCCTCTTATCTCACAGAACAGCACAGTGCCAAGAAGCAGTGCTGCAAGCTTGGCCTTATATCAGACAGATATAACCTCAAATTCCAGTTCCACCTCTTATGAGCTGTGCAATCTTGAGCAAGTTACTGAACCTCTCTGGGCTTATTTCCTCATTTGTAAACTGGAGATAATACACATAATACACTTAAAGTTGCAAGGAAGATTAAGAGAAATATGCACATGTATGGTGTTGAACACATCTGGCACACAGTCAGCACTCAATAAGTGGCAGCAGCTGTTGTGCTGGGCTCACTGAAAGGACATAAACACCTATAGAAATAGGGAGGTAGGAGAGAGAGGAGTGAATATGAGGAATAAATCTGTAGCTGAAAGGTGTGAGAAGATAAAAGAGCTACAGTTGGAAAAAAACATAGCAAAGTGTCAATAGAACTACGTCATCCACACCCACTTACAAAAAGAGGAACTGAGCTCTCTAGCTTATTAGCAGGGGAAATGTTCTATTTAAAAAACCAAACTAGCCCAAAGTACACATCAACTGTACTGCATCCACATAGTGGAAATGATCACCCAGCTCTGCACTTTTCCTATTGCATAGCCTTGCATGATACCTGAGCTTGGCTCCCCTTGCATTTCACCAACAAGGCCCATCTTTTATTTTTCCTACCTATAGAAATGATTCCAGATGAAAAGTGGTGGGTGGATTACAACTAGAAAGGAAGGTATCCCAGTGTTCTTTTGGAGGCTCAGTCCCTGGAGGTGGTCTTGGCTGGTGGCCTCTGTCCATAGATCTGATACCACCACAACCCACCAGTGTGTCCCAGCATCTGCTCTGTTCTCTTCCCCAGAGCTAACCAGGGGACCTCAGGACTAACAAGGATAGTAGCAGGAGGAGGAGCCACATGGCTGAAACCTGGGAAAACCAGGCCAACTACAATCAGTCCATGGAGCTTGTATTTGGGGATTTTGTTTAACAGAGCAACAGTGAATCTCAGTCTGGAAAATTTAGCTTTATTTTCTTCAAACTTAGAAGTCCAACTCTGAGCTGCCAGTTCAAGTGTCTGGTGAGAGATTCAGTCCAGTTGCTGTTGGGGCCCCTCCCTTCCTAGGCTGCACAGGAATCTGGGGAGGCTTATCTTGCTCAGAAGATAGTGAGCAAGAGTCTCCAATTGCCTGGACATCCAGGTTGCCTCTCATCTCTTATGGCCAAACCCACAGCAATCCCTTGAAGTCTGATGGCTCTTCACTGAGTGACAGATTCACTGTCAGGCTGGGGGCTGAGGAGGCAGGGCCTTGGGCTCAGCCTGCTTATGTGTAGGTGTACCATGCTGCCTTCCCCTCCAAATTTCATCTCCTCCTTGGGATATGGCTACAAAATGGTAATGTGGTTTTACTCTCTCCCTCCCCATAGCTCCAAAATAATTTAGTCAAGAGAAAAATCTCTCCTTCTTCTCACTCATCGACCACTTAGGCTCTATAGTGGTTCAATGGTATTCCCCTGAAAGTATGTCCACTTGGACCCTCAAAATGTGACTTTATTTGGAATAATATTTTTTTTCAGATGGAACTAAGGTAAGGATCTCAATATGAGATCGTCTTGGATTAGGGTGGATCCCAAATCCAATGACAAGTGTCCTTATCAAAGAAAGCACAGAGACCCAGTGTGGAAAGCCACGTGAAGACAGAGCCAAGGAATGCCTAAAGTTGCCAACAGCCACCAGGAGCTGGGAGAGAGGCATGAAACAGATGCTTTCTCAGAGGCTCCAGAACAAATCAATCCTGCTGATACCTTAATTTTGGACTTCTGCACTCCAGAGCTATGAAATAATAAATTTGTGTTGTTTTAAGCCACCAGGTTTATGGGCAATTTCTTAGAGCAGCCCTTGGAAATCAATACAGGCCTTTAGTATTCTTTAATTACCTTAGACTTTTGCAAAGGACAGCCTTTTATCTTCCATAGCTTTTGCTTTCTGCCTTGCAAAAGCTTCTGTGGCACAGAAATGATAAGACCCTAGATCCCTGCTAACAAGGGCAAGGAAAAAAGTACAAAGGAACACATGCAAACTAAATTCTCAATACATTATACTGACCCCAAACACTTATGGAACCTTTACTTCAAAAAAAGAACTGCGATGAGTGGTGTGTGAGAGGACACAGAGATTAAGCCATGGAGCACCTGGGTTAAATTTGGGCTTCCAAAGAGGTATATTGGAGGTTGGAGGTTTGCAGGTCTGATCTAGTGACATGGTTAATGGGTCATTTCCCCAGGAAGGAAGTCTAAGGCATCAAGCCAGGAAAATATACCTGGCTTCTGAATTTGCTCATCATTCTCATAATATGTTGCTGTGAGGAAGTTGGATCTATCTGGAACCAGTGGCCCTGGTGGGAGCTTTTGACCCAGGCAGATAGAGTAGATGTGAGGTACAAGAATAAAGAACATAGCTAAGCCCTGTCTCTCCTTCCTTTGGCTCCATTCCTGGGTATTTATGCCTGGGATTGATATTGATCCCAAGTAGTGCAAAATTTTCAAAACATATCTAACTCTTTGTAACTACTATAGCATAAATTAGTACTAATTTTAATCCCTAAGCAGTGAGTTAACATGGCTATCTAGCAAAATTTAAAAACTAATAATTAATAGGTACAAATAAATGCTTTCTGACTATTGTAAACTGTTTTTAACTTGTTTATGTTTATCCATGTAGCATCTGAAAACCCTTCTACTTTTAAATCCAGGTCTCTTGGTTCTCCATAACTGTCCACAGATTACCTATGACTTTAATATCAAGAGTTCTAATGTGTGCACCAAACCCCGGTGACATGAATTTACCTATATAACAAATCTGCAAATATCCACTGAACCTAAAATAAAAGTTTTTAAAAGAGTTCTGTGCAACATCCAAAGGCTTCTTCAGTATGTTTCTTCTGTCCCCATAAAATGCAGATAGCGAAAAAAGACACAAAAAAACTCAGAAATGGGCCTCTAGCCAATTCTAAGCAGTTGTTCAATTGCTTTGATCCATCCCAATTAAGTGAGTCATCTGCCTCCATTCTCCTGGTCTCTGATCTGTTTCTGTGGTTTAGTTCTAATACCTTAAACTTATCCTTAAGCACAGCCATCAGCACTGCTTGCCTCGCTTTGTGTTTCACAGAACAATTATGACTTGAACTTGCTTCGGTAAAAAGGTAAATATTTCGTAAGAGAAGGAACTAACCCTCAGAGCTAATGGAACAAAGGAGTTGAATGCTACCAAGTTTCTCTTCTTGCGATTCCCTCTTTACTCCTCTCTGTTGTCCAGTTCATTTTCTAAGATCAGCTTCCTTCACTTGGTTGGAAACTGACTATCAGCCACTCCCTTGACTCATATGCTTTCAGCAGGGGGGGATTTATGTCATTTTATAGCACCAATTGAAAAAAAAATCCTAGGGAAAAATGCTGATTGACTTGGCTTAGACTATATGCCCATCCCCATGACTACTGGGATTTATGATTGACAGCATCAATAAAAACATAGGAATGGGGAACGAGTTTCCCCAAGGACAAGGAAGGTGTTATTCCAAGATTAAAGGAAGGTGAGTACAGGAAAAACAAAACAAAACACCCCTTGATGTCCACTATTCTTTACTTGACCACAATATGGTATTTCTCTCCAAATACGTAACTGCTTAAGACTGCTGTGGCTCAAGGAGTCTTTCAGACAACTTTCCTGAGCTGCTTCTTCTTACACTGATAGGTGGCATTCTTACCAAATTCACCTAAGACTCAAGAGAAGAATGCTGTTAAATCTCCAGTTATTCATTATATATGTGTGTATGTGCATATACACACAATTTGTATTGTAAACACTTTATAAGATACTCTTATTTTGTATACAATCATAGTTCATTTAGGTTTACCTACATATTTTTCACTGTGTTTGTTCTTTAGTCCTTCTTACATGTTAGACTTCCCATCTGGGATTACTATCTTTCTGTCTAAATTATATCCTTTAGAATTTTCTTTCATGTAAGCCTGCCAGTGATAAACATCTCTCCACTTTTTTGCTTTGGTTTTAAATTTCATGTTTGTTCTCATTTCTTCTGTATTCTTGAAGAATATCTTAGTTTGGTATAGAATTCTAGGTCAGTAGATTTTTTTTAACACTTGACTCCATGTTCTTCTACTGCTCACTAATCATCTATGTGGCTGTTGAAAAGTCAACTGTCTGTGTAATTGTAGTGCCTTTGACGACAATTTGCATCTTTCTCTCTACATGTTTTAAAATATTTGCTCTTTGATTTTTTTTTTGTAGCTTCATTTTGATGGGGTGGATTTTTAAAAAATATACCATTTGACATGTGATACACTCCTTAAATCTGCGGGTTTCGTTACAGAAATTGTTAGCAATTATCTCTTTAAATTTGCCTCTGCCCCATTTTTACTTGATTCTCCTTCTGAGATTCATCTTAAACCTATTTTAGGTTTTCTTATTCTACCACATGTGTCTCTTATCCTCTCTAATTTTTCTTTTTTATATTTTTTCATTTTTCTGTGCTGTTTTAGATAATTTCTTTGGATCTATTTTCCAATATACTAATCCTCTCTTCAGTTGGGTCTACTGTACTAGTTAACCCATTATTTAATTCTTAATTTAAGTTATATCATTTTTAGTTCTAGACATTCTGTTTCTTTTAAATATCTGCTATATCACTTTTTATTACTTCCTGTTTTCTGCAGATCAGGTTGATTCTATGGCTTAGAAGTTTTACAGTCTGTGTTTGACAATTCCAGTATTTTAAATTTATTTATATTATCATGTCTTTGAGCTGGTTATTGCTCAAGGTGTCTTATTTCCTTGTCTATCTGGTTATCTGCTGCATGCTGGTCATTGTGTCTGAACGTGTGTGTGTGTGTGTGTGTGTGTGTGTGTGTGTGTGTGTGTGTGTATATATATGTGTGTGTGTGTGTATATGCAAGCTGGAGACCCAGGGAAGCCAGCAGTGTAGTTAAAAAACCTCAGAATCAATAGTGTAGATTCCTATCTAGGTCTGAAGGCCTGAGAACCAGGAGCACCAAGGACAGGAAAAGATCCGTTTCCCAGCTCAGTCAATCAGGCAGAATTAATTCAACCTTCTTCTACCTTTCTGTTTTATTTAGGCCCTTTTGGATTGTTTGATGGCCACCCACATTGGAAAGGTCATCTGCTTTACTCAGTTTGCCAATTCAAATGCTAATTTCTTCCAGAAACACCCTCACAGACACACTCAGAAATAATGTTTAGCCAGCTACTTGGCATCTTATGGCCATCAAGTTGACACATAAAATTAATCATCACGAGTGCATCCATTGTCAACTTGGCACTCATACATATCTCCTGAAGCCATACTTAGTCTTCAAATAAAGACAATAATAAGGTCAAAATTCCACCTAATGTGATACAACTATCCTGCATACAACCAAAAATGCACTAGCCTCTGCCCTAGAAGAAAAGGTAAAGTTCTTGAGTGATATTTACTTTTCTCCTTGATATTCACAACTTAAATACTCTCATATAAAATTAGCAATACTAAATACTATGATATAAAGTCAACATATCTTATGTTACATGATAAGGGAATGAGAGAAGAAAGAAAACAAAGAGATACACACACATATTCTAACAAAATGAGAAAATACGCTTGACAATTATAGTCTTCATTTCTGTAACTGGTCATGTAATTATAGCTGATATTTATAATTACTTTCTACCACCCACTCTGTATTCCCTTTGCTTTCAGCAAGCACCCTGGCTGGCTGTGGTTCTTTACCCAGTGGTGTGACCCAAACTTTTATTCCTGAAAGGTCTGGGCTATTAGTGGTCCTGCTTAGATTGGGTTGTAGTTTTCCATTGATTTTAATCACAGGGCATGGTAATACTAAGATGCCCTAAGGGATCTGCCATATTCCACATATACTTTTCCTTATCTGCATGGTAGAATAGCAGTCCAATTTCTCCTTTGTAGTCAGGATTAATCACCTCAGCCAGCACAGTAATTGACATCTTTTCTGTTCATTCAGATGCATGAGGAGTCTAAAGTGTCTGAGTGGCAGTCTTAACTTCCAGTTCAGTGGAATTACTGCTGTATTTCCTTGTGGAAGTATTTCCTCCTTTGGAACTAAGACCTCTAAGCCTGGAGAGCATAAAGTCATGGGAACAGAAAGAACAATTTTTCCAAGTAGAGGTTACTGGGCGGGCATAGGAGTAAGTGGTGCCACTCTCATTTTCACCCTTTGATTCAGCAATCCTGACTGTGGGAGAAACAATACCTTGTATTGCTGGATTCAGAACACATACAGCTTTCTGGAAAACCTTGCCTCAACCCTGCAAGGCACTGCTACCTAGCTGCTGCTGTAGTCTTCAAAAGGCCATTTCACCATTCCGTCAAACCACCTACTTTAGGGTGGGGCGCACACACTATCTAGTTGCCTCTTTAGTGCTTCAAGATTGTTATTTTCATATTGCATCAGAATTTTAGTTTTCTTCAGCAGAAAAGTTGCTCTAAATGTCCTAGCTTGCCATTTTAGGAGTTATTATATGTTAGTAAAAAATATTATACTAGAAAATGAGAAAAAAAGAAAAGAAAAATCTTCCAAAATCCTACCATCAGAGATATCCAGTATTAACATTTTAGTAAAAATATTTTCAGAACCCTTTCTACACAAGCAATCACACACAAATTTTTCTATATAAATGGAAACCTGTATTATTAGCTAGCCTGTAACTTTTGCTCAACATGTTTATTTTCCACGTTAACTTAGATATTGTAACTTATAATGTTTGCATAATAATGCAGTTGACCCTTGGTCAACATGAGTTTGAACTGCAGGGGTCCACTTATAGATGGATTTTTTTCAAAAGCTGTATTAGAAATTTTGTGGAAGATTTGCAACAATCTGAAAACTCACAGATGAACCGTGTAGCCTACAGACACCGAAAAAATTAAGAAAAAGGTATGTCATGAATTCATAAAATATATGTATATAATACTCTACTTTATCATTTATTTACTACCATAAGATATATACAAATCTATTACAAAAAGTTAACATTAATCAAAATCTGCACAAACACAGACCATGCATAGTGCCATTCACAGTCCAGAGAAATGTGAACAAACATAAAGATGCAGTATTAAATTATAACTACATAAAATTAACTGTGGTACCATACTCTACTATTGTAATAATTTTGTAGCTACCTCCTGTTGCTATTGTGGTAAGGTCAAGCATTGCAAGTATCCTTTTGAAATGCCATAGAATGCTAATCATCCTTGCTTGAGCAGTTTGTCTCTCCAATAAATTGGGTATTGCCGTAAAAAGTGATCTCTCACACAAGCCACTGTTGCAGCAATGCCAGCAGACATGAAGACCTTGCACTTTTTGTAAAATACATTTTTATCTCATATTGAAAATGCAGCTTTTAGTGGCACCAGGACTGCTCTAAGAAAGGCACGCCCTGTAGTCCCAGCTACTTGGGAGACTGAGGTGGAAGCATTGCTTGAATTCAGGAGGTTGAGGCTGCAGTGAGCCATGATCACGCCACTGCACTCCAGCCTGGGTCCCTAAAAAAAGAGAAAGAAAACACAAAGACATGCCTATAGGCTGTAATATGATTTGAGAGAAAGCAAAGTCATCGTATGAAAACTTTACACAAACGGTGAAGAATCTAAAGCTGGAGAACTCTATGTCAGCAAAGGACGGTTTAATAATTTTAGAAAAAGGTTTGGATTTAAAAATGTCAAGATAACAGGAGAAGCAGCTTTTGCTGATCAAGAAGGAGCAGATGAGTTCCCACACATCATTAAGAAAATCACTGAGGAGAAAAGATACTGCCCGAAAAGGTTTTTAATAGATGATTTTAGTAGATGAAAGTGCCCTATCCTGGAAAAAAATGCCACAAAGAAAATTTATTATTATAGTAAGGAAGAGAAGTGAGCACCAGGATTTAAGGCAGGAAGGGATAGGCTAACTCTACTATCATGTGAAAACGTAGCCAGGTTTATGATCAGGATTGTCCTCACCTATAAATCTGCCAATTCCTTAGCCTTGATGGAAAAGATAAACACAGGCTTCCAGTTTTAAGGCTGTACAATAAGAAGGCCTGGACAACAAGAACTATTTTTTTCTGAACTGGTCCCATTGGTGCTTTGTCTCTGAAGTCACGCAGTACCTTGCCCAGTAAGAGACTGCCTTTTATTACACATGCCCCTGCCCACCCAGAACACCATGAGGTCAACACTTAAGGCATCAAAGTGGTCTACCTACCCCCAAACACGACATCTCTAATGCAGTCTCAAGATCAGAAGGTCATAAGGACCTTTAAGGCTCATTAAACACAGTACTCTATGAAAAAGATTATCAACACTATGAAAGAGAACCCTGATAGAAACAACATCATGAAAATTTAAAGGAATTATCTTCAATGGCATAATTCAATTGAAGATGCCATCATTTTAGAAAAAGCCATGAATACCATTGAGCAGAAATAAAAAACTCCTGCTGGAGAAAACTGTCTAGATATTGTACATGACTTCACATAATTTACAACAGAGCCAGTCAAGGAAATTATAAAAGAGACTATGCATATGGCAACAAAAAAATGTGGGAGGTGAAGGATTTCAAGATAAGAATCTTGGAGAAATTTAAGAGCCACTAGATACCACACCAGACGAATTAACAGAAGACAACTTGATGGACAGGAGTGTTTCCAAATCAATGACAAATCATGAGGAAGAAGACATAGAAGATGCAATGCCCGATAACAAATTGATGTTAGATAATCATGCAGAATGGTTCTGATTATTCAGGACTGCTTTTGACATTAATGACATGGACTCTTTTATGATATGAAACTAAAGCAAACAGTGGTAGAAGGATTGGTACTATATAGAAACATTTTTTAGAGGAAAAAAAGTCAGATGTGTTTTCGTAAAGTTATGCCAAGTGTGCCCGCCTCCCCTGCCTCCCCTTCCACCTTCCACATCTGCCACTCCTGAGACTGCAAGACCAATCCCTCCTCCTCTTCCTCCTCCTTAGCCTACTTGATGTGAAGATGAAGAGTATGAAGACTTTTATGACAATCCCTTCCACTCAATGAACAGTAAATACATTTTCTCTTTCTTATGATTTTCCTAATAACATTTTCTTTTCTCTAGCATACTTTATTCTAAGAATACAGTATATAATACCAATAGCTTACAAAGTATGCATTAATCGAATGTTTATGTTATTGTTAAGGCTTCTAGTCAACAGTAGGCTACTGGAAGTTAAGTTTTGGGAGAGTCTACACTTATACAAGGATTTTTGACTGCACTGGGGTCAGCTCCCCAACCCCCATGTTGTTCAACTGTATTCATATCTAACACATATTGAGTACTTACTATGTACATGAATTTTCAGTGTATTAGCTCATCTAATCTTTGTAATAACTCTGTGAAGTAGATTTTATAGATTATGAAGCTACTTTATAGATTTTATAAAGTGTTTTATAGACTAGGAAATTTAAGCAAAGATAAATAATGTGATCAAAATCATACAAGTAGTAAGAGGTAGGACTAGATTTAAACTCAGACTGACTCCAAAATCTATGCTTATAAGAACTACGTCAGACAGCATACCACTATCTGGATATATTTAATTTATTAAACTAAGCCCTCTACTGATGGATAATTAAATTAGTCAGTTTTATTATATATAAAATAACTTTTAAAAATTCTTGATATACATCTTTATGTACTTGCCTATTTATTTCCTCTGAGAAAATTCTTACAAAGAGAACTGCCATTATATGCATTTAAAATTATAGATTGTGGTACAATTGCTAATCTGTCCTCCAAAAAAAGTTTACCAATTCACAACCCCTCCATTAGTTTATAGAAGTGCCTATCTATTGACATCATTTTTAGCACCGAGTTTTGTCAATATTTTCCTTTTCTGATACTTGAGCATTGAAAAATAGGATTCTCATTTTTTTGCATTTGTTTTCAAATGGTGCTTATTGAGCTGTTAGTGTCTAATGAGCTGTCTGATTCCCAATTGCTGCATTTCCTCTGTTAAGCCTTGGCTTTGACCCTGCTTTTTCCTCTTCATCAGTTTGTCCCAAGGAGACAAGCTTTTTGGTTACGCTTCCTTTCAGAACAGAAAGCATTCTTCAGGATACAGGATTACTCAGAATCTCTCCTAAACCACATGTTCTGATTAGGATGTGCTTACCTGAGTGACTAAGATACTAATTTCAGAGCTGCTATTCTTTCCCCTTTTTATGCTCCAGAATCTGCTTACTTCTTCTCTCCTTTCTAATCAATGAATTTTCTAATAAAGACACTGCATGACTGGCAGTAACCTACCATTTTTTCCAGGCCTACATAATCTTCTACTTAGAGTGTGTGAGCTTCTAAGCTTGTTACACTATTAAAAGTGACTTGCATGGTCCATTTAAAAGCTGTGGTATGGTCAAAGAACTTTAGTCTAGAAACCACAACACAATTTTTAAGACAATACTGTCTTCCTTTCTTTTTTCTTTCCTACCTTTTCCTGCCTTCCTTATTTCCTTCCCTTCTTCCATTCTCTCCTTCCTTCATTTTGAGACAGCCAGGTGGGAGGGGGTCCCTGGAGAAACCCCAACCAGGCTGCCCACTGAGGTGGAGCCTCGGGAAGTTCACGACATTTGCAGCAGGAAGGAGCCTGTGAGGAACCTGGGATAAGGGCGGGAAGCACCCTAGCAGGGACTCTGGCCTAGTCCCTGTTTTCCCCTTTTCTTCCTTTTCACCCAATAAAACCCTACTTCGCACACCCTTCAAACCATCTGTGAGCCTAAATGTTCATGGTCGTGGGATGCAACAGGACCCCCTCTTTAGGTGAACTAAGGAAAAGCCCTGCAACAGTTTTGGCACCCAATGTGGGGCTCGAGAAGTGGTGAGTAAAATGGGGACTCAAAACCTCTCACTGTTGCTTCTAAGCCTTTTCATACTCAGACTTCTGAGGTGGGGGAAACCATGTCCCCACCCACCCTGTCACTCCCAGGATTTTTCATGGCCTTTTCCTTCCTCTTTCAGGAGGGACCAGTAAGTAGCAGCTCCCCACCACTCCCCACTCCCTGCTGGGGCTGGGATGCATGGCCCAAGGGTTCTGCACAGCCTGCAGGCTGGTTCCCAGCCAGGCTGAGGCAGCCTTCCCCTTCACCAGCCAAGGTGTTTCAACTCTGTTGGACAGTAATTTAGCTTCATCTTTTCTCCCTGGTGGAGGAACCAGTTGCATAAGAATAAGAGGTTCTTCCCCAGGAATTAAAAAAATTTTTTTTTCTTTCCTCTTCTCCACCCTGTCAGCAGTTAACTTTTAAAGTTTTTTTTCCCCCGTTTACTAGACCAGGTCCCCCAACTATCACTGTTCATATTTTTCATAAAGCTTTAATTATGAAAAAGGATTTGTGGAGCTAGTCTTGGACTGTGGCCACTCTGGTGTGCTTTGCATGTCTGTATCGCTTGTCCTGCAAGACTCCATCTTGCTTTACATCCTTGGGGCATGGCCAGTAACCCCTTGGCAAAGCTTTGTTTAGCAATACTGCCTTAGAGGATGAGTCCCCTGTGGTTCATATCTGCATGTTTTCCTAGCTCTGTCTCCTAGGGGACCTCACCCAGTGACTGGGTTTTCTTCTGCCTTTCTGTGTATGTACTGTGTGTGATGTCTATAAAAACAGCTCTAATTAATTTGGCCTAAAGAAAGACAAGTGCTTGGATCTAACATTTTTTAAAGGGAAGTTAAGAGCTGTGGAATCTTTCAGTTCATGTGACTTTAATCTTTGAGAAATAAAAGCAGCCTTAAAGACGATTGGTAAAATGTAGTTGTCATTAAAATGTAAATAGATAAACTAAACTATGTAGGTCAGATGCAAGGTTTGCTGAATATTTTAAGGTTACAAACTGCTTTTTGGGTTTTGAGAACTGTCTGTCTTGTCTGCTTTACAATTGTTTAGGCCTGGGGACATATGGAACTAAACATGCCCTTAACTAAGAAGGCAAACCTTGGATGCACTTAGCACACAATTAAAGCAACTTACCGAATTTTATCTTAAAGTTAAAAATTGATAGGAGTTATCACTATAACATGTAATTGAGACTACTGAAAATAGATTTATGTGCAAGGTGTGCAAGAACAGTAAAACGTGTTTTTTAGTAAAAGGTTTTAAGAAGGCATGGAAATGTAAACTTTTGCCTAGGGTTAAAGGATTGTTTTGAGTTAAATTAGGAAAAAGCTGAAAGTTCAAAAAGTGGTGGAGGAATTGTGGAAATTAATCTTGCAGAAGAGGATCTCTATGTGAACATATTGACTAAATTCAAAAGAGTTATAAAAAGTTTTTGCTTCTTTAAAATTTCCGAGTCATCATCATTTTAGCAAAATAAATAACTTATGGTAATCTGGAATACTATTTCACAACATCAAGTGCTTTAAACATATTTTACAGCCTTCCCCAAATCAAACTTCAGTTTGAAAATTACCTTCCCTGACATCTGGCTTTTCAGATAGTCCAGAGAACCCCTGGAATGTCCAGAAAAGAGAGGTAAACAGGATTATTTGACATATTTAGGTATATGAAATTTCCAAAATGATGTTCAATCTTCTTTAGGTTATATATTGGTGAATAATGCAAACATATGTTCCAAAATTGTATGGGATTTCTAGAATTTTAATGTCTGAGTATATGCTAACAATCATAATTAGGGTTGTTATGTTATTGTAAGCTACAGAGATAACCAAACGTATTTGTCAATCGTGTTTTTAACTATGACTACCCTGGACATTTTGCTATTCAGACAATTGTTGTTTTGTTTTAATCCTTTTCAAAAGATGGCTTATAGTAAGCTATAGAACTTTAACAGGTGCTCCCAAATACAGGCTTCTGAAAACTTTGGAGATTGTGATATTGGAATAAAGGAAAATGTACAGGTCTCATGAAGAGCTGAAATGCTCATGAATATCAAGCAAAACAAGAGTTCACAAATGAACTGAACTCAGAAAGCTGAAGCAACATTTTTGACTTTTGCTTGGAATACTGCTGATCCATGTTTTGTTTTTCAGAGTCAAGGAAACTTATTTTGAACTATTTATGGCCTTTAATAATTAAGTAAGGTGTACACTCGTGTGATCAAAATTTGGAGCATGTTTGTTTCTCTCTGCCTGGCTCCCCTAGAATTTGGAAACTATCTGTGAGTTTTCTTATGGCAATATAAATAGTTGCATCAGTGCAGTAAGAATCCATTTTTCTCTTGCAACAGAACACAACTGGAGAAAACGGTTGTTTTACCAAGGCTTTGACTGGAAGGATATGCTTCCCTTTAAGGAGTCAATTTTGACCTGCAGAGCCAATAAAAGCCCACTGGAGGAACTGTCCTCCTACCCTCATCTACACAGTCCATGTACAGGGTTCCTGACCTGTGGTTAGTAAAGAATGTCACTTTCTAGCAGGTCAGGAGCTCCAAGTTTATCTTGCAACCTTAAGAGGAGAGGATCACCCAGCTCACAGGTATTTGTGGATACAAACCCATGGTTGGGCTCAGCTTTAAAATATTTTATCTGAGATTCCTCATGGAATAGAATTCCATCAAAGCCAATCCAAAAGGCCTACATAGAAATAATTATTCTTGCTGCACTTTATGCAAATAATCAGGCCAATTATAAAACTTAAGTCTATTTTGCAAACCACTCAGTCCTACAATGATTTGTTTTTTAACAAACATGAGGACTACAGAGAGAAAAATCATGTTTCAAAACTTATCATACATTTGTCATTAAATTCTAAACTCATTATTAGTTTTTAAGTTTTTGCCTACATTTTAGACTAACCCTGCTTGCTCCTGTGAACTGCAGCCATCGCTGGCTGCAGTTCGGAAAGAACAAAAGGGATGGGTAGTGTAGAAATCCAGATCAATGTTCTAGTTCTGAGCAATTATCCTGCAAATACTGCCAGGCAACTGGAATAAATAGAATGCCCGTCACTCAGAGGCTTCCTTTTGGGAAAGTAAAACCAAAGGAGCTAACCAAAGCTAAGTACCATGCACCCAAATCCTAGCAAGCTTAACTATAGCTACCAGTTATGAAAGTTATGTCACAAGACATCCTTTCCTCTCCCTTGGAGGAGGACTCAGTTCCACAGTTTCACCTTAGCATTTGGCTTATGATAAGGAGTCCGTGCAACCCCCCTCCCTCCTACCCCTGAGATACATTTTTCTCCCAGATGCAACTCCAAGCTTCGAGTCAAGGCCCTAGGAAACAAAATTGGATCTGAGGGATCCAGAGGCAAATAACAACAGAGGTTAAAAGGCACAGGGCAAGTGAGCATGGCTGATTCCTGCCAAATAAGCCAACACTAAGCTTCCTGTTTCATGGATAAAGACCACGTTAATATTCATGGCATAAATGAGGTCTAGGGAATTCGAAGGCCACTGACAGTAGGAAGGAAAGAGACACAGGTGAGAATGGATAATTCCTATTCTCTAGGGCCCCGTTTCATGGGTGCAAGTTGCTTTGACACCCACGGTGGCACGTGCCAAGGTCACCAGAACTTGGGGATGCAAGGATGGAAGAGGGAAAATAGACACTCTTCTCTCTCTCTCCCTCACTTACCACTGTGTATCTGCTGGGAAGAGAAGGGAACCAGGGACGCCTGCTTCCCTCTTTCTAAATGGGTAGCCATTCATCTTCAGTTTGTACCCCTTTCGAATGCATCCTGAACCCTTGGGACGCCTTTTAAAAATGCCTTCTTTTTCCTTTCTTCTACTTGGTTTTCTCTTCACTAATAGGTAATTGTGTCTCCATACTATGCGACACTCCCCTCAGATGCATCCTCCAAACTGGAAAGAGTTAATTTCCCAAACCTTAAACTGGTTGGGTTAGGATAGGGCCCAGTGGAAGGGAACCCAGAAGCCCAACATGCTGGCCAAAGGGTAAGGTTTTTTTGCCAGTCGGGATTTTGGCTTCCCTCTCCTTGTGCAAACTGGTAAAAAGCCTTGGAATTTTTGAGCTGTCCTTCCCCGCACCTTGTTTCATTTTGATACATGTTTTCTAATAACCTGGTTTGTCTGTTCTTGCCTTCAGGCCATCAAACTCCAAACTGTCATGCAACCAGAGCCTCTGACAATGGGCCCTTCTGCTGGGGACCCTTAAATAGGCCTCTGAGGGAGCTCTGTCATTTCCCCAAAACAGCAGTGCCCCCTTTCAGCAGGAAGCAGTTAAGATGGGTCTTTGTCCTTATCCTGAATCTAACAGCAGCTAGATGTATTTCTTTAGAGGAGAGAATGACACAGCCAGGTGGGAGGGCGTCCCTGGAGAAAGTCCAACCAGCCTGCCCAGTGAGGGTGGAGCTTAGGGAAGTTCACGACGTTTGCAGCAGGAAGGAGCCTGGATCCTCCCCTTCCTGTGTGAAACCTGGGATTTGAAGAACTGCTGGGTGGAAGTGCTCTAGCAGGGACTCTGGTCTAGCGAGAGTCCCTGTTTCCCCACTTTCTTCCTTTTCACCCAATAAAACCCTGTTCACTCACCTTCAAACTGTCCGCGAGCCTAAATTTTTGTGGCCATGGGATGGACAAGGACCCCGTCTTTAGCTGAACTAAGGAAAAGTCCTGTGACACGTTCTTCCACATTTCTTTCTGCATTATTTTTTAAACACTACAAAGACAATACATGATCCACAGCAACAATTCTTAAAACTCCACTTTCTTCTACTGCTCTCAACTGTTTCCCCTTCTAGTTCTCTTCCAGTATTTTTCCTTGCAGCTTGCCTACCACTACTTTTTCCCATTCTCCCAAATCTGCATTGTTAAAGCTCAAACAATAAATGGAAGAGACTTCCTTGGAGGGCAAGGGAGAGAAAAAACTGAACACAGGAAATTAAAAAACTGACCTGTCTTCTAAAGAAAGTGGAAATAGTAGAGATTCTCTTACACTAATAATTTTTGTCCCATCAGAAACACAGTTGCACAGTGTTTTAGTATATGTTTAGTATATGTTTTCTGATATGCTGATAGGTAGAAGCGATACTGTGCAGGTAAACCCTACTGGGGAAGGGAGGGTGGACATGGACAATAAAATGATCAGGTATGATATCTTGTCTTGGGGAAATCAGGAGAGAGTTAGGATAGCCCTCACACTATGGTTGTCACTGAGGTTGCAGTGAGCCAGTGCCATAGAACCAGACATAATTAGAGATTAGACAGAGGGGTCTTAAAAGTTCCCAAGCTCATCATCTTCTTAACCATGTTCTTTGGAATACTGGGGCATATTTAGATATTTAGAGAAGGGGAGAAAGGAAGAGAGAGAAACTTTAGGTTAAATGGTTAAACAATTTTCCTTAATGCAGGATCTGTTAAAAGCATTAATATGATAATATTAATTAATTCATTATCTCTAAGAGGAGGAGGCTACGAAATGTAGCTTAATGTTTCTTTAACTTATTTGACCACAGAACTCTTCTCTTTCTGGAACCCCTACTTTTCATAACATGATTTGGTAAGAGTAAATATAATTTTATTTTTGTCTTTACTTTCATAAGTGATATATTTTGTAACTCAAGATGTTTTATTTGTTAACAATGTACAGAATTATTGGGAGGAGAATGTACAATATGACCCAAGGTATTTCTTTATGTTTAAAATGTTGTAAAGCATTAAATATTTCAATTTTTTCTAAATATCCTTTAAGCTAACAAGAGTAATACATTTTCAACATAGAAAATTTATAAAATATCAGTAATTTTCAAGATGATACTGAAAATCATATCTAGGAGATATTGAAATTCAGTGATATTGAATTAGCATCTAGAGATAATTATCTTAATATGTTGTGGGGTTTCTTTCCTATGTTTTTATGTGTATATAAGAGAAGTATAGCAGAAAACTGATTTTTTTTTCTCTTTCATTGATGGATTCATGGTGAGATCCTTGTAACAAAAGACACATTTACAAGAGAAAAACACACAAATCTATTTAAGTTTTACAGGACACAGGGGACTTCAGAAATGAAGACCCAGAGAAACAGTAAAAACTGTATTGTTATGCTTAGGTTTGATGAAGAGTTGTCAGTTGTGCAAAGGTCTGATTGGACAAAAGAGGATATGATCTAATGGTATTAAACTTGGGAAACCATTCAGATTGTTCTTTGTGTCTCTGTGTCTTGGAGGATAAGGATGTTCCTTTCCTCCGGATATATGGAGGACATCTCTGGAATGATGGTTTTATGACATTCATAGGAAAGACAGAATCCTTGTATGTCCTGCCTCAGGTGAAAATAGGTGAAAGAGGTAAGAGTGAATGTCTTGTTCCTGCTGTTTCCTCTAAGCCAAGGTGTTATATTTTGGGGTAGCATATCCTGAACCACATCATAAACATGTGAGTATGTATATACATAACTTTTGGGGAAAATTAGGGTCATGCCATGTGTGAGACCTTGCACCTTACTTTTCTATTCACAATATTTTGAGCATGTTGTTAAATATTCATTCAAAATGGTTTTAAATAGCTGTATATTATTCTGTTGTATGACTGCATCAAATTTATTTGTTCCAATTTCATTGGACATTTAGGTTATTTCTAATTTTTCATAGTTATAAATAACACCATGATAAACATTTTATCTCTGCATATTTTCTGAGGATAGATACCAGAAAGTATATTTGCTATGTTAAAAAGTGAAACTACTTAAAGATTCTTGTTTCATGTTATTAAATTGCTTTCAAAAAAGATTATTCCAACTCAGAATATCACCAATAGTGTATCAAACAGCCTACCTCACAACATATTGGTGTTAGGACATTTAAATTGTATTTACCTGTTGCATAAATAATACTGTATATAGTGCAAAATGTTTTAAAAATTCAAAAGCAGTGAAACTTTCCCTTCCACTTTGGTCCTCCAGGCATCACCCTCTGCAGAGGCAACTGATACTTCTGGTGAATAATTTCAAAGACATTTTGTGCATATGTTAGCAAATATATGTAAATATATTCTCTTCTCCCCTTACAGTCTTGCTTATTTAAATTAATAATATTGAATGGATCTCATGCCACATTAGTACATAATGGTGTTTTTATATATTTTTGTTTTGTTTTAAAATACTGTATGTACCTTTGTTCATTTTTATTGACACATTGTAATCGTACATATTTATGGGGTAAAATTTGATGTTTGATACATATATATGTTGTATAATTATAAAATCAGGGCATTTAGCATATCTATCATTTCATATATTTATCATTTCTTTGTGGCGATAACACTCAAAGCTATTTTGTAATACACAATACCGTACTATTAACCATAGTCACTCTACAGTGCAATAGAGCACCAGAACTTATTCCTTCTAATTGTAACTTTGTGCCTGTTGACCAATCTTTCTCTGTCCTCCTCTTCCCCCTCCTTTCCAGTCTTTGGTAACCCCTGTTCTACTTTCTGCTTCTATAATAACAACTTTGTTTTTTCAGTTCCACATATAACTGAGATCATGTGGTATTGGTCTTTCTGTACTGGGTTTACTGCACTTAACATGATGTCCTCCAGGTCCCTCAATGTTTCAAATGACAAAATTTTATTCTTTTTTATGGATAAATAGTATTCCATTGTACATATACCACATTTTCTTTATCCATTCATTCATTGTTGGACATGTAGGTTGATTCTATAGTTTAGCTATTGTAAATAGTGTTACAATAAACATAGAGTGCAGATATCTCTTCAACATTCTGATTTCATTTCCTTTAGATATATACCGGGAATGACATTGCTGGATCACATGGTAGTTCTATTTTTAGTTTTTCAGGAATCGCCACACTGTTTTCTATAGTGGCTGTACTAATTTACAATTATGACCTTCTTTTTTTTTTTTTTTTTTTTTTTTTAACAATTTTTGACTTAATTCCACCAACAGTGTATGAGTGTTCACTGTTCTTTAGATTCTCACTGGCACTTGTTTTCTGTTGTGTTTTTGATAACAGCCACTCTAATTGGAGTGAAGTGTTATCTCATTGTGTTTTTAATTTGTGTTTCCCTGGTGATTTGTGATGTGGAGCATTTTCTTTTTTCGTATACCTCCTGGCCATTTGTATGTCTTCATTGAGTAATGTTAATTAAGGTCTTTTCTTTGCCCATTTTTAAATTGGGTTATTTGTTGTTGTTGTTGTTGTTTGCTGTTAAGTTTCTTATATATTCTGGATATTAAGTCCTTGTTAGATAGATAGTATGTAGATATTTTCTCCTATTCTGTAGGTTGTCTCCTCACTCTGTTACTTGTTGGCTGTGCAAAAGCTTTTTAGTTTGATGTAATCACAATTGTCTATTTTTGCTTTTGTTGCCTGGGTTTTCAAGTCTTATTTTAAAAATCCTTGCATAGACCAGTGTTATAAAGCATTTCCCATATGTTTTCTTCTAGTAGTTTCATAATTTCAGGTTTTACATTGAAGTCTTTAATCCATTTTGAATTGATTTTTGTATACGGTGAGAAGTAGGGGTGTAGTCTTATCCTTCTGCATGTAGATATCCAATTTTCCCAGCACCATTTATTGAAAAGACTGCCTTTTCTCCAAGGTGTGTTTTTGGCACTGTTGTTGAAAATCAGTTGGCTGTATGTGTGTCAATTCATTTCTGGCTTCTCTATTCTATTTCACTGTTCTACAAGTCTGCCTTTATGCCAGTACCATGCTGTTTTTGTTACAACAGCTTTGCAACATATTGTGAAATCAGATAGTGTGATGCCTCCAGTTTTGTTCTTTTGCTTATGACTATTTTGGCTATTCAGGGCCTTTTCTGCTTTCATATGAATTTGAGGGTTGTTTTTCTATTTATGTGAAGAATGTCATTGATATTTTCATAGAGATTACATTAAATCTATAGATCACTTTGGGTAGTATGGCCATTTTAAAAATATGAGTTCTTCCAATCTGTGAGCATGGATTAGCTTTCCATTTATTTGTGTCTTCTTCAATTTATTTCATCAATGTTTTATAGTTTCAATATCAACATCTTTCACCTTGTTACTTAAGTTTATTCTTAGGTATCTTATGTTGGGTAGCTATAGTAAATAAAATTGTTTTCTTGATTTCTTTTTCTGATAGTTTGCTATTAGCATGTAGAAATGCTATTAATTTCTACATGTTTTTTTTTTATCCTGTGACTTTACTGAATTTATTACTTCTAGAATTTTTTTTTTTTTTGGTGGAGTCATCAGTTTTCTATATGTAAGATTATGTTATCTGCAAGCAGGAACAATTTGACTTCCTCCTTTCCAAATTAGATGGCTTTTCTTTCTTTCTTTTGGCTAATTGTACTGGCTAGGACTTTCAGTACTATGTTGAATAGGACTGGTGAAAGTCAGCATTCTAGTCTTTTTCCCTTGTTCAGTATGATGTTAGCAGTGGGTTTGTTATATATGGCCTTTATTATGATGACGTACCCAATTTGTTGAGTCTTCTATACCTAATTTGTTAAGAGGTTTTTTTTTTTTTTATCATGAAAAGATATTGAATTTTGCCAAATGTTTTTCTCCATCTATTGAAATGATCACATGGTCTTTGTCTTTCGGTGTTTCACATTTATTGATTTGCATATGTTGAGTCATCCTTGCATCTCTGGGATGAATCCTACTTGATTATAGTGAATTATCTTCTTAACCTACTGTTGAATTCAGTTTGCTAGTATCTTGCTGAGAATTTTTGCATCTACGTTCATCAGGAATATTGGCTTATAGTTTTCTTTGTTGTTTCTGCTGTGTCCTTGTCTGGTTTTGAAATCAAAGTAATGCTGGCTTTATACAATGAGTTTGGAAGTATTCCCTCCTTAATTTTCTGGAATAGTTTAAGGAGAATTGGTACTAGTGTTTGTTTAAATATTTAGGTGAATTCAGCAGTGAAACCATCAGGTCCTGGGCTGGTTTTTTGTTTGTTTTTTAGTGGAAGATGACTCCTTATTACTGATTCAATATCCTCACTGCTTATTGGTCTTTTCAGAATCGATACATTTTCTATTTCTTCATAATTTAATCTTGGTAGGTTGCATGTATCCAGGAATTTATTCATTTCTCCTATATACTCAAGCGTATTGGTGTACAGTTGTTGATAATGGTCTTTTACAATCTTTTGTATTTCTGTGACATCAACTGTAGTATCTCCTTTTTCATCTCTGATTTTACTGATTTGGATCTTTTTTCTTCTTAGTCTAGGTAAAGGTTTCTTATTTTGCTTATCTTTTCAAAAAAGCAACTCTTCCTTTTGTTGATCTTTTGAATTGTTTCTTTAGCTTCTATTTGTTCATTTCTGCTTTGAGCTTTACTATTGTTTTCCTTCTACCAATTTTGGTTTTACTTTGTTCTTGGTTTCTTGAGG
The DNA here is from genome assembly GCF_000001405.40 of Homo sapiens. NCBI lineage: Eukaryota > Metazoa > Chordata > Mammalia > Primates > Hominidae > Homo > Homo sapiens. The sequence goes on along the minus strand of NC_000005.10, from coordinate 116,338,092 downwards.
TGCATAGTTAGGGTGTTCATTAGAAATTCTTTTTTTTTTCCATGTAGGCATTTATTGTTATAAACTGTCCTCTCTGAACAGCTTTTCCTGTGTCTTATAGGGTTTGATATGATGTATTTCCATGTACATTTGTCTCAAAGAAAGGTTTAATTTTCCTTTTAATTTCTTCTTTGGCCTTTTGGTTACTTGGGAGCATCTTGTTTAATTTCCCATGTATTAGTAAGGTTACTGAAGTTTTTGTTATGATTGATTTCTAGTTCTATACCATTGTGGCCTAAAAAAATACTTAAATTATCTCTATCTTCTTCAATTTGTTAAGACTTATTTTGTGGCCTGAAATACGATCTATCCTGAAAAATGTTTCATGTGCAGTTGAGGAGAATGTGTATTCCATAGCTGTTGGGCGGAATCTTCTGTATATTTCTGCTAGGTTCATTTGGTGTATGTCATTGTAAGTCCAATGTTTCTTTGTTGGTTTTCTATCTAGTTGATCTGTTCATTGTTGAAAGTGGGGTGTTAAAGACTTCTACTCTTATTATATTGCAGGATGTCTCTCCTTTTAGATCTAATAATATATGCTTTATATGTTTGTGTACTCTGGTGTTGAGTGTATATATTTTTAGAATTGTTATATCCTCTTGTTGAATTGATTTATCATTATATAATCACCTTCTTTGTCTTTTTTTATTTTTTTAACAATTTTTGACTTAAAGTCCAATTTATCTGATGTAAGTATGGCAACTCCTGCTTGCTTTTGCTTTCCATTTGCATGCGATATCATTCTCCATTTTTTCATTTTCAATCTATATTTGTCTTTAATAGTAAGGTGGTTCTGTTCTGGGCAACATATAGCTGGGTTTCATTATTGTTTTGCTTAGTTTTTTTAGAGACAGGGCCTTACTGTGTTGCCCAGGCTGGAATGTAGTAGTTATCTGCAGGTCTTATCATAGTACCCTACAACACCCTTCTACTCCTGGCCTCCAGTGATCCTCCCACCACAACCTCATGAGTATTTGGACTACAGGTACATACTTACACATCTGGCCATGTTATCACTTGTGTACCTACTCTTTTTCTTTCTTTGTGGCTACCATGGGGCTAAAATAAAGACTGGATTAAGAAAATGTGGCACATATACACCATGGAATACTATGCAGCCATAAAAAATGATGAGTTCATGTCCTTTGTAGGGACATGGATGAAATTGGAAATCATCATTCTCAGTAAACTATCGCAAGAACAAAAAACCAAACACCGCATATTCTCACTCATAGGTGGGAATTGAACAATGAGAACACATGGACACGGGAAGGGGAACATCACACTCTGGGGACTGTTGTGGGGTGGGGGAAGGGGGGAAGGATAGCATTGGGAGATATACCTAATGCTAGATGACAAGTTAGTGAGTGCAGCGCACCAGCATGGCACATGTATACATACATAACTAACCTGCACATTGTGCACATGTACCCTAAAACTTAAAGTATAATAATAACAATAAAAAAAAAGAGTCTCGTAGGTAGAATATTTTAGACTGATAACAACTTAACTTTGGCTGCATAAAAATACTCTAGACTTTTTCCTTTCCTCATCCCACAATTTGTATTTTGGTTGTCTTAATTTTCTAAAGATATAAATTAAGGCAACCAAAATACAAACTGTGGAATGGGGAGAGAAAAACGTCTAGAGTATTTTTAGCCACTCATTGTAGCAGCTGAGGTTTTTGACCTTTTTGACTTTAGACACTGATATATGAGGACTGATTTACACAGCACCATTACTGCACTGGGATATTCTGAGTATAATTATGGATTTACCTAGATGAGTATATTTTATACTTTCACATGCTTCCATGGTAGTAATCATCATCTTTTTATTCCCAGTCAGCAACCCCTGAAGCATTTCTTGTAAAGCCAGTTTAGCATTGATGAATTTCCTCAGTTTTTGCTTGTCCGGAAAGTTCTTTATTTCTCTGTCATTTCTGAAGTATAGCTTTAACGAATATAGTATTATTGGCTGACAGTTTTTTATTTCAATGCTTTGAATGTATTTTTGCACTCTCTCCTGGTCTGCAAGATTTTTGCTGAGAAATTTATTGACAGTCTAATGGAGATTCCCTCATATGTGACTCAATGTTTTTCTCTTGTAGCTTTTAGAATTCTCCATTTGTCAGTGACTTTTGACAATCCTATTATAATATGACTCAGAGACAATTTGGGGGGTATTGAATCACACTGAGAATCTTTGAGCTTCCTGGATTTGGATGTCCACAGCTTTCTTCAGACTTTGGAAGTTTTCAGCTATTATTTCATTAAATAGGTTTTCTGTGACTTTTTCTATTTCTTTTCCCTCTGACACTTCTATAATGCAAATATTTTTTTCACTAATGGTGTCCTGTAAGTCATGTAACCTTTCTTCATTCTTTTTATTCTTATTTCCTCTTTATCTCTGACTGGGTTATCTTAAAAGACCTATCTTCCCTTTCAGGAAATTTTTTCTTCTTTATTCAGTCTGTTGTTGAAGTTCTCAATTGATTTTTCAATTTTATTCATTTCATTTTTCAGCTCCAAGATTTCTGTTTGGTTCTTTGTGACATCTATCTCTTTGTTGAATTTCTAATTAAGATCATGGGTTATTTTATTAATTTCATTGAATTGTATTCTTGTGTATTGAACTGAGTTTCTTCAAGATCACTATGTTGAATTCTTTTCAGTCATTTTATAAATATCCTTTTTTGAGGGTCTGTTACGGGAGTCTTATTTAGTTCCTTTGGAGATGTCATGTTTCCTTGCTTTTTCATGTATCTTGGGTTTCTACACTGACATCTGAACCTCTACTGAAATAGTCACCTTTTCCAATTTTACAAAGTAGCTTTTGAAATAAGTGGCTTTTTTTTTTTTTTTTTTGGTAGATAGTTCCTTAGAGTGTCTGTTGAGAATGGTGCATTGGCTCTGGTTCTGGCTGGACTCAGTATTGTGGTCTTTGTAGATTCATTATCTGTAATTTTCATCTGCAATACCTGCAATTGTCTCAGTGGCCTAGGCTGTGGGAGTTTGTGACAGTGGTAGTGCAGTTTTGATGGTGCAGGGGTGCTGGGTTTGTTGTCAGGCTGAGTGCAAGTTGGGTGCCAGCAGGCTGTGTGGCAGGCTGTCTGGGAGGCCAGGGCTACCAATGAGCTGGCTGTCAGGCTAAGCATGGGTGCATGTGGACCAGGCAGCTAGATGCACAGGGCTCTCTCTGATGGGGCAAAGGTGTCTCTGGGACAGCTGTACGGCTGGGGACAGGGGCATGTGGACTGGGCAGCTGCACAGGAATCACTCTAGGAGGGCAGGGTCAACTCTGGGTTGGTTGTTGGGTGGGGAGTGGGCCAACGGCTGCACAGGATCCTCTCTAGTGGGGCAAAGCTGCCTTCTGGCTGCCTATGATGACGGGGGTGGGTACACATGTGCTTGACAGTTGCATGAGGCTTTCACACTGTGTAGGTCATGTTGTTTCCCTGGAGGATAGAGTGACTCCTGGGTTTTAACATCAGGGTCTTAGTAATTTTTTCAAGTCTAGATTCTAGGCAGTCAGGGCATGTGTGGTGCAGGCACTTGTGTAGACATAGTGAAATGACAGTGGGCCCACAGGGATGGGGGATTTGGTACCTACTGTCTCCCAGGGCAGGACACGTTCCAGCAATGGTTCCAGTTTTCAGGATGGCACTGTGCCATGGCAGCTTAGGCCACAGGGGTGGGGGCTATCCCAGAGGTTCCTTCTCTGGGGCAATGCAGCTGTGTACATGTGTGACAACTGTCTACACAAGATTTGTGGCCTTTGAAGACTGGAGGACCCTCTTGTAGGAATTGCTGCCAGTGTTTGTGGTGGTGATGGGGAACTGCCAAGGATCTCCTGCTTACCATCTCCCCATAAGAAGTCCCCTTGGCTCCAGGACAAGCATGGCAGGGTAGACAGTATTGGAGAGGTAGGATGCCTTGCTCCCCTCTCTGTGGTGTTACGCTACACTTCCATGCTCCACAGGGATCTGACTGCTCCCCTGGTGCTCCCCGGTATACAGTCTCAGACTCTCCAATTGAGATATAGTTGTTTATTTGTTGTTTTGGTCCTTTTTGATGGCAGTCGTGGGGCACAAACCAAGCACCAGGCAAGTCTAGTTGCCATCTTGACGATGTCCCTTTGTTCTCATATACTTTAACAGCTGATTGGCATTCCATTGTGTAAAATGTTCTACAATTTTTCAAACCAATCTTCTATTGACAAACATTTGTGCTATTGCAAAATGTATTATTATACATATATACAAAAATATTAAGGTCGCATCCCTAGAAGTAGATTTGTTACTGCAAAAGATGTGTGTAGTCAGTAACTTTGTTAGGTATTAACAAAATGCTGAGTGGAGATTATGCTGCTTTATATTAAGAATCACAACAGAATGAGAGTGCCTATATTTCCACACTTTCATCCGCTGATGTACTGGTAAATAATTGACAACTGGCTTTCTGGGAGAGAGAAAGGGGGACCTGATTTGTAGCATTTGTCAATTTCCATGATGTAAATACATTTACGATGACTGATTTTTTTTTTTTTTTTTTTTTTTTTTTGAGACAGAGCTTCACTCCGTTGTCCAGGCTGGAGTGCAGTGGCATGATCTCGGCTCACTGCAACCTCCACCTCCCAAGTTCAAGCAATTCTCCTGCCTCAGCCTCCCAAGTAGCTGGGACTACAGGTGTGCATCACTACGCCTGGTTAATTTTTGTATTTTTAGCAGAGACGGGGTTTTACCATGTTGACCAGGCTGGTCTCCAACTCCTGACCTCGTGATCCACCCGCCTCGGCCTCCTAAAGTGTTGGGATTACAAGTGTGAGCCACTGCATCCAGCCACCATGGCTGATTTTAAGAAATCAACATGAAGCCATTGTATGGGGAGTTGGTAAGAAACATCCACAATCAGGTTTTACACTATCCTTATCTGTGCAGAATATAAGCAAACATTTTAATTGTTAGCAATTTGATTGGCAAAAATGATATTGTCTATGAGACTGAGTATTCTTTCATATATTTAAAAACATTTCTTTTCCAGAAGCTATTATTATTATTATTATTATTATTAAGTTTTAGGGTACATGTGCACAATGTGCAGGTTTGTTACATATGTATACATGTGCCATGTTGGTGTGCTGCACCCATTAACTCGTCATTTAGCATTAGGTATATCTCCTAATGCTATCCCTCCCCACCCCACCGACAACAGTCCCCAGAGTGTGATGTTCCCCTTCCTGTGTCCATGTGTTCTCATTGTTCAATCCCCACCTATAAGTAAGAACATGTGGTGTTTGGTTTTTTGTCCTTGCGATCGTTTGCTGAGAATGATGGTTTCCAGCTTCATCCATGTCCTTAAAAAGGACATGAACTCATCATTTTTTATGGCTGCATAGTATTCCATGATGTATATGTGCCACATTTTCTTACTCCAGTCTATCACTGTTGGACATTTGGGTTGGTTCCAAGTCTTTGCTATTGTGAATAGTGCCACAATAAACATACGTGTGCATGTGTCTTTATAGCAGCATGATTTATAATCCTTTGGGTATATACCCAGTAATGGGATGGCTGGGTCAAATGGTATTTCTAGCTCTAGATCCCTGAGGAATCGCCACACCGACTCCCACAATGGTTGAACTAGTTTATAGTCCCACCAACAGTGTAAAAGTGTTCCTATTTCTCCACATCCTCTCCAGCACCTGTTGTTTCCTGACTTTTTAATGATCACCATTCTAATTGGTGTGAGATGGTATCTCATTGTGGTTTTGATTTGTATTTCTCTGATGGCCAGTGATGATGAGCATTTTTTCATGTGTTTTTTGGCTGATGTGAAGAACCTCTTCAAGGAGAACTACAAACCACTGCTCAACGAAATAAAAGAGGATACAAACAAATGGAAGAACAGTCCATGCTCATGGGTAGGAAGAATCAATACTGTGAAAATGGCCATACTGCCCAAGGTAATTTATAGATTCAATGCCATCCCCATCAAGCTACCAATGACTTTCTTCATAGAATTGGAAAAAACTACTTTAAAGTTCATATGGAACCAAAAAAGAGCCTGCATCGCCAAGTCAATCCTAAGCCAAAAGAACAAAGCTGGAGGCATCACGCTACCTGACTTCAAACTATACTACAAGGTTACAGTAACCAAAACAGCATGGTACTGGTACCAAAACAGTGATATACATCAATGGAACAGAACAGAGCCCTCAGAAATAATGCTGCATATCTACAACTATCTGATCTTTGACAAACCTGACAAAAACAACAAATGGGGAAAGGATTCCCTATTTAATAAATGGTGCTGGGAAAACTGGCTAGCCATATGTAGAAAGCTGAAACTGGATCCCTTCCTTACACCTTATACAAAAATTAATTCAAGATGGATTAAAGGCTTAACATGTTAGACCTAAAACCATAAAAACCCTAGAAGAAAACCTAGGCAATACCATTCAGGACATAGGCATGGGCAAGGACTTCATGTCTAAAACACCAAAAGCAATGGCAACAAAAGCCAAAATTGACAAATGGGATCTAATTAAACTAAAGAGCTTCTGCACAGCAAAAGAAACCACCATCAGAGTGAACAGGCAACCTACAGAATGGGAGAAAACTTTTCCAGGAGCTATTTCTTTATACCCTTGGTTTATTTCTCTTTGGAGCTAGAAGGCCGTTTATTTATTTGTTGAATCACTTTATGTAATAAGATTATCTGTTTCATATATGATTGCAGTAGCAAATAGTTCCCTTTTTAACTTATCTTTTGACTTTATGATTTTTGCCCTGAAGGAATTTTTAACTTCATATGATTATATTTACATTATTTTATTATGTTCCTTAACTTATGCACTACAGTTAGATTTTCTCTAGTCTAAAATTTAAAAAATATAATTATTTTCACATGATTTCTTCTTGTAATTTTATAATTTTATTTTTTACACATAAAATCTTGGAAACTTTTTTCTCCATGTTTCTAATTTTTGTCAGCACATTCTTTAAGGCAAATATATCAAGTTGGTTGACAGTGTTGCTTGAATCTCCTATATACTGACAATTATTTTTTGGTCTACTGGTTCTACTAATTGAAATCTTCAACTCTATCTGCAGATTTGTCTTTTTTCTTTTCCATTCTATCAGTTTTTGCTTCATGTGTTTTCAAAGTCTGTAATTAGGTGCATACACATGTAACAATGTTATTCTTTGTTGATATTTTGACTTCCTTATAATTATGTAGCTGCCTTCTTTATTCCCGTAAACATTCCTTGATCTGAAACTTATTTTGTATTATGTTAATATAGCCACCTGATATGGTTTGGCTGTGTCCCCACCCAAATCTCATCTTGAATTTTAGCTCCCATAATTACCATGTGTTGTGGGGGGAACCTAGTGGGAGGTAACTGAATCATGAGGGCAGGTCTTTCCCATGCTATTCTAGGGAAAGTGACTAAGTCTCACAAGATCTGATGGTTTCATAAGGGGAAGTCCTCCCGCACACGTTTTTTTGCCTGCGCTGCAACCACGTAAGACATGATTTTGCTCCTCCTTCACTTTCCGCCATGATTATGAGGCCTCCCCAGCCATGTGGAACTGTGAGCCAATTGAACTGCCTTCCTTTATAAATTACCCAGTCTCAGGTATGTCTTTATTAGCAGTGTGAAAACAGACTAATACAGTAAATTGGTACCAGTAGAGTAGGGTGTTGTTATAAAGATAACTGAAAATGTGGAAGCTAATTTGGAACTGGGTAACAGGCAGAGGTTGGAACAGTTTGCAGGGCTCAGAAAAAGATAGGAAGATGTGGGAAAGTTTGGAACTTCCTAGAGACTTGGAGGACTCAGAAGAGAGGAAGATGTGGCAAAGTTTGGAACTTCCTAGAGACTTGTCGAATGGCTTCGACCAAAATGCTGATAGTGACATGGACAATAAAGTCCAGGCTGACGTGTTCTCAGATGGAGATGAGGAACTTGTTGGGAACTGAAGCAAAGGTGACTCTTGCTGTGCTTTAGCAAAGAGACTGGCAGCTTTTTGCCCTTGCCCTAGAGATACATGGAACTCTGAACTTGAGAGAGATTATTTGAGGTAACCGGCAGAAGAAATTTCTAATCAGCAAAGTATTCAAGAGGAAGCAGCGCATAAAAGTTTGGAAAATTTACAGCCTGATCACACTATAGAAAAGGAAACTCCATTTTTCTGGGGATAAATTCAAGCTGCTACAGTAATTTGTATAAGTAACAAGGAGCCCGTTGTTAATCACCAAGACAATGGGGAAAATGTCTCCAGGGCATGTCAGAGACCTTCATGGCAGCCTCTCCCATCACAGGCCTGGACGTCCAGGAGGAAAAAATGGTTTTGTGGGCTGGGCCTAGGATCCCCCTTCTCTATGCAGCCTTCAAACATTACCCTGTATCCCAGCTGTTTCAGCTGTAGCCACGGCTAGAAGGGGCCAACGTACAGCTCAGGCTGTTGCTTCAGAGGGTGCAAGCACCATTCCTCGGCAGCTTACACATGGTTTTAGACCTATGGGTACATATAAGTCAATAAATAAGGTTTGGGAACCTCTACGTAGATTTCAGGGGATGTATGGAAATGCCTGTATGTCCAAGCAGAAGTTTGCTGCAGGGGTGGGGTCCTCATGGAGAAACTCTGCTAGGACAGTGTGGACGGGAAATGTGCGGTTGGAGTTCCCACACAAAGTCCCCACTGGGGCAATGCCTAGTGGAGCTGTGAGAAGAGGGCTACTGTCCTCCAGACTCCAGAATGGTAGATCCACTGAAAGCTTGCATCATGCACCTGGAAAAGCCACAGACACTCAACGCCAGCCTGTGAAAGCAGCCAGGAGAGGGGCTTTACCCTGCAAAGTCACAGAGGTAGGGCTGCCCAAGGCCATGGGTGCCCACCTCTTGCATCAGCATGACCTGGATGTGAGACATGGAGTCAAAGGAGATCATTTTGAAAATTTAAGGTTTAATGATGGCTCTATTGGATTTCAGACTTGCATGTGGCCTACAGCCCCTCTGTTTTGGTCAATTTCTCCCGTTTGGAATGGGTATATTTACCCAATGCCTGTACCCCCACTGTATCTGGGAAGTAACTAACTTGCTTTTGATCTTACATTCTCACAGGCGGAAAGGACCTGCCTTGTCTCAGATGAGACTTTGAATAAGTTCAGACTTTAGGGGACTGTTGGAAAGGCATGAATGGATTTGAAATGGGAGGACATGAGATTTGGGAGGGGATGGGGCAGAATATGGTTTGGCTGTGTCCTCACCCAAATCTCATCTTGAATTGTAGTTCCCATAATTCCCATGTGTCATGAAGGGGAAACTGGTGGGAAGTAACTGAATCATGGAGGCAGGTCTTTCCCTTGACATTCTCATGACAGTGACCAAGTCTCACAAGATCTGATGGTTTTATAAAGGGTAGTTCCCCTGCACATGCTCTCTTGCCTGCTGCCATGTAAAACAGGTCTTTGCTCCTTCTTTACCTTCCACCATGACTGTGAGGCCTCCCCATCCATGTGGAACTGTGAGTCAAGTAAGCGTCTTTCCTTTATAAATTACCCAGTCTCAGGTATGTCTTTATTAGTAGCATGAGAACAGACTAATACACCACCCTAAATTTCTCTTGGTTAGTGTTTATATGGTAAATATTTTCTCTTCCCTTGTTTTTAACCTATCTCTGTCTTTATACTGGAAAAAGGGTTTTTGTAAACTGTTAAAGAGTTGGTTATTATTTTTATTTTATAAACTCCTTTTTAAAGAAAAGAAAACAGAGACAGAGACTCACTCTGTCACCCAAGATGGAGTACAGTGGTGAGATTATGGCTTACTGCGGCCTCAAATTCTTGGACTCAAGCTATCCTCCCACATTAGCCTCCCAATAGCTAGGACTATAGGCATGCCCTACCATGCCCAGCTTACAATCTCTGTCTGTTAACTGGCATGCTCAGACAACTTGTATTTAATTATTAATATGATTGGGTTTATATATGCCACATCTTTGTTTTCTACTTGTCACATTTACTCTTTGCTTCTTCATCTATTTTCCTGCCTTTTTTGGTATTAATTGAATGTTTTTAGAATTCCATTTTGTCTCTATTATTAGTTTATTAGCAATATCTCTTTTTTATATTTATTTTTAACGGTTATGCCAAGGTTTAACATGCATAGCTACAACTTATCACAGCCTACTGTCATATTATATTGTAAAGATTTATAAAAGTAGTATACTTCCATTTCCCTCCTCCCATCTTTTGTGCTATTATTTCCACACATTTACTATAACCTATACTATAAGCTCTACAAAACACTATTATTATTTTTGTTTAAAATAGTTACATTTCCATGACAGTAAAAATTACAGCATTTTTAAAATATTTACCCAAACGTTTTGCTATTTCCAGTTCTTTTCATTATTTTGGCAGGGGGAGAGAGGGAGAGGGAGAGAGAGAGAGAGAGAGAGAGAGAGAGAGAGAGTGTGTGTGTGTGTGTGTGTGTGTGTGTGTGTGTAGTATGTGTGTGGTTTCAAATTTCCATCAGAAACCATTTCACTTCAGCCAAAAGAGCTCCCTTTAACACTGCTTACTAGCGTAGACCTGGTACCAATGAATTTTCTTCGAGTTTCCCTTACCCCAGGTTAGTTAGGCTCTGACTAAACTGTTCCCCATCTCAGACTTGTACACACCGAGCTTCTGGCAATTTGTTAATTATAGCTTAGGTTTTCCTACTCTGGTACTGGTTCCAGCAGAGGGTTCTGCTTGCAGGTTTCTGCTCTGGTGAGTTGTGATTCTCTGTATTTGTTTGTCTGAAAGTCTTTATTGCCTTCATCTTGTAATGATGTTTTCATTAGGTTTAGAACTCTAGGTTGACAGATCTTTCAATCACCCCCCTCCATACACTCTGTAAAGATGTCATTTTTAAATGTGTTCTCAAAAAGTCTACTGTCATATTTATCTTTATTTCTCTGTATATAATGTGTATTTTTACTCTGGATGCTTTTATTTTTACTTACTTCTTTTCTAATGCTCTTTCTTTCCTTATATACATCCAAGTTTCTGACATGTATCATTTTCCTTCTCGCTGTAAAACTTCTAACATTTCTTGCAAAACAGTTCTACTGATAACAAATTCCCTCAACTTTTATTTGTCTGACAAAGCCTTTATTTCTTCTTCACTTTTTGTTGTGGACTGAATGTTTGTGACCTCCCAAAATTCATATGTTGAAACTCTAACCTCAATGTAATAGTTTATAGAGATGGTGCTTTTGGGAGTTAACTAGGTCATGAGGGTGGAGCATTCATGAACGGGATTAGTGCCCTTATGAGAAAGGCCAGAGAACTAGTTAACTCTCTTACTTCCCTGTGTAGATACAAGAAGTTGGCCATCTGCAACGTGGAAAAGGGCCCCTCACCAAAACATGACTATTCTGGCAACCTGATGTTGGATTTCCAGCCTCCAGAACTGTGAAAAATAAATTTCTTTTGTTTATAAACCAACTAGTCTATAACAATGTGTTTTAGCAGCCCAAACTGACTAAGGCAGCTTTGAATGATAAAATCAGAAAATACAAAACTCTAGGTTGGTGGGTTTCCTTCTCATAGCAGTTTAAATATTGCACTCTCTTCTCTTGGTTGCATAGCTTCCGAGGCAAAAGATGTAATTCTTATCTTTGTCCATCTATAGCTGTTTTTATCCTCTTGCTTCTTCCAAGAATTCTTTATTTTCAGTACTTTAAATATGATATACCTAGGTGTCATTTCTTTGCTTGTTTGATTTTTGCATTTATCTTTGGCGTTCTCTGAGCTTTCTAGATGTGTGGTTTGGTATCTGACATTCATTTGAGGAAATTTTCAGCCATTATTGCTTCAAATGTTTCTTCTGTTCTTTCTCTTTCCTCCTTCTGGTATGTCCATTATAGATATGCTACACCTTCTGTAATTGTCCCAAAGTTCTTCGATACTCTGTTTCAAATTTGTTAGTCTTTTTCACTTTTGGAAGTTTCTACTGATATAACCGCAAGCTCAGAGATTCTTCCCTCAGCTGTGTCCAGTCTACTAATGAGCACACCAAAGACATGCTTCATTTCTATTAGTGTTTTTTATTTTTACCATTTCTACTTTTTACATTAGAGCCCTCAGCATATTATAATTGATTTAAATTCCAATAATTCTGACATCCTTGCCATATTTAAGTCTGGTTATGATGCTGGTTCTGTCTCCTCGAACTGTTTTTGCCTTTTAGTATGTCTCAAAATTTTTTGTTGAAAGCCAAACATGCCATACTGGGTAGAAGAAATTCTGGTAAATAGGCCTTTTATTATGTGACAATAAGGCATGAGAAAAGGGGAAACATTCTATAGTTCTATGATTAGGTCTCAGTCTCTTAGTGAGCCTTTGGGCTGTGAACTTGACAAGAGCTTCTCAGTTTTATCTCCAAGCTCAGGTGGGATAGAACATCTAGAATATGCTGAAGTCGGTTTCCCTTCCCCCAGGTTACTTAGGCTCCGAGTAAACTGTTTCCCATCTCAAACTTGTGCACACCAAGCTTCCGGCAATTTGTTAATTATAGCTTAGGTTCTCCTACCCTGGTACTGGTTCCAGCAGAGGGTTCTGCTTGCAGGTTTCTGCCCTGGTGAGTTGTGATTCTCTGTTTTTGTCCTCTGTCTCTCCAGCTTTGGAGGCAGTGGTTTTCCCAGGATCTCATTCCTCTTGTTCAGCTTTGTACTTGTTAAGATGGAGTGATGACTTTCAAGCTGTTTACATGCTGAACCAGAAACCAGAAGTCTGGAGGCTTTTAAAGATGTTTCTCTTCATCACTAGTTGTCAGCAATTTGATTATGATGAACAAACCTGGTTTTTTGTTTCTTTTTTTTTCTTTAGACAGTTTCCCTTGTGATGTGATGGGACCACAGCTCATTGCAGCCTTGACTTCCTAGACTCAAGCAATCCTTTCACCTCAGCCTCCTAAGTAGCTAAGACTACAGGAACCAACTACCACGCACAGCTAATTAAAAAAAAAATAGGGGCCAGGTGAGGTGGCCGACACCTGTACTTCTACCACTTTGGGAGGCCGCGGCAGAACTGCCTGGGCTCAGGAGTTTGAGACCCACCTGGGAAACATGGTGAAACCCCATCTCTACTACAAATCCAAAAAGAAAAAAAATGTAGCTGGGTATGGTGGTGCATGCCTGTAATCCAAGCTACTCAGGAGGCTGAGGCACGAGAATTGCTTGAACCTGGGAGGCAGGTGTTACAGTGAGCTGAGATCGTGCCATGTACTCCAGCCTGGGTGCTGGGCAATAGAGTGAGACTTGGTCTCCGGGGGAAAAAAAAAATTATAGAGACAGAGTCTCCTTATTTTGCCCAAGATGGTCATGAACTCCAGGGCTCAAGAGATCCTACTCCTATGTTGGCCTCTCAAAGTGCTAGAATTACAGGCATGAGCCATTGTAACCAGCCTTGTTATGTTTCTTTTGCTTGGGGTTTACTGAATTTCTTGGATCTGTGGGTTTAAAGATTTTGTCAAGGAATAAAATGTTTTGGCTATTACTTCTTCAAATATCTTTTCTGATCCCCCTCCCTCTCCTTCTAGCTGCAATTGCACATATGTTTGACTGTTTAATATTGTCCCATAACTCACTGATGCTGTTATTTTTTCAAGTCTGTTTTTTTTTTCTGTTTCATTTGGGATCATTTACATCTGTATAACTTCATGTTCACTGATCTTTCTTTTTTCAGTGTTTAATGGGCTCTTGAATTCAGTATATTTTTCATTTCAGCTATTGCATTTTTCATTGCTTGAAGTTCCATTCAATTCTTCTTTATTTCTTCGATTTCTCCCCTCATTGTGTCCACATTTTAAAAATCATTTGAACAAATGTAGCATGTTTATAATAGCTTTTTAAATACACTTTTCTGATAATTCCATAATCTCTGTCATTTCCAGATTTATTTGTTACTAATGGATTTTTCTCCCAGGTATGGATTGCATTTTTCAGATTCCTATTCTGTATAATTTTTTTGTATAAAAGAACATTTTATATAAGTAAATAAAATTTCTGTATAAATTTTATTTTCTGTATAAAATATAAACTATTCTGTATAATAATTTTTATTGATACTCAGACATGGTGAATTTCACATTGCAGAGTGCTCAATTTTGTTGTCTCTCTTTAGTGGTAAGCGCTTTCTAGGAGGTAGTTATGTTACTTTCACACAAATTTATCCATTTTGAGGTTTTTTTAAAATTTTTAATCTATCTATTTATTCTGAGACTGGGTTATGAGACTGGCTATTTTTTCTATTTTTGGTAGAGACAGGGTTTTACCATGTTGCCCAGGCTGGTTTCAAACTCCTAGGCTCAAGTAATCTGCCCGCCTCAGCCTCCCAAAGTGCTGAGATCACAGGTGTGAGCCAATGTGCCCAGCCACTTGAGGTGTTTTTTAAAAGCTCTACTTAAGATCACATAGAGAAGCCCTTGTTTTAGGGTGATTTTGCCCCATTTCTAAGGCTTGACCCTTCTCAAGTCTCTATTGAATGTCCTTGAATTAAATAATGTCTCTTCACTGTGACTGGGCAACATTAGTCAAACAATCCCAGTCCTGTGTGAGCTCTGGGAATTGTTTACTTTACAGTTTCCTTACAATTATTTTACTTTGGAAGTTGTTATTGCCCAACTTGGTGGTGTATCTTCCATTTCTCTCCTCATTATGTTTATGTTTTCCTTTAATTCCTTTAACAGAGTATGCAGAGATTGATAATCAACCAAAGTTGCAAGGGACTCCATGAACACTTCTATAGCAGTTAATCCTTTGTAAGCAGAAGGAGAAGTCACTATATCTATGTTTAATGAAGATAGAAAGAGATGCAGAAATGTTGCATCATGTTTTTGCCCTCAACTTTTCAAATCCCAAAGACTTAAATTACCTACAGTTATTTTTAAGAAATACATTTGAAAATATTTATGTATTAAGCATTTTAACGTGGTTTGAATGTTTTTGTTCCCTCCAAAACTCATGTTGAAGTTTAATCCCCCAAAAAAACGGTGTTGGAAGGTGCGGCACAATGGGAGGTGTTTAGATCATAAGGTCTTTGCCTTCATGAATAAATTAATGAAATCATAAAATGGGCTCCCAGGAGTGGGTTTGCTCTTTTGAGCCCTTTCCCTTCTACCTCTTGCCATGTAATGATGCAGCAAGAAGGCCCTCACCAAATGCAGGTGCCTTGATCTTGGAGTTCCCAACCTCTGGAACTGTAAGCCAATAAATTTTTGGTCATTATAAATTACCCAGTCTTAGGTATTCTGTTATAGCAGCGTAAAATTGACTAAGGCTAAAATATATTCTATTCTTAGAAATAAGCCATTCAGGATTATATCTCAGATTTTTACAGCCAACAAAATTTCTGCTCTTTGGATCCTGTTCAACATAAAGCAAGAAATGCAAGATGAAAGGGGTTAGTATCTGAGTATAATAAATGGTCCAGCTTTATAAAGTTTAGGTAAAAATCTATTGTGCACTCTGTCCCTTGTGAATAGGGCTTAAAATTTAACCTCTATAACTGAATTGAGCCAATTCCCACTACCTCATGTCATTGAAAAAAATGTGGGATAACAAAACTATACTGTTCATTCTCTCTCCTTGTCTCCTAACACTCTGAACAGAGATGCTCAGAGAAGCTATATTATTACAAAGACCTCTGACTATATCTACAAATATTCCCTAGGCTATCCAAGCTTTCTTATGTCAATAACCTAACACCCTACTTTTCTCTGACCTGAACAGCTCTGGCAGGAGTATAGCAGGATATTGGGAAGAGAATACACTGACGGAGGGAACTCAGCAGCAATTTTTGTGGTTATTTTTTCCAATAAATGGCACAGAGTTGAATCCTGATAGCATACCCAGTCCTGATCTCTTTTCCACTGAAGATAAATTGTGAAAACCGTATTTCCTAAGGAACTAGTGGAATAGAAAAAGTCTATTCATAATCACCTTAAATGTTGATATCAGTATAGCTGGAAAAATCCCCTGCCTAAATCCCATGGTAAAAATTCACTAATTTTGCAGGTATTAAATCAACTGAATAATTTTGGATGGGTAGATAATGGAAGTAGCCATTCTGACAGCTAAAATACTACAGGGAAGGAAACTTAATTTTTAAGTCTCTGAAAATAATTGCAAGTAGAATTTTGTATTTTTAAAGCTACACAATTGGGATTGTTTATCATGATAAAATGTACATTTCTATAATTTCTGCATGCCAGTAGTGTTAACCTTTTATTTAGATACAAATACACAGTTTAACTACTACTGTCTGAAAATTGTTAGAGAGTAATCTCTCCATTTACCCTAACAAAAAAGGACCCAGGCCTGATTGGATCAGGCTGATATAATAAACACAGTAAAAGGTTTTCTTTCCCATTTTCAACACAGTCTTAAAGCTCTGAGAATATATTAATACACTGGGCAGAGTATAATAGCCTGTGGGGTTAGTTTCAGGTGATGAGAAGCACAAAACTTTCACAATTCTCTTGCTTACAACTTTCTGCCTGGTCAGCTCTAAATAAAGAACTATAAAAATGGCAGAAGGTACAGGAAGGAAGAAAAAACCAAAGAACATCCCATATTATTAAAATTCTTCCCTACTAGGTTCTCAATAATGTAGAAAAGAGCTGTGATAAAGAATTGGGAACTCCTCTGGGGCAGAGACTTGTATTTTACTTCTGTGCCTTCAGTGCCTAGTATATTTCTGGGTACAGTGCAGAGGAGTATTACACATATCTCTTCCTTCCATTGCTGAGGCTGTGGTGAAGACAAGAAAATTAACCCAGATGGGGCTCAGTCCTCCTCTTATCAAAGATATGCCTTCTCTGATGGACTCACACTTCACATTTATAGCCAAAATGTGACATCTTACTGTCTGCCGTGTCTTAAGTCTTGTGTGAGAATTTGTATATTTCCAGCAGAGGGAACAGCATGTGATAAGGTTGGGAGGCATAAGATTGTAGAGCATGTTTGTGAAGTCTCTGTCTCTGTTTTTTCTTTCCTATTTTGGCTGTGTAGAGCAAGTGCAGAGATTAAAATGAATCATACTCCTTCGTTTATGAAATGGTATCACAATTGGTCTGCTCAGGTTTTATTTATATAGCTATTACTTTTTCTTGTAGACAGGTTTCTGACTTGTGACAAATTAAGGCTCCCATTGATTATGTTTATAACAAAAAGTCATATGCATTTTTAATTGCTTTGTAAATTATTTGTATAAAGACATCTGAGGGTCAAGATTCTGGAGAGAAACTGAAGGAAGAGAAGGAAATTGATTCCCTGTAGCTGCTTTTTCTCTGGAGGCATTTGTTGATTTGGGCCAAAGGCCAAGAGCCTGAGAATCAAGCTTTGACTGCACAGAGGCAGAGAAACCAGCAGAACTTTTTGGAAGTATTGCAGAGCTGGAGACCAAAGGGCTCTCAACATACTTCCAGTTTTTCCCTAAACACATTTGCCAAATTCTGAAGCTACATTTAGTTGGGGGCCTAAAAAGCTTAAGCAGAACACCTTATAAAAGCAGAATTGACACTGGGGAAGTCTCACTGTGTTAAGGAAACAAAGAAAGAGTTCACGATTTACCAAAATGGGGGTCACCATGGCCATACCAGGTTCTCAACGGAAAAATTTGAAGGGCTATACCCTAAGAGCAGGAACAAACACTAGGTAGATTGAGACTTATAAAAACTGCAACCAAACATTTTCTTAGCTCGGCTCTTGATCAGATTAAATAATCAATTCTCACTTTTTATGTCTAATAAAGGATGAGTCAACTCTGGTGAAAGATACGCATCATTTGAAGACTCTAACATTTTTTAAATCCACAATGTCCAGCATACAATACAATTAAACTAGAGTTAAGAAGCAGTAAAGTGACTGATAATAAAGAGATTAAACACATAATGGAAGCAGACTGAGAAATGAACCAAATACCAGGCTTGCAAACAAAGACTTCAAAATAAGTAAGATTAATAAACAAATAAAAATAGAAAAAAAGATAGAACACAGGTATGGAAACATGAAATTTTGTTATAGGGAATCTATACTTTAATTAAACTGACATTTTAGAACTGTAAAATACAGTATCTGGGAGGCTCTGCTTCTAGTATAGAAGGGATCAGCTTCTCATACAACCAATCCTCTTTCAAATGGCAGCTATAAACTCTAAAAAATACAAAACAAAAAGAAAAATTATCTAAAGGCTCTGGAAATAGAAAAACACAGGCTGATTATGAAGGAGAGTTGAACTTTGAAAAGTGATCAGCAGAGTGAATCTCCCATTTTTATACTGCTTTGCCCTGAAGGCAGCAATAGACATACTGTCAACAGTGCTAGGTCTCCAAAATGCCAATAGAAAAACTCCCTTAAACTTATTGTCCAGAGGAAGCAGGGAAAAGATCCAGAGACAACCACAGCCACTGAAGAATGAAAGGAGAACTCTGGAAAATAGAAGGCCAGCGGTGGAAAGAGCTCATGTCTATGGCTAGTCAATGAACATGCATGAAGGGGAGAAACCGGAAGCAGCGTGCAGTTAAACTTTAGAGTACCAAGACACCACACAACACAGACATGACAGTGTGCAATTTGAATGTAACTCTTAGTATGATCCTCCATGTTCCAGTTTTCAGGTCAGAATGGGTTCAAAATGATGCCTCACATGGGGCTATCAGGAATTTCACAGGAACTGATTAATTAGTAGGTGTCTGTTGGGACTGACTCTTATGGCATAGCTGCTACCAGATATGGAAAGAGGGTTCAGGAGTATCATTTTTAGTCATTAATCCAACTATTATTTACCAAACTCCTACTGTGTTTCATGACAATCTGGCTCTCTGGACTCACCAACATGCCAGTCTCTTAGCTTAGTAATATATTAATATAAATCTGCAACAGAGAACTAGCCTGGGATCCTAGAGAAATTTATTTTCATTTAAGTTCCTAGACTATGGGAGGGAGATATTTCACTGAGTCTTGAAATAGGTACCACATTTTATGAGCTTCCATATCCCAAATACATAACACAGTGCCTGGCCCAGGGTAAGTGCTTGCTCAATGAATGTTTCTTGAATTGAACTTTGGAGAAAAATTTAGCTACTTTACCCCAACTATCCAAGGACATATTTTTCATTCTATCTGTCACTATAACAGGAAAAACTTGTAAAACTTGGCTTGGAATCACTTAGGCTGATGTATGTAGATGGACAGGCACTCTGTGGTTGCCAGGGCCTTTATGTACTTCACACATTTAACTGTAAAAGTTTCAACTGTTTTCAAACTTTGTGCAAGATTCAAATGCCTCGAATTAGCACAGACCGTGTTCCTGGGCTTAGGCCATCTCCACTTCCCAGCAAATGAACAACAATATGTACAGATCAAAGTTCTGACTACTGGGAAGATATTACTACTCTACTGTCCTTCCAGACACCTTGAGTGGGACCATAATACTGTAGCTGACCATTTCCAGCATTTGCAGCTGCCAACATATGCAACATCTTCTGTAATCATCTAATCTAAGATTTCTACCCCTTGCTCTTGCTCAGCTTCGTCTGAAACAGCAATAATTCACAGATTTGGGTTTTTTTGTGGTAATTTCTGTTATTTTCCAGGTGGCTTTCATTCCTTTTTGTTTTTGTTTTTGTTTTCTCATCTGTGTATTTTCAAATAGCCAATAGAAAAACCCACCAAAAACCCAGTCTTCGAGCTTACCAATTCTTTCCTCTGCCTGGTCCATTCTACTGCTGAGAGCCTCTAATGAATTCTTCAGTTCAGCAAATGTGTTTCTCATTTTCAAGATTTCTGTTTGATTTTTAAAATATTATTTCAGTTAAAAATTATTATGTTTATTTTATAACTTACTGTACAGCTACAGTTATCAAGTAGTATGTGCATTTGGTATAAGAATAAACATATACAGTATATGGAACCAAAGAGACTTACATAATCAATGGCCAAATAATTTTGACAAAGGTGTTAAGATAACTCAGAGGGGAAAAAAATGATCTGTTTAACAAATGATGCTGGAAAAATGGGATATCCTTTTAGAAAGAAGTGAACCTTGGCTCTCTCTCACATCATTTATCAAAATTATCTTAAAACAACTTACAGACTTTTGGTTCCAAAATGGTAGCACAGAAGCAAGCTGGCTTCACTCCCCCTAATAGAAAACCACAAACAAATACACAGCACCAACATTTTTACCGGCAACAATTCAGAACTCAAATATGAGGATAAGACAGCTCCCAGGGCCACAGAAGAGTGAAAAACTCTGAGCAAATGGTTAGAGAACTGGACTTTCACATATGTGATGTGTCCCCCACCTCTACCCAGCACTAAATGCATGGAAAATCTGCCCCAAACTCAGAATTTCCACTAGAAAAATAAGATTGAAGTGATCAATTAGCTTACCCACCATCTTGGGTGCCTTGGCAGGAGACCTGTCTTTGCCTTGACCCATGTGAAGCACTGTGACTCCTTGAAGGAAGAAATATCCCTAAGGACAGGCAGAGAAAAAAGAGGGAGGCAAGACTGTCATCCACAGCCTGGAAACTCTGCTCTGTTACTTGGCAGGAGACACCATATGAAAGAGGTTGTTCAACAGCAACATGCTGTAGGAGGTATGTTCCACAGGTCTCCTAGGCACAAACCCCCTAGCCAGTCAGCCTTGACACACTGCTGGGATAATCCCTTTGGGGCCGCCCCTGTTCATGACAGGCAGAGCTCTGATCATTCATCAACGCAAGATGAACCTGGGCTTAAGGTACCACTTAAAGCCAAAAAAGAGGCAGCAACTTAGCACTAAATATTTGCTAGCCAATATATCCAATAAAAACCAAAATAAGCTGAACAGAATAAAATGGAATAAATAACTAATCTTTCAATGCAAAGACATAAATCTGTACCCACAAGAAACAACAGCAAGCAAGGAACTATGACCTCCCCAAAAGGACAAAGCAATAATAAGCAGAATCTCTTTGCACATTGTAAAGAGATTATGTATCCATGATGAACAAAATATTACTGAGTTTTTCATTTGCCTCAGGTTCCAATATGGCTCAGAACGGCACTGTTCCTGACCCAGTCTTTCTTTACAATTTTCATTATTTTCTTCATTTTTTTTTGTTAATTTTTGTTTTTAAAAATATTGCCTTAAAATATTATTTATATTGATTGCTGAACTTCCTTTAAATTTTGTGTCTGAGTTAAGTGCCTTACTTGCCTACCCTACTCCAGGTCTCCTGCTGTCTTGAAGATGAAAACACTGAAATTTTAATACAATTCAATTTAAATAAGTAACTCTATTAAAAATTCAGAGGGATGTTAGGATTAAAAACCTTCTAAAAATTTCTGTTTTAAACAAAAGGCAGCAAAGCATATACTCCACCTGAGCACTGAGATTGAGGAAATGTATGTCTCACTGATTTCTCACAGAAAAGGCTTATTTGACTACACTCATGACCTCACAAAGTTTGATTCCACTGTGTAATAGCAAAGGGTCTCCCAGAATCTGTAAGTGAAGGCTCAGCTAAGTGCAGCTTAATGGTTTTAAAGATTAGCTATTAGCTCTCATCTGAATGCAGCAGAAAGTATCCTGGGGACTGTTCCCCATAGGAAAGAATACCTAGGACTTATAAGGCTCTACTGTTGGGGATTAAGCAAACAAAAGAGCCGTACCCTGTGCCTACTTAATGGTGTCTGGGTCTGGAAGAAGTACCACTTCTGGAAAAAGTGCCAAGGGTAACCTTCACAGCTCCCCGCACTGAGAGGACCCAGGAAGAAGAGATGAGACTGAGGATGGCTCTTTGATGTTTCCCTTCTCTGAGCCTCACAAGGCAACCCACCCCTACCTGTGGAAATCATGTCGAGTGGAGAAGGGGCCTGTGTGACTTTCCTAACACCTCAGGAGATCATGTTTTGAACAGGAACATGTGCGGACACTTGTTATTTGTCTTTTTTGCTTTATCACTGGGAATCTCTCTGTGATCTTTCCTCCCTGTAATTCTTTAAATTAAAAAAGGCTCAAGGAGAAAAAAAAAAAAAAACAACCTTTTTATGTGTCAATGCTGGTGAGATAACAGAAAAGATGAAACTGCAATCTCAACCACCTCCTTAGAAACCCAGGAGTCAGTCTCAGGACAAAAAAAAAAAATCTTTTTTGTGATTTGATCATGGATTCCACAAACCATTGTGGTTCCAGGCATCATTTTGGGAGTTACGAGATAAAAGGACTCTTCCCACCCTCTGGCCACAGTCAAGTGAGTGATAAGATGTACCACTCCAAAACACAGAGCAGGATAACCACAAGCATACAGTAGTATAGTTTTTGGTAATATAGATAAGATCTCCTTTCTCCTTAAGTGACATTCTCCATAATCGAAAGCTTTGAATTAGAGAACAAACTTTACAGAGCCTGATGAACTGTTCCTATGCTCAAGAACTGAATTTAGGTGACTGTCTTCAGCTGCATGGTGATCCCTGTGGTGGACAAATAGGCACAGGCCTTAGGTTTTCCTTAGGAATGAATTAGCTAATATTAAGGCTTTTTAAAAACAAAACTATAACTACTAAAGAAGAATGCATTTATCACCTTGCGTTGATAAATGATTTAATTTTCTCTGAGAAGAGAATACCATACAGTTTAGAGAAAAATTCACTAGAGCCTCTAAGGAAATGTTAAGAACTCTTTTTACTACATGTCACCATTATCTCATATTACTTACCTCAGTGCCTCCCAAACTTTTTCTCACATCATCCTACACACAATAAATATTTCTCTATCATATTGGAGTAAACCTTGGAGGATTTCTGAACCCTCAACTAGGCTGCTTACGGCTTAAAGAATTGAAAAGATATATGTGTCAACAGGAAAAAGCTGTTGATACAGGAGTTAAAAAGAAATTACTTAGGCAGATAGTGAGGGCACAGGAGTCCTTGGCAAGGTTTTCCTTTAAATGAAAAGCAGCCCCCCCAATCACTTTCTTTTCTAACAAAGAGTAGCCTGTAAAATCGAGCTGCAAACATAGACTAACAAGCTAGAAGCTTGCACAGGTGAATGCCAGCGGTTGTGCCAACAGAAAGAAGCTACCTGGGAATAGGCACATTCAAAACGGCAGCTCCATCTTCTCTTTGCCAGCCATGTGTACAGTATGGAATAGGCAAGATGTCCCTGGACAAGTAGAAAATCCGTTTGCATAGGATTAGGGTGGGGCAACCAGCCTCCCTTGTGCACCATGTAAACGTCACACCTGATGGAACCAATCTGTGGGCCCTAGGCAAATCAGACACCACCTCCTCAAGCCTGCCTATAAAATCTGGTGCAATCCGCTGCAGGCAGCCTTCCTCTTTCGGATGCCTCTCTCTCACAAAAGAGAGAGAGAGCTGCTCTCCTCTCTTCTTTGTTTTGCCTATTAAACTTTCCATTCCTTAACCCACTCCATGTGTGTGTGTCCGTGACATTAATCTTCTTGGTGCATGACAAGAAATCTCGGGTATTTCCCCAGACAAGGATGCTACTTCACTATATCCATGAAAATATAGGGACCTTTCACCTCAGTTAAATACATGAGAACCTGACCCATGGTCACGTATATGCCAGACAAGTTGCTGAATCTTGTGCCCATTCCAAGATAGAAGGGGCATAATGCTTGGTGGACTTGTTTCGTTTCTGGAGGTAATACAGTTTTCAATGGGTGGCTGCTTTGGCCTATTCACTAAATATCTGATTAAGACCTTTTGCTGACGTTTAAGTACCGAAATGATTTTCTACCCTACTATGTGATCCAAAATAAAATTTTAACTTATGAAAAGGCACAATATATGTGTTTGTTAAAATTAAACAATTTTTTTCTAGATTTCAAAAATCTAGATACATTCATAAAGATAAATTAATCACTATTGCTCTGTCTTTCTTCTACTAAGCACATACTTTTTCTACTTAGCCTTCATTTGACATGTGCTTTTTAAAAAAAGCTGTGAGATTTGAGATTTCAGTAGGTCTTAAGGCAAGAAAAGGCTCTATTGGGCCTAGGCATCAGTGCTAGTGACCCAGTGAATTCCAAAAGAGCTTGTGGTATCTGCAGAAGCTTGGAGTATCATCTCAAGCCTGTGGTGAGGCCTTTAAGGTTTTGAAGCAAGGCCTTCTCCTTTGAGTCCTTACTGGGCTCTGATGGATTTTGAACAGGGGGCAGTGGGTGACCACATAATCCAAACTATTCACCATGAGTGCTCTCTGCTCTCCCTATCTATAAAGGTGAGCAGGCCAAGAAGCAATCCATTATTGGATGGAAGTGATGTTTATGAGACCAAGGCCTGCCACATCTATCAGGCCATATGGAAAGATCTCTATGACTAGCTACCTGAGAGGGAAAAAAATTAAAATTTGGGATAAAGAAGCCTCAACTATATGCTGCCTTCAAGAAATGCATCTCAACTATAAAAGACCCACACAAACTGAAAGTGAAAGTGTAGAAAAAGCTATTTCTTGCAATTGGAAACCAAAAAATAGCAGGAGTAGCTAAACTTTGATAAAATAGACTATGAATCTAAGACTGTAAAAAGAGATAAAGAAGGTCACTACATAGTGATAAAGGAATCAATTTAGCAAGAGGATATAACAATTATAAATAGCAATGCAGCCAACATCAGAGCACAGTGTATAAAGCAAACATTAATAGACTTAAAAGGAGAGATAGACTGCAACACAATAATAGTAGGGGACTTTAACAGCCCACTCTCAGTAATGGACATATTATCCAGACAGAAAATCAACAATGAACCAGCAGAGTTAAAGTGCACACCAAATCTAATAGGCCTCTCTGACATTTATAGAAATTTCACCCAAATTTCTATACACGCAGAATACATGTTATTTTCATTAAAACACGGGACATTCTCCAAAATAGATGATATCTTAGGTCATAAAACAAGTCTGAGAACATTTTTAAAAAAACAGAGGTCATATCAGTAATCTTTTCTGAACATAATGAAATCAAACTAGAAATCAATAACAAAAGGAACCTCGGAGAATACATGAATACATGGAAATTAAACAAAATGCCCCCAAATTACGAATGGATCAATAAAGAAATTATGAAGAAAATCAAAAGTTTCTTAAAACACATGAAAATGGAAATACAAAATACCAAAATCTGTGAGATCCAGCAAAAGCAGTCCTAAGAGGGAAGTTCACAGTGATAAATGGCTGTATCATAAAAGCAGAAAGAGGCCAAGCACGGTGGCTCATGCCTGTAAATTCCAGTGCTTTGGGAGGACAAGGCAGGTGGATTGCTTGAGCCCAAAAATTTGAGACCAGCCTGGGCAATATGGCAAAACCCCATATCTACAAAAAATATAAAAAATTAGCTGGGCATGGTAGGGCACACCTGTCGTCCCAGCTACTCAGGAGGCTGGGATGGGAGAATCATTTGAGCCTGGGAAGTTGAGGCTGCAGTGAGTTGTGATCATGCCACTGCACTCCACTCTGGGCAAAAAAACAAGAACAAAAACAAGGCAGAAATACTTCAATAAACATTATAATAATGAATCTTCAGAAACTAGAAAAGCAAGAACAAACCACATTCAAAATCAGTAGAAGAAATAAAGAAGATCAGAGCAGAAATAAATGCAATAGAAATTTAAAAATACAGAAGATCAAAAAAATAAAAAGATGGATTTTTAAAAAGATAAACAAAATAGACAAATTTTACCCAGACTAAGAAAAAATGAGAGAAGATACAAATAAATAAAATCAGAAACTAAAATGGAGACATAATAATTGAGGCCTCAGAAACAGAAAGAAGGCTGGGCACGGTGGCTCATGCCTATAATCTCAGCACTTTGGGAGGTCGAGGTGGGTGGATCACCTGAGGTCAGGAGTTTGAGACAAGCCTGGTCAACATGTTGAAATCCCATCCCTACTAAAAAAAAAAAAAATTAGCTGGGCGTGGTGGTGGGCCCCTGCAGGCCCAGGTACTTGGGAGGGAGGCTGAGGCAGGAGAATCACTTGAACCCAAGAGGCAGAGGCTGCAGTGAGCTAAGATCAAGCCACTGCACTCCAGCCTGGGTGGAGAGTAAGACTCCATCTCAAAAAAAAAAAAAAAAAAAAAAAAGAAATGGAATCATTAGAAACAGTTATGAACAACTACATGCCAACAAATTGGAAAACCTAGAAGATGGATATACTACTCAACATATACAAACTACCAAGACTGAACCATTAAGGAATGTAAAATCTCAGCAAACCAATAATGAGTAATAAGATCAAAGCCATAGTAAAAAGTCTTTATTAAAGAAAGGCCCAGGACTTAACAGCTTCATTGCTGAATTCTACCAAACATTTAAAGAAGAACCAATACTAATTCTATTAAAGTCTTAAAAAAAAAAAAAAAAACTGAAGAGAAGGGAATACTTGCAAACTCATTCTATGAAAACCAGACAAGGACACAATGATAAAAGAACACTACATGCCCATATAACTGAAAAACACAGATGTAAAAATTCTCAATGAAATACTGCCTGTCCAAATTCAACAACACATTAAAAAGATTATTCGCCATGATCAAGTATGATGAATATCAGGGATGCAAGCATGGTTCAGCATACACAAATGCAGAAACATGATATATCACATGAACAGAATCAAGAATAAAAATCCAAAAATTGGTATGGAGCCACAAGAGACCTCGAATAGCCAAAACAATCCTGAGCAAGAGAACAACAAAGCTGGAAGGAGACATCATACTACTTGATATCAAAATGTACCACATTTTGTAACCAAAACAGCATGGTATTGGCATAAAAACAGACACATAGACCAATGGAAAAGAATAGAGAGCCCAGATATATATCCATTCATCTACAGCCAACTCATCTCTGACAAATTATTTTAATAGATGCTTGAAAAGCATTTAATAATTTAAAACCCCTCATCAAAATGGGTACAGAAAACATACCTCAAATATCAAAGGCCATATGTGACAAACCCATGGCCAACATCATACAAAACAGGGAAAAATTAAAAGCCTCTCCTCTAAGGACTAGAACAAGAGAAGTACATTCATTAACCTAAAGACTCCACTAGAAAACTGTTAGAGCTGAAAAACAAATTCAGTACAGTTGCAGGATACAAAATCAACATGTAAAAGTCAGTAGCATTTATATATGCCAAAAGCTAACAATCTGAAAAAGAAATGAAGAATGTAATCCCATTTACAATAGTTACAAAAAATATAAAATATCTTCAAGTCAATTTAACCAAAGAAGTGAAAGATTTATATGAGGAAAACTGTAAAACTCCAATGAAAGAAACTGAAGAAGACAAATAAAAGGAAAGATATCCTATGTTCATGGACTGGAAGAATGAGTATTGTTGAAATGGCAATACTACCCAAAGCCATTTACAGATTCTATACAATACCTATTAAAATACCAATGACATTTTTCACAGAAACAGAAAAAAGAATCCAAAAATTGGTATGGAGCCACAAGAGACCTCAAATAGCCAAAACAATCCTCAGCAAGAGAACAAAGCTGGAAAACAAAATAGGAAAAGGACATCTCTTCAGTAAATGATGCTGAGAAAACTGAATAACTAGGTGCAGAAGAATCAAACTGGACCCTATCTCTCACTATACATAAAAATAAAATCAAAACGGATAAAGGTATAAATCTAAGACCTGAAATTATAAAACTACTGTAAGAAAACATAGGGGAAGTGCTCCAGGACATTGAGCTGAGTCAAAGATTTTTTTGTGTAAGACCTCAAAAGCACAGGCAACCAAAGTAAAAATAGATAAATGGCATTTCATTAAGCTTAAAAGCTTCTGCAAAGAAAACAATTAACAAAGTGAAGAGACAACCCACAAAATGGGAGAAAACATTTTCAAACTCTCCCTTTGACAGGGGATTAATAACCGGAATATATAAAGAGCTCAAGAAACTCCAAAAGCAAACAAAACAAAACGAAACCAACCAACCAAACAAAAAAACCCTAAAAACAGTTAAAAAATGGGCAAAAGATCTGAACAGACATTTCTCAAGAAATAGAAATGGCCAACCAGTATATGAAAAAATGCTGAAAATCACTAACATCAGAGAAATGCAAATCAAAGCCACAATGAGATATCACTTCACCTGCTAAAATGCCTTGTATCAAAAAGACAGGCAATAACAGATGTTGCCAAGCCTATGGAGAAATGGGGACCCTCTTACACACTGTTGGTGGGAATGTAAATTAGTATAGTACAGCCACTATGGGGAACAGTATGAAGGTTCCTCAAAAAACTAAAAATAGAACTACTATGATCCAACATTCCATAATGAATGAATGAATAAAAGAAGTGGCATACATTCACAATGGAATATCACTCATCCATAAAAAAGAATGAAATTCTGGCCAGATGAGGTGGGTCATGCATGTAATCCCAGCAATTTGAGAGGCCAAGGCTGGAGAATCACTTAAGTTCAGGAATTTGACAGCAGCCTGGGCAACAAAATGAGACACCGTCTCTACAAGAAATTTTAAAAAATTAGCCAAGCATAGTGGCTGATGCCTGTAGTCCTAGGTACTTGGGAGGCTGAGGTAGGAAAATTGCTTGAACCTGAGAGGTCAAGGGTGCAGTGAGTCATGATCATGCCACTGCACTCTAGCTTGGGCAACAGAGTAAGACCCTGTCTCAGAAAAAGAATGAAATCCTATCATTTACAGCAACATGAATGGAACTGGAGGCCATTATGTTAACTGAAATAACCCAAGCACAGAAAGACAAATACTGCATGTTCTCACTCATATGTGGAAGCTAAAAAAGTGTATCTCATAAAAATAGAGAGTGGGATGGTAGTTGTCAGAGACTAGGAAGGGTAGCAGGGCTGGGAAGATAAAGGGAAATCAAAAGAATATGAATGTATTTATCAGCACTGAACTGTACACTTCAATGTGGTAAAGATGGTAAATCTTATATGTATGTTTTACCTCAATAAAAAGGATAAAAAAGAATTAAAAAATCCAATTAGATTTAAATATAAAAGCTAAAACTATAAAACTTAAACATTTGTGACATCAGAAAATGTAAATATATCTTAGAACACATAAAGCACAAATCATAAAAGAAAAAAATAAGAGCATGCCTTTTAAAAAATAAAGCACTCCTTCTTTTGAAGGCAAGGCACTGACATAGAGAAAATATCGCAATAAAAATATCTCACAAAGGAGTTGTTTCCATATAATATAAATAATTCTTATAGAGTAACGATAAATGCAATTTTTAAAATGAGCAAAGTATTTGAAAAGACAATTCTTAAAAGATATATGAATGAACAATAAGCACATGAAAAATTGTTAAATCATTAGTCATCATGGTAATGCAAATCAAAACACACATCTTCTAGAAAGCTAAATTAGAAAGACTCACAATACCAAGTGTTGGTGAGGATATGGATCATTAAGAACCCTCATAAAAGCATGGTAGGAATGTGATATGGTACAATTATTTTGGAAAACAGTTTAGCAGTTTCTTATAAAGTTAAACACCTTCCATACGACTCACTCTACTCCTAGGCATTTCTATAAGAGAAATGAAAACATGTGTCTTCCAAAAGACAGAAACGAATTTTCACAGAAGCTTTATTCATAATAGCCCCAAACTGGAACGAATGCAAAAATCCACCAATAGATAAACAGACAAATATTTTGTAATATATTCATATAGCAGAACATTATTTGGCAATGAAAAAGAACACACTTTGGATACACACAACAATGTGGATAAATTTCAAAAATACACTGAAGAAGCCAGACACAAAACAGTACATACAGGATGCTTCCCATTAACATGAAGTTCTAGGACAGGCAAAGCTAATATATGTGTACAATGACAGCACATCAGCTGTTGTCTAGGGATGGGGTAGAAGAGACTTACTACAAAGGAACACACAGAATCTTTTGAGATGGTGGAAGTGTCCTTTCTCAATTTTGGTGGCAGTTACATGAATCTGTATAGACATTTTTCAAAACTTACTGAACTGCACAGTTAAAATGATTCATTTTATTATATGTAAATTAAATCTCAGCAAAGTTGACTAAATCTCAGTCTTTCATATTTAGTTTTCAGAGAGACAGCTGGATTTTAACATCCAGGATGATGCATTGCAATGGAGCAAGCTAAGCCATTCTAAGGCCTGAGCCTTACTCAGCTGCTAGACCAGAGTCCTGGGACTACCTTTCTCTTAAACTCAGTGACATCCAAGGTCCAGAAGTCTACTATTCTGAATCTCTCTGTAACAGAATCCTATATTGGTTATTAAGAGAGGATGGCAAGATTTTGACTAAAATAGAAGTCTCAGAAACACTCATTCTATTTTATGGAATTAGGTGTTGCCCAATTTAAAAACGAACAAAAAGAAGTTGCACGGAGGGCTGCTGTATTCCCAGAGTTTAGCAGTGTCTCTTAAATGAATAAAACAAAAGTAAAAGAAGAGTATTCCTGGAGAAAACCTTAGATCTCTAGAACAGTATATGTGCAAGGAATGAGAGACACAGGGAAGAAGAGAGAAAGAAAAATAGTGGCTTTGTTGAAAACCATCAGGCCAGAAAGCATCTCAGGACTGGCTCTTAGAGCAAGCCCAGCCTACAAAGTGTATAGCCTAAGTAAGTATGTCCAAGTCCTGGAAGTTTGCTTCCTCACTGATTTAATAGAGCCATCCTCACTGCAGCAAATTCCCCAGTGAGGGAAATTTTATTTCCCATGCACCTGCAACTCCCAATTAGATGTATTCAGCTAGAGGTGGTCTGAAAAGTATAGCTCTCATTTCACAGGAACTCCTTGCAGAGCATCTGGCCTCTGCTAAGACACTTACAGGCTGGTCCATTTTCTCTGGACCCACGTGTCTCTTGCTTTCCAGCACAGAGGCGTATGCACATCTCAAATCAGTTAATCAGCATGCACTACTTCCCAATGACAGCCAACAAAGACATTCTAAACATGGTTTGGCTTAGTTCATACAGACCTTGCTACATCTACATTCATCTTTGGCTCATATGTGACCCATCTGTTGATGAAAAATTACAGTGTGTCACATACACCCATACATTCATTGTAGGATTCAGGCTAGAAGTCATGCTTTTGGGGATGTGTCAGAGGAATATGTGGAACAAATTCTGTTGGTTCTTCCCCACTTAATGAAGGATTCCATGCCTTGAATCCCTGGAAAAACATCTGACCAGAAATAGGAAAATGTCCTGATAAGTAAACCAACATGATAAATGAAGATCATTAGCATAATTAAGCTACAGATTTTGGAAAGGAGTGCTAGAGAGGCTTTACATATGGGTGTGAGACTACATTAGAGAAATGATGGATACTTTGAGCAGGGGTAGGACAGGTAACATTTTGCTTTGCCTACAAGGCTTGAGATACTGTGGTTTAACAGGTCACTGATTACCTTGAGGGGCGTCAAACCCCAAATCTAGCATATTTGACAGACTGCTAGCTGTTTTCCAAAAGGTAATAGCATTGGCAGGGGAATTTCTTGGATCCCAAACATGGACTCCTTTAGAACTACTAGGTAAAGGATAACCACATTTTAAGGTATTTTTTTTAACCACTTCCCGAAATGGCAGTTTGCATTACCACCCCTTCCTGCCCCACTTGGAGAAGCAATGCAATATGTAATGTCAAGAGTTTAGACTGAGGATTATAGAATCTGCTCTCTACTCTTGGCTCTGCCAAGAAGAGGGCTACATGACATGGGACAGGTCATTTGTCCCCTCTGAGCCTCAGAAGTGATTAGAGTACTCTGTATTTCCCTGGTTCTTTCTGGGTCTTTCTGTGTTGTTTTCATTCTTTCCTTCTGAATGTTCCCTTTGCTTGTCCTCTAACAGCAATGATTCACTCCGCCTCCCAGTTGGGGCCAATTCTGCTGTTTGACCTGCAGTTGGAGCCAGTGCTGCTTATCCCAGTCAACATTATTGATCAACATTACTGAACAAATAAGTGATCACATACATGAACAAATTTTTGACTCTTTCCTCTCAGCATGCTGGACCTCTCAGTAGGCTGTTATTACATCTCAACAAATAGGGGTGTTAAAATTAACTTAAATTGTGCTCAATTAATCAGAACTTATTCAAGACTTTTTGTGTGTCAGGCATTAAAATAGGCAGGTGCTTGTAGTGATGTGAGATATATGATAAAGTCCTACCCATAGGAAACTTTACCTTGTCTGTGACTTCACACCAACATTTAGTGAGTGCATCAACTGGGGTCCAATCAGGAGACAGGAACCAAACAGTGATTTAAATAAGGGAAGCTTAATATAAAGAATGATTAAGCTGGCTATGCACGGTGGCTCACACCTGTAATCCCAGCGTTCTGGGAGGCCAAGGCAGACAGATCACCTGAGGTCAGGAGTTCAAAACCAGCCTAGCCAACATGGTGAAACCCGTCTCTACTAAAAATACAAAAATTAGCTGGGCACAGTGGCACACACCTGTAATCCCAACTACTTGGGAGGCTGAGGCAGGAGAATCACTTGAACCTGGGAGGCAGAAGCTGCAGTGAGCCAAGATCACGCCACTGCACTCTAGCCTGGGCAACAGAGTGACAACCTGTCTCAAAAAAAAAGATTAAGCTATAAGAAAACAGTAACTATAAGATGTAAGAGAACTTTATAATGTTCCACAGGGCTGAGGGAGAGTGCTCAAGGAAGGATGGAAGGGGATCTTTCCTCAAGGCTCAGGTTCTTATCTGGTTGCAGAAGGTCTAGTTGCACTTCAATGGATGGAAGAGAGGTTTGCTGGCTTGCTCATGCCAGAGCTGGTTAACAGTCACTGAGTAAGAAGAAAGCTACTCTCTAGGAAGTACATGAGCCACAGCCAGATTGGGTATGCACAGATACTTTGGGACTATCACTGTTGGGTAGAAGGCTTGGCACTCCTAGTGTCCATGTCAGGAGGGCAAATCTGAGTGGCAGGGTACAAGTGAGTCACAACTGGTGAGGCAGGTGAGTGGGCATGCAGAGGGGCAAGAGGGCTAGAATTTCTAGTGTCTGTGTTGGGAGGGCTATGAGAAGGTGATCACTAGGATAGGTCAGGGCTGCAAGCTTACCAAGGGACTGTGTGCTCTGGCTGGGGCACAGTACCACCAGATGCACTCACACTCATACCAGTGACCAACAGTGCAGCTGCTGGAGCCTACAAGAGAAGTCCCTTCCTCCTGCAATATCCCTCCAGCACCCTCTACTTAGAAAGCTTAATATGGTGCTCACATAAAGGAGGACAGCTTAAAGGGATTCCAAACATTAACGGCAGAGAGAGAACTCAAGGGAAAATTTGGAGGGACAAAAATTGATAATTGGCACAGTGAAGTATTAAAAGAGCCTTAAACTAGGGATTAGACATTCTGAGTTCTAGTCTGAGTTCAGCTGTGTAATCTTAGGCAAGTGATTTAGGTGTCTTCGTTTTAGTTTGTTCATTTAGAAAATGGAAATAACACTTGTTCAATTAACTAAAGAATAATGCAAGGATCAAACGAGAACAAGCATATAAAAGGATTTCTATAAACTGTAAAGTGCTACACATTTCCAGTGGGTCATTGCTGTAGTAGTTGTATTCAGTTTTACACTTACCATCAAGCTGAGTAATGTTTAGCCTAGAATTAAGGCCAAAGAGATGAGCCCCTATCTTATTTCGAATCCCTGGCACCAAGCACACTTACTTAAACAAAATAAATAGGTTTGTCTTTCTTACTAGAACTACAGTTTAAAAAACTTATTTCTTGATGGATAGTCTCGTGAAGGTATTGCTGTGTCTACTCAATTATGACTAACCATAGTCTCTCAAGGGTGGCCCACACTAATCATTCTCCATTTTTCATCTTACCAGAATGCTGCTGGTGGAGTCAGCAGGAAAAGCCTTTCTGCCCCTGATCAACCTCTACCTGAGGACCTAAGGCAATGCTTTTATTGTAGATCCTGATATGCAAACAGAACTACAGCACTCCAGAAGTAACCTCATTTGACTGGCCTATTAGTTAATGGGTAAATACATGTGTAAATGAACGAATGACTAAGCAAATAGAGTTAACCGGCCAAGGCCGTGCTCAGCATCCTATTAGAATATAGTAATTATAAGGCTATCAAAAACCATTGTTCTTTAAATATAATGCCTTTTCACACACACACACGTGCATGCATGCACACACACACACCCCCACACACTCCTACCTCTGTCCATTTTTCTCCATTCCTTCCTCCACCTTTTCAAATAAATGAAGAAACCTGAGTATACATACAAAATAACTGTTGATTTGTGTATTTGCAGCATGAAACT
Organism: Homo sapiens; assembly: GCF_000001405.40. Taxonomy (NCBI): domain Eukaryota; kingdom Metazoa; phylum Chordata; class Mammalia; order Primates; family Hominidae; genus Homo; species Homo sapiens. Next base: position 116,303,686 of record NC_000005.10, on the reverse strand, counting down.
CACAGTAGAAAATCCCAGGGTTCTGTCTTGGAATCTTGAGCACTGCTCTCTGAGATCTGGAGTCTCTCTCTGTGTGAAGGTTAAGCTCCTGATGGTCTCTGCCTGTCCTGGGACTGCTGTTGATTCATGCAGGGAGAGAGCCGAGAACAAGCTGTGGCTGAAGAGGGCAAAATATGAGGACATGCTAACTGGTTTGGGAAAGGAACCTCCTGACATCTGGCTCTCTGCCCCCACAACAGTGGTCAGGAAGGAGAAGCAGAAAGAGGCAAACAAGCTTAATGGCTCTGAAACATATCATTGGACATTTCAGAGCCCCTTGCAGGGAACTGAAATGTTGCATGTTTTTTAAAGCTAACTATCACTAATTTAATTTAAATAATTTTTTTTGTACTGCCTATAACACATTTTGTGGATGAGGTTCAGCAAAAAAAAAAAAAAAAAAAAAAAAAAAGACACATAAGATTCAGGTATGGTAAATGGTCCAAGGCAGAAACAACTTGGCATTGCAGAATCAGTTTCTTCTGCTTTTGATACACACTGGGATAGGTTAACTACTTCAGGGTGAAAATAACATACGGAAAAAGCCTTTAATTCATTCATTCTCCTGCCTCAAGCACATCTCATGGGTTTCATATGATGTAAATCAGTCCAACTTGCAGATGATCAAATACGTTTAAAAAAGGAGGCACAAAGGTAGGCCTGAAGCCTCTTGGACATCTGTTACTGGAGCACACAAGAGTAACTTGATTCGTCAGTTAACATCTCATCCTCTCTTTTTCTTGGTTTCCTACTTAGCTATGTTCCACTGTAAATGCTTAGTCTGCAAAGAGAGAAGCAATGTTTTCTATTGTTCTTTTCCTTCTACAAATGCAGCAAACAGCCAAAAGATAGAATCAAGCCAGGCTACTGAGGGCATATTCCATACCTCTTCACTTTCCTAGGGAGCTAGAGGGGGATGTTGAAGTTCAAGTTCTCACTCAGAAGTACATAGAGGAAGGTGAGTGTAAGGTCAGTTTCCACCATGCCAGGAACGGGGAGCAGAGACTCTCAATGGTCTATTGTGGCAGGAAGGTAACCAATGAGCCTTTGAAACTGACCCAGCAATGTCTTCCCTCTGCTTTCAGGGAGATGAAATTTTTGCTCATTTAGAATGGAGAGTTAGAAGTGTCAAGCAGGTCTTCTTTGGGAGTCAGAGTAACTGATTTCAAAGCCTTCTTCTCTTACTCGAGGCCTACTTGAGAATTGAAAGATATGAATGATACCTTTGATGTTTTTGCCCATAGCTCTCTACGTTTATCACTGAAAAATAAGACAGATCTGCTAAGACGACTGATAAAGGACAGAGGCTGGAATTGTGATTGCATTAATGGAACCTGACTAGAGAACTTCACAAATGCCCAAATCTTATCCTGCCATTCACTCCTGATGCTGACATTTCCAGAAGAGCTACACATAGGAAGACTGATAGCAACTGGGAACCAAAATGACAATTATCTTTCAGAGCTTGGTAAGGTTGGGTAAGAGCATATGGTTCATTCTTAAGGCCTAAGAAAGACACTCCCTCCCTACCTGCCCCTCTTCCCCACACATCTCAGCTTCTCCTCAAAATCTGGACTCTCTCTATTCCATCCCATAGAGTGGAAACAAGAAATGCAAAAGGAGCACCATCCATGGGCATGGTCTTTTTATGGTTGATCTGGCCATCGATAAACATGGCCAACCAATACTTTAACTGACCAAACATGAATGGCAAGCCATTCTTCCCTAAAGGATGTGGGAGAACGAGAGAGAGGGCCAATAGGGAAGTAGGCAGAGAGGCAGAAGCATTTCTTCCTCTATAACATATTCACCCTATTTCCATAAAAATGTTCTATTTGAAATCCTATACAGAGAAGTTTATGAAATTGATTTGGCTTCCTTTAGTAAACCCTAAAGTAAAAACGCTTAGAAAAATGATGAAATAAGGTTTAAATATTTAATTATAGGAGAATTTTTAACATTTCAAAAAATACAATCCTATGGAAAGAAAATTTGATCTGATGTGGCTCTATTTTTTCAAGCAGACTCTTGTAACCCTGGATCTCCTTACACAGACTATAGAGCTAAATATAAACATTAATTAAAATAATTTTCAAAGATTATCTTGCTTACAGATTTAACTGAAAGTGTAAACTAAAGAAAAGGGATCAAAGAGTAGAAATGCATTTACAGGAATGGCATTAACTTAAGGAAAATGATCCTGGAAAATCAGAGACGGGAAGGGTGCTTCATGGAATCCAGTACAGAACCACAGCACTGTAAAATCAGTGCATTTGGGTAAGTGCTTATTGAGGGCCTGAAGAAATAACCTCACAGATGGTGGCCACCCTCTACTGGTCCATCAGTTTAGGGCACCTATCAACACCTATGAGCCTGCCAAGCAGAACTTTACAAGATCACTGACCCAACCATATGAAGGAGGTTAATAGCATATCTAGCAAAGGTGGCCACCCCCAGAGTCCTCCAAGCCTGCTGTGTGAGAAATGCCTGCACTGGATAATTTGCAAGTCCAGAAAGCCAATGCATCCAAACTCACTGACTTTCTTTTTACTACTCTAGTTACTTTGTTTGGATGACATAAGGAAAGAACATACTTTGCAGTAAGAACCAAAACTCTGACAAAGAAGGCCTTGAGTTTCAAGGATTCACAGGGCATTCTGCCATAAGGTAGAAAAGTTAGATGTTATAAATATTACTCTATCATAAGAAACTGATCCCTCACATTGGGCTCTACATCTAAAGGCACAGTCTTAGTTGCATAAAATTAAACTAAACTGTTACTGAACAGCTTTCTGTGTGGCTCTGTTTATCTTGCCTGCTTTCTGTACTATCTATGTCAACTTTATCTGATTTTTGTCCAGCTGGTATATTTGTGATAAGTTGGAACAATCTGTGCCATGTAAAGGGAGACTTAAAAAAACTTTGTCAGAATTGTCCCACATCAGTGAGGAAAGCCTGTTTGTAGGCAGTGTGTACAGGAGTGTGTGTGTGTGTGTGTGTGTCTATGTGTGTCTTTAATCAAGATACTCTTTTCAGCAGGAAATTAAAATCTTCTGGGTAATGAGCTCAGAAAATCTATACACACTGAACATATATTTCAGTATAAGAATGTTGTTGATGTCTCTCTGGAGCACTTCATTTTGACCCTATCACATAAAACAACTCTGAAATTGCTAGGAATGTAACTGTTTTCAGTCTTGCAGCATCAGTACCCAGAAGCATGTGTAGGTCAACTTCATGACTATCATAAATCTCTTCACAGCAATGCGAGAACTTGCTCTAGCCTTCTGGAGGGCAGAAATCTGGGTCTCTGGCTGGTTATAAGGCTTTTATTCTCATGTTTATCTCCTGGATGATGAATAAAAGGATCAGTGACCTCAGGAGATACTCCCTAGAAGGGATGTGGCTATTCCCTAATGGAATTACCAAATACCAGCATAGCTGGCTAAACCAGTTTGAAAACTACTTTTGTACAACTTTAAGTTTACAATTATTTTAAGAATTTAGATAGTACTGTGCAAATAAATGGAGAGAGCCCAAGGCAGAAAAAAACTACATACTCTATTAATTCATTCATTCAGTATTTCTAAAGCACCCCAATGTTCGTAGAACTACTTGCAGCAGCATGAAAGAGAGTAAGAAGCTGGACTGCAAAGTAGAACACATGGTCTGGAATACACAAGTCACCTTTTCTCTGATCAGCTGGAAATTACTCTGCTCCTCTGTCAAAGCATAAACACATTCTTGGGATGGAGAGGAATGCTGGAGCTTCCAAGGTTGATGTGTTAAAGCAGCCTTATCCAGGGGACAGCAGCTTTTTCCTTTGTCCCCTTATGTAGTCTGGTTGAAACTGCAGAATAATTTGAAATGTGGACTAAAAATAGTGCACAAAGGAAACTTAGAAATCTCAGAAGGAGAGATGAGGAAAGGCCTTGAGAAATCACTGCACTCCTTGCCTTACAGCAAGTCTATATTTATCATAGATTTAAAAAACTTTATTATTGACTTTCCTTTAAAGTTTTGGGTAGAATGTACAGTGTTTTTAATTTTTATTTGCCAATTAAAAAAATACAAACATAAGTCAGAAAAAAATAAATGCAACTATTAAATTTACTATTAACTGCTTTCCTTTACCTAGATTTTTTGAAGGAAAAATCTTTAAAAATCATTAAAAAATCAGGTTCTCATTAAAAGATGCTAAAAATGACTGAACTCTGGTTTCACTAAAAGAAGATTATTATATATTCATTATTTTTCCTGCCTTGGAGATTGAAACAGTCTCTCTAAGCCTCTAGCACCATCTTCCTTACAGATTTGTTGACTGGACTGGCTTCACCTTTCCTGTCTTTGCAGACTACTTCTTTTGAAATAAAAATCAGTAACTTTCCATTTCAAATAAAACAAAGTAGGCTATGAAAACTGCCATCATTTAGATTTGGATTGTAGGCCTCCATAACAGCTAGTACAACCTTATAGTTCAGAGAAAAGCAAAAGAGCTTCAAAAATACTTCAGGAGTGTGCATATGGCGAGATGGGAGCAATGGTTAAAAATCCTTAAAATTCTCCAAAATTAAAAATGCCATTAAGCTTTACTATAAAATACCTCAAATTAATGTGTTCCTAATTTTAGCATTAAATGAAGCTGGTCTATTGAGTAGGACTATTTGCATAATGATGGCAAAAAAAAAATCAAAGTTTTAGGGAAGCAAAATTGATCAGAAATTTAAATTATAATTCCTGAGTAGCTTCTGACTAATGCATCTGAATAAATCAGAACCATCCCAGTCCTCTTATTCAACAGTAGAAAAAGAATTATGGAAAGACTTTGGGGGAAATTTACAATATACCCTTATGGTTTCTCAAAACATTTGTCTCAAAATAACCACACTGAAGGAGGGAGGTGAATATAGGTTCCCAGTAACACTGAGAATTTAGCCTGAATTCGCAGGCTGCAAGCACAAAGGTTTTGTTCTGTTTTTTAAGGTTTCCCATTTCCTCTTTAACATTTATATGCATTTTGCCATAAAATGTAAATCTCCATTTTAAAATATGTTGTACATTACTGGCCAATTATAATAAAATTATGTTGCCACCATATTAGTTAGGCTACAGGCAAACGTGCTGTGTATAGCCTAAACTGACCCCAAATTTAATAACTCAAACAAGATATTTTATTTCTGTCAAGGGCATGGAGACAGCTGTGTTCTATAAGTATATTCAGGGACCCAGGTTCCTTCCATCTTGTTGCTCCCTACCTCTTAAGCATTAGCATTCTTGTCTGCTCAAAGCTGACTCAGCTCCAAATCTGGGTTTCAATCACAGAAAGAGGAAGACAACTGGAGATGAATGATCACTTCCATTCACAATTCATTAGCAACACTTAGTTCCACGGCTGCAGTAGCTGCAAAAGAGGATAGAAAATGTAATTTCTTCTACTTCTGGCAAAAAGTAGAAGTGATGCTATTGAAATATATACAACGTCCATCTTACGACTTTTTGTGTTCCCTACCAACTACTTTATTTCTCTAGGGATGCTCCGGTTTAGAGAGCATAGTATAAAGCAGGGTTCTGCATCCTTTCTTTCTATAAAGGGCCAGGTTTTAGGCTTTGTGGGCCATATGGTCTCTGCTGCAACTACTCAACCCTGCTGTTGTTCAAAAGCAGCTACAGACCATATGTAAACAATTGAGCATGGCTGTTGTTTTAGTTATCTATTGCAGCGTAACAAATTACTACAAAGTTAGAGGTTTAAAACAACAGAGTTATCATCTCACAATTACCATGGGTAGAGTTCAAGCATAGTTTAGTTGGGTCCTTTGTTTAAAATCTCACAAGGCTGCAATAAGAGTCAGTTGGACTGTGCTCTCATCCAGAAGCTTAACAGGGAAAAAAACAAAACAAAGCCAAACAAAAAAACGACAAGAAAACCCATTTCCAGGCTAATTCAAGGTTGTTCGCAGAATTTATTTCATAGAGGCTATAAGGCTAAGGGCCTCAATTTCTTGCTGGCTGTTCTCCCTCAGCCCCTAGAGGTCACCCTCAGTTCCTTGTCATGTAGCCCTATCCGCAGCCTCTCTTATAACATGGTATTATTTCTTCAAAGCAAGGAAGGGAGAAAGTCTCAAGAGTGAGTTTGGTAGCAAGACAACTGTGTTCCAATAAAACTTTATTTACAAAGACAAGTGGTGGGTCATGTCCATCATTTGCTGATCCTTGGTATAATGAATAAAGTGTAGAAGACATTATTTACGGTAAGAAGAAATCAAAGTTCACTGAGTAGAGAAAAAGATTTCTCAGAGCCAGAAGAGCCACGTGGAAAGGTACTCAGAAGAAAGTATTTTTTTCATTCTGGTCCCATAATACATGTATTACCTCATTTTTTAAATAAAAAATAAAAGCAGAATTGGCATTGTGTTAGAATCTGTGATTATAAAATGGAGTTGTTATTAGAATGCCAAATAAGTTTAAAGTGAAGGGGCTTCATAGCAAGCTTTCTACAATTTTGACTCTAATTCAAACTTCACCTGGAAAAATTTCAACAGAGAGTCTGCTTATTTTCTTAATGATTATAAAAATGTCAGCTAATGCTTATTATATGATTGAGATTCAAGGATTATGCTAAATGTTTAACATGAATTTCACTTAATCTTCAAAACACTCATGTTAGTTAGATTATTATTCCTATTACAAAGATAAGTAAAGTGAACTTTCACAAATTAACTTGCTCAACACACACACACAAAGTAGAAGAACAAGGATATAACCTTTGCACTGTCCTGAGAAACCAGATCGTTAAATTTTACTTAATGTGTAATAGGATCCTTTGAAGGGTTTTAGGCAGGGAGATGGTATAATTAATAGGTTATTTTTTAAAAATTAGCTCTGTACAACGACTGGACTGGAGGAGGGCTAGAATGGAAGAAAGGTGGTCCAGGGCAAAGTTGATGGCAGCTTGGACAGGGTAGTGCCCTGGAGATACACTTGCAATACATTTTGGTGGTAAAAACGACAAAACTTGTAAGAGAATGGCTCCCTGTCTACCTAATTGTAGTGCACTCCACTATGCCATCTGTTCACTACACTCTAGCCACACTGACCTTTTGGTTCCTGAAATGCGCTAAGCCTTTCCCATCCTCTGAGATTTTGCATGGGCCATTCTCTCTAGAATGCCTGTCACTCTATTCTACTATTGTGCCATCTTAACTCATCATATTGGACTCAGCTCAAATCTCACTCCTCAGAGAATCCTTCCTTGATGCCCCAGTCCAAGTTTGGTTCCATCATTAATTTTCTCTGAATAGAATCCAATTATATTTTGTCCCATATTTGTTCATTTATTCCATATTTGTTTACTTTTCACTAACACATTACATTTCAAGAGGCCAAGAACTAGTTTTGCCTATCACTGTAAACATGGTACCTAGCATACACAGTTCCTGCCACCATATTCACCATACTCAGCAGTGATTACTTGTTGAATAAATAAATGCCTGACTTCGAAGCCCTTACACTTGAATACTGAGTTATTGGCTCTCATATTTGATTTTTAAAGAGATTTCCTTTTCAATCCTTCTATAGTTATCAAAGTGACATATCTCAATATGTCCCATCACTCTTCCTAAACAAACACTGACCTCAGGTTATAAAAAATGTTGAGGGTGAAATGTATAGAAGGAAGAAGGGGCTGCTGAAGGTGGCTTGAGGCAAGTGAGTTCTCATTCATTGTTTGTGGGAGTACAAATTAATATAATCCTTTGGAGAAACAATTTAGCAATATATATCAAAGGCCTTGAAATAAATATAAATGTATTTTTGAAAATACACAAGAGGTGTGTATATTTGTATTATAAGATGTCTGGTTTTTTGTGTGTTGAGATGGGGTTTTGCTCTGTTGCCCATGCTAAAGGGCAGTGGCATGATCACAGCTCACTACAGCCTCAACTGCCTGGGCTCAAGCAGTTCTCCCACCTCAGCCTCCCAAGTAGCTGGGACCACAGGTGTGTGCCACCACACCTGGCTAATTTATTATTATTATTATTTTTTTTTTTTTTTTTTTTTTTTTTTGTAGAGACAGGACTCACTATGTTGACCATGGTGGTCTCAATCTCCCGGGCTCCAGCAATCTGCCCACCTCAGCCTCCCAAAGTGCTAGGATTACAGACATGAGCTACTGCACCCACCAAATGTCTGCAGTATTAGGTAGGTACTTCCAGGAAGTGAGATGGCAAAATGGTGCAACTTTGTTTTAATGGGCAGCTATATATATATGTATGAGAAAAGGTCTCATTCTGTCACCTAGGCTGAAGTGCAGTGGGATGATAGAATGACTCGCAGCCTCAACCTCCTGGGCTCAGGTGATCCTCCCACCTCAGCCTCCTGAGTAGCTGAGACTATAGGCATGCACCACCAAGCCTGGATAATTTTTGTATTTTTTTATAGAAATAAGGCTTTGCCATGTCGCGTGGGCTGTTCTCAAACTCCTGGGTTCAGGTGATCCTCCTGCCTCAGCCTCCCAAAGTGTTGGGATTACAGGCATAAGCCACCACACCTGGCCTTGTTTTTTTATAATGAAAATCCGATTAAAGATGAAAATAGAAAATAAATCTTCATACTTTTGACATAGCAACTCTACTTCTAGGAATCTATACTAATAATATCACGAGAGATGTGGTCTAGGGTTTATGTATAATTATATTTATCAGTGAGTTCCCTACGTTCAAAAATTTGAATAATCTAAATGTGCCAAAATTTGGACAATTTAATTATTTTGAGAAATATAAAGTATATAAAGTATAGATCATTCAAATGATGAACTATTTAATATACATTAAAATTATGTTTGGGCAATAAAGATATGAAAAATGTTCATGCTGTAAGGGTACATAAAGCAAAGTATGAAACAGAATTTATGGCATTACTTCAATTTGTTAGGAAAGAAGAAAAAATGAACAAGAAAGATAAATGGATACAAAAAAACTGCAATAAATCTATCAAACTGTCATTAATGGCCATTTTTGGATGATAGGATTCTGTAAGTTTAGATTAGTTATTTATGATTTTTTGGTATTTCCCAAATAAAAATAATCATGATAATTTATAATTAGGGAAGAATTACAAATATAATTTGTAATAGATACAAAAATTAGTTCCTCTTTCTAACAAGCAATTCTGTCTATTCAATCCTCATGTCACACACTCGTGAAAGACATACAGTAACTTTATTTACCAAGATTGCAGTTCCAAGCCCCATTAATCTCATTTATCTTATTTTTATAAAAAAGTAACATGCATTTAATACTCTTTGGAAATGCCACATGTTCTTTGACTTGTGCATCATAACAACAGTAATGTCTTAAGAAAGAAAGTTATCTTCAACTAAATATTTCAGAAATAATTATCTTCTTAGTTGGCATTAGATCTTCTACTTGCCCTTTCTTTACTGTCTCTGAGTCAGATTTTGTTGAACTAGACTAATGGAAAGAAGACTATTTGCCATATTTTTGCATAGGTTTAGAGATATTCTTAAGATAAATATAAAGCTAATTCTTTTAGGGAGCATACAACGAACTACTTTCAGAAAACTTCATTTCTAACCATCATATTTAACTTGTATACCTACATTAAGAATTCAGTTTTGCCACTAAACCAACGAAAACTTCTATTTATCTATATGGCTACTGTCAGGAAGGCCTATCAAATTTAACTTGGGATGATGTATATTTACATGTACATGAGAAAAAGTCTCAAAGAATGTTTACCAAAATGTTTATAGTACCTCTAGGACTTCAGGTATTTACTTTTGAGAACTGGCAAAACAGAGCGTAAAAAAGTAGGAGAGATCCTACAAGCCACATTATATTGCAAACATGCCTTCCAGATATTCTACCAATGAAAGTTTGAGTTTAAAAACTTTCAATCAACTATGGAAAACTGTAATAGTTGTATTCTGAAATAATCCAAACTCTCAATTCTTCTAAGCAACAGCTTACAAATAGATATACAAACAAATGTGGGTATAAATTCCATATACTGAATATTTGAGAGATACTTAACAGTTGTATTTCCCAGATGCTTCAAATAAGAAATGTGCTTCAATTTCAATGGCTTTGCTTATTTAAATATAGGACATTTCTGAAATCAAATTTCTTCATGTGAAGCAAGTCATGTTTGAATCTCTCTCTTTTTGGAAACAATACAGAAATTTCATTCATAAAAAATTCAAGTTTTTTTTAAACAAATGTATGTAAATGTATTCATTACATACATTTTAACAAATGTACGTAAATGTATTCATTTACATACATTCATGGCATAAAATATACTATAATGTATATAATTAAAAAATGTACACTTCAACCAATCCTAAGACACAAAAATTTTATTGACAGAAATCAACGTATTTATGGAAAGAGAATATAAAAGGTATCTGATTCGAATAATGGTGCCCATTTAGCACTCATTACAATTATTTTATTCAAGACCTGATTCTGTCTCCCAAACTATAAAGTGAATCATTATTAATTTGCAGTATAAAGAAAAACACACAAAAACCTGGACTATTATTAAATCATTAAACTGAGAGAGAAACTGAAGTTGACAGAGAAGCTCAGACTGGAATTAACTGATACCATACTACTCACTATTTTACATTTCCTTCCTATATTATTTCCGAAGCAAAATATACTCATCATATTCAAATAAAAATGCCATAGTGTATTTGATTGTATATGGCTATTTTCTTAATTTTATTCATGTAATTACCAAAGCTCTGTATTCTACTAAGGTACACATCTTATCTTGTATCCATGGACGCTCCTTGATACATTATGGTATCATCCAGCAAGTAAAAACTAAGCAGGACAGGCAAGAAAGCAACACTATGACAGTAAAAACAATATGGTATTCACTTTTGTTTCCTTTAAAGGGAAAGTGTTCTTAATAATTACTGTTGGCTCACAGAACTAAAGAAAGTATATTAGAACCTCAGTATTCTTAACAATGATCTCTATTGGTTGTTATTTGTCTAAGAAGTGATAAGCCATATAATTTACAGAAAGCAAGTCACTGAATCCTTCAGAAAACACAACCTGGCAATGTATCTTCAATGCAAAATAATGAGGTGGCAGGAGCGTGATGAAAAAAACAGTCTTCGAAAACATCATGTAAGGGAATCCAGCTGTGCTTGTATAGTCTCTAGCTATTTACAAAGACAAAAAAAAAAAAAGACGTTAGTGAAGGGAACGAAACTCATATCAAGTGTTATTCAGACACATGCAAATAGAAAGGAAAAAATAGCACTGGTAACTATGAATATTAAATCCATTCACATAGCAATAAAATTACCACTTAGAATATTTTTCTTTTTAGGTGAAGATATTAGAATTTGTGCTTGAAAATTTAAGTTTTCAAATTTTCAAAGAAAGAAGATTTCTTAATACTGTTGTTTTAAGTGTCTTCAGCTGTTTCCTTTTAAATTATCACTCCATAATTTTTTTTTTAATGAGACATGGGGTTTTATTGGAGGCTTACATATGAGGGAGTGGGTACAGTGGTGGTGGGCTGAACAGGATAACCACACGCATGCTCCAGTGGCAGTACACTGGCAGAAGAACTGCCTACTTGATAATATTTTAAAGTTGGGGGGTGGAGGGAGTATATTTTCCTGGATTACAAAATCAGTCTTCAGAAAGAGACATGAAATATACTCACAGATAAATCTCTAAAGGCATGTTTCCCTTTACCCTTGGGCCCAGAAATTAAAGTATTTGACATTATATATATTTAAAGTGTCAGTGTGGCTAGGAATCACAAAGTTCATTACTTAATGTTTTATATTAAAGCAACAATCCTATTGCTTTAATTAAAACTATTTTCCTTTTCTTCCTGATTTAGTTTTTCAAATTCTCTTCATTTCTGCTATACTTCCTCCTGTGAAACATAAGGTCTTTTATAAGGGAAGTTTAAAGAACTTAGTTCCATAATATGACATTTAAAAATAAGAATTCATAAAATGAAACAAAATATTATGAAAAAAACTCCACATATTAGAAAATTATTTTAAAAATACAGACCTTGTTATAGAAATCAAACAACTCCTTGTGACTGAATTCCACAAGAACTTTCTCCAGGCTCTGTAAGGAAGAAAAACAACAAAAAGAATGTAGTTGCACACAATTTACATCACATTTTTTCTCTCCAGCTAACCTCAGAATATGACATAAGATTGTCCTCTGAGTGGTTTTAAAAAATGCTTACCTGCTCTACTCAACCCCATGATTCCTAGAACTCAAAAATGCACTTAATAACACTCTAGCAAAAGGTTTCAATTCTACAGACATCTGTCCTTTAAGTTGACTCTACGAAGGTTAATAAAACATATGCCAGTAAGAGAACAACTTTATTATCTAATTTTTTCAAGACAGAGATAATACATGAGATTATATTTCATCTTTCTCAGCAGTCTGTTTGAAATCTAGTAAATACCATTACACAAAGACACTGGAGGCAGGATATCTGATTGAACTCACCCAGCCATTAATGCCTCACATCAGCACAGCTACTGCCTCCAAGCACTAATCTAGCAGTTGTGATCTCAACATGCTGAGTGTTACCTTCTTCAATGTATAGACTCAGCAAAAGTTCACAATTAACACAACAGTTTCAAAGTCAGGACTTAAACACTCTCTTTCCTTTTACTTCACATGCATTAGAGAATCCTTTATGGGTGCTACAGATGCTAGGTAATATTGTATATGTATGTATGATGCTGTAGTAAAGTATGATATTAAACTAAACCCAACTCAACTCAATCCAACCTACTTTTGGTTGATTCTGTATACTGAGGAAACAATTCAAACAATTTGCTTAAGACTGCTCAAATGTGTTTATTTTACTCAAGGTCCCTCTGAAGAAGTGAAAGTTAATGAGGAGAAAATGCCAAGAATATGCTAACTGCTCTGATCACACTGCTGTAATCACATGACATAAAATGGGCATCATGAACTAAAGAAGTAGAAAACTGATGCAAAATTGAGCCACATGGTCATTTCCAACATACTGTTTATTCTAGTTCGCAGTTTCTATGTTCACTTTTATCTGTTTTAATGATTTCCATTTCTATTTACAAAGCCGACATTTCAAACCAAATTATCTCCAACTAATTCCAGAAGAGTCAATGGGGCTATGTTCAGAAAATGCATCTCACTCTTCATGAAGCTAAGTGTACAGGATCAAATTTCCATACTTCTTCATTTTCTCTCATATATCTAAGTACTTAAGCTTTAAAATGAAAAAAGAAGTACATCTGCTTTAAAGCCTCTTCCTTTAAGAATGATATAAAATCATGAAGTTTTTATACTATATTAGAAAAATTCATTGGCTGTCACACATCATTAAAGCTCCAAAGATTTAATCAGCATCATCTATACATAGTATATGCCCTCCTAGCAGTTAAGGAAGGATGATAAGCCTAGGTTTACCCTAAAGTTCTGAGAAAAGCAAGACAAGTTCATCACTCTCACCTCCATCCAAAAAGATAGGAGAGAATGAAGGCTGAATCAGCACGTAAACAACTGATCTGATGTACCCCTAAAGGTGGCAGTCAAGCCAGGTTCTTGTTTTCTATATTTTGCTTTGCTTTGTTTTAAGGTGGTGTTTCCTAAAATGTTACATTGAGGAAAGAGAAGAAATGTAACTTCGAAAACATACTTCTTAAAAGAACAATAGCTATAGGGGTAGACTAGAAAGCTAGAGGCCCTCTTTCCACCACTAAGGTACCAAGTTAACAATATACGGATCAGAATACCCTTGTGAGAACTTGAGAGACCAGTTGAGATGCTACAGCACCCACACCATTATAAAACCAAGAAGGAATTCCAATGAAAGTGGTAGGAAATGAATTTCACAGTGTTCAGTGTATTCATGCATGCCTCTCTCCCATGTGGAATAGCGGAGCAACCAAGAAGAACCCACCACCCCCCATGCCAGAGCTCCTCCCTCAGGACAGAAATAAAAGAATGAACCATACATCCAACATTCTGGCTTTCTGGGGGATTCCCAAGGAACTGGTTTCTGTATTAATTAAAGAAGGGCACTCACACGCCCAGCACCAGCGTTTGGAAGGCACTGAAAACAGAGGTGAGAGGCATATTAGAGCTGCAGTTCCACGGGCAGGTGCCAGAGGGAGCAAAATATCAGAAAACATTTGAGAGGCCCTAGAACTCCCAGCTGGGGTATTAGTGAAGGTCTTCCCCTGCACAAAGCCAGTATGCAAAGACTAGGGGAGGTAGTTGTCTTTCAAAATGCCCAGCAAAAATCACAAAGCATACAAAGCAATAGGGAAATATGGCCTAATCAAAGGAACAAAATAAAACTCGGGACACTTACCCTGAAGAAACAAAGGTCTATCAGCTACCTGACTGGGAATTTAAAATAACTATTATAGGGATGTTTAATGAGCTAAAAGAAGGCTGGGAGCGGTAGCTCAAATCTGTAATCCCAGTACTTTGGGAGGCTGAGGTGGGTGGATCACCTGAGGTCAGGAGTTCGAGACCAGCATGGCCAACATGGTGAAACCCCATCTCTACTAAAAATACAAAAATTAGCCAGGCATGGTGGCATGCACCTTTAATCCCAGCTACTCAGGAGGCTGAGGCAGGAGAATCACTTGAACCCAGGAGGCAGAGGTTGCAGTCAGCCAAGATTATGCCACTGCACTCCAGCCTGGGTGGTAAAGTGAGACTGTCTCACAAAAAAAAAAAAAAAAAAAAAAAAAAAGAGAGAGAACACCAACAATTGAAAACAATCAGGAAAATGATACATGAACAAAACGAGAACATCAAGAAAAACACAGAAACTATAAAAAAGAACCAAACAGAAATCCTGGAGCTGAAAAATACAGTAACGGAATGGAAAAACTTATTAGAGGTATTCAACAACAGTTTTAGGCAGAATGAAGAATCAGTGAACTTGCAGACAAGTTATCTGAAATCACTGAGCAGAGGAGAAAAAAGAAAGAAGAAATGTGAAGAGATGATAAGGGATTTAGGACAATATCAACCAGGTCCATATATGCATGATGGGTATTCCAGAAGGGAAAGTAAGAGAGAAAAAAATAAGAGAGCTTATCTGAAGAAAAAATGGCTGAAAACTTCCCCAATCTGTGGACAGAAATGTACATACAGATCAAGAAATTCAAAGAACTCCAACGAGGAAAATCCAAAGATAACCATACTAAGAAACATTATAGTCAAACTGTGTAAAGTCAAAGACAGAAACTTAAGAGCAGCAAGAGAAAAGTGATTTATCACATATGAGGGAGCTTCCATAATATTATCAGCAAATTTCTCAGCAGAAACTTTGAAGGCCAGAAAGGAGTAGGATGATATACTCAAAGTGCTGAAAGGAAACAAAAACAAAAACAAAAAAACTATTAATCAGGAATACTGCATCTGGCAAAACAGTTCTTCAAAAGTGAAGAAGAAATTAACATTTTCCCAGATAAAGAAAAGCCATGGGAGTTCATCACCTAGAGCTAATCTATACAAAATGCTAAAGGAAGTTCTTTAAGTTGAAATGAAAGGACAGCAGGCAAAAACACAAAGCTGTATAAAAATATAAGGTTCTCAATAAAGGTAAATACATGGAAAAATATAGTAATACGTAATACTGTAAATTTAGTATGTGAAATTTAAATGAAAAAACCCCAAAACAAAACAAAACCCATAAATCTATATTAATGTACATGTAATATATAGAAATGTAATTTGTAACATCAGTAACAAATGGAGAAGTGGAGCAGTAAAGGAGAAAGTTTTCATATGTGATTAGAGTTAGGTTGTTATCAGTTTGAAATAGAATACTATAACTTTGAGATGTTTTATGGATTTACAATGGTAACCACAAAGAAAATATCTGTAGAATACACACAAAAGGAAGTGAGAAGGGAATGAAAGCATACCACTAGAAAAAAAAATCAATGAAACACAAAGAAAGGCAATGAGAGAGGAAAGGAACAAGACATAGACAGCAACTAACAAAACGGCAATAAGTCCTTGCCTATCGGTAATTATTTTAAATGTAAACAGATTAAACTCCCCAATCAAAAGATACAGGCTGGTTAACTGGATAAAATAACAGAATCCAACTATACCCTGTTTACAAGAGACATACTTTAGATCTAACAATACACATAGGCTGAAAGTGAAAGGATGGAAAAAGATATCCCGTGTAAATGGTAACAAAAGAGAGCAGAAGTGGCTACATTAAAGTCAGACAAAATATACTTTAAATAAAAAACCATTACAAGACACAAAGAAAGACATTATATAATGACAAAAGGGTCAATTTACCAGGAAAATAAAACAATTATAAATATTTATGCACCAAACCTCATAGCTTTGGTGCATAAATACAGTAAGTTCTCAATGTTGTCACAGTTTTTTGAAAACTGCAGCTTTAAGAAAAAGTACAAACAACAAAGCCATTTTTTCCCTCAACATTATGATAAAAGGACACTGAACAAAATGACATTATTTAAAAGCCTGCTGTACATTGTTTTGCTTAAAGATGCAATTTCCAAGAACCTATCACAATGTTATATGAGGACTTACTGTATTTACATGAATCTAAATATATGGAACAAACTTTGGCAGGATTGAAGAAATTTGACAACAACACAATAATAGTAGGAGACTTCAATATTCCACTTTCAACAATGAACAGAATTATTCAGAAAATCAACAAGGAAACAAGATTTGAATAACCTTATAGACCAATTAGACCTAACAGACATATACGGAACACTCTAATCAAAAATAGCAGAACATGTATTGTTGAGTACCCATGGAACATTCTCTGGGATAAGACCATGCATTGGGCCACAAAACAAATCTTAAATTCCAGAAGACTGAAATCATACAAAGTATCTTTTCTGATTACAATGGAATAAAACTACAAACCAGTAGCACAAGGAAAACTGGGAAATCTACAAATACGTGGAAATTAAACACATTCTCATACAATCAATGGGCCAAATAAGTAATAAGGGGAACTGGAACTGGGAAATATCTTAAGACAAATGAAAGTGAAAACACAACATGCCAAAATTTTGGGATGGAGTGAAACTAGTGTTAAAGGGTTAAGTTTATAGCTGTTAAGTGTATAATGTAAAATACATATATATCTCAACTTAACAACCTAACTTTACATCCAAGGAACTAGGAAAAAAAAAAAACCCTAAGGTCAAAGTAAGCAGGAAGAAGAAAATAATATAGATTACAACAGAGATAAATGACATAGAAAAATCAAAAAACAATATAAAAATTCATAGAAATTGAGTTAGTTTTTTAAAAAGATCAATAAAATTGACAAATCCTTAGCTAGACTAATTAAGAAAAAAAGAAGGAAGACCCAAATAACTAACATTAAAAATGAAAGAGAGGACATTATAACAGATGCCATAGAAATAAAAAAGTGTTATAAAAGACCACTATGAACAACTGTTTGCTAACAAGTTGAATAACCTAAGACAAGATGGATAAATTCCTAGAAACAACCTACTAAGACTAAATCATGAATAAATAGAAAATATGAACAGATCAATAATGAATACAGAGATTGAATCAGTAGTTAAAAACTCCTCAACAAAGAAATGCCCAGGACCAGATGGCTTCACTGGACAATTCTACAAAACATTTAAAGAATTAACATCCATTGTCCTGAAACTCTTCCAAAAACTTGAACAAGAGGAGATACTTCCAAGCTTATTCTAATGAGGCCAGTATTATCCTGGTTCCAAAGTCAGACAAAGACACTACAAGAAAACTACAGACCAATATCCGTAAGTATTGACGCAAAAATCCTCAACAAAACACTAGCAAACTAAAGTCAAGAGCACATTAAAGGGTTTATACACCATGGTATACTACATATCATTATACAAGTAGTATTTATTTCTACAATGCAAGCATGGTTCAGCATATGAAAATTGATTAGTGTATTACACTGCATTAACAGAATAAAGGTGGAAAGACACATAATCATCTAAATTGATACAGAAAAGCATCTGACTTATGTCTGTCATAATCATTGCCATTTCTCTTTCAATCCATAATGACTTAGAGAAGACCATGGGGAATACAGCAGTGGTAAGTGTTTCATGTCTATTTGTAGACAGCATATACTCCATAGTCTTCCAAGGGGTGGCCCAGGGCAGTTGTTTTGTGGGGAAGTAAGAATGGAGCTTAGATGTGCAGGATAAAAAGGAAAGGGTGGCAGGCCAAGGGCCAACTCCCCACATTATCATGTTCTGACATAGAATCCCAAGGAGTCCAAAAATTTTAAATTTAAATCTGTCTTTCCAAGATATCAAGAAGTTATCTTATCAAGTAAGGAGTATAGAGCACATTTAAGAGTTCGGTAGCTTTTTAAATGACTTTTACATTTACATGTATGATATGGGTCTCCATTTTTACTCTTGTTTCAGGTCTTACAAATATTAGGAGTGGGTTTGATCAAAAGCTACCCTGGAGTCATTGCATTTTTAGGAGGAAAACACATTCAGCTTTCCTTAGGACTATAACTAGGAAGTCACAAGTTTGCTTATAAAACCAGAATCAACTAACTTCATTTTTTACCTGTCATAAAATGTACAGAAGGTTTTATCCATCAATTAAGTGGATTTTCAAACAATTTATCTTCAGTTTGAACACAAACCAGTTGCAGCCCCCACCCAACAAAGATATATGAAATGCATTAAGTTCAATGAAAGTTCAATTACTAGTATTAAAGGTGCTTCTCTTTGGATTGTCTAGGCTCTACATATTTCGTCCTTAATTTTATATACTTCTGGCCTATGAGTCAACTCATAGTTCATTAGTATCTTTGTTAAGGGAAGAAAAAGAGAAAATAAAATGAAATTCAGACCTGTCATCTTAGTTATCAGTAGCAACTCTAACAACAGACTTCATGGTGGAAAATGTAGAAACTCCTGGTTAAAGTAGTTTCATAGGCTGAATCTGACAATGTATATATAATTATCCATGTGCTTCCTGCCTACCACTGTCATTAGATAATGGAATTTGACTATTTGGACCTATTTTTTTCCTCAGAGTCAGAAAGATAGTCTGGATAATAAAATGTAGCATATTATGTCATACTGAATAAGAAGAGAATTACCCTTATGGCATAAACGACAGCTGTGAGTTATGAAAACACATCCACATCTTGTCATCCATAAGCCAAAACTATCTTGAATTAAACCAAAGTATATCTATCTAAATACATATATATACACACACACACACATACATACACACACACATACAATCCTTTAGATGATACTGTGCGTAGTTTTTAAAAATAGCTGTCTTTAGCATAAAAGTTAATGACATTACATCTCCATTCTTCCAGAAACCAGATACAAGGATATTTTCATATAATGCAAAATTGGATTTTAGGTTAAAAGATTTTAAAGAAATTAAATTTGCTGATCATTCTTTTTTGTTTGTTTATTTTTGAGATGGGGTCTTGCTCTGTTGCCCAGGCTGGAGTGCAATGGTATAATCACAGCTCACTGCAGCCTCGAACTAACTCCTGGGTGTAAACGAACCTCCTGCCTCAGCCTGTGAGTAGCTGGGATTAGAAGTGCGCTTCCACACCCAGTAAGTTATTTTTATTGTTTGTAGAGACAGGGTCTCACTATATTGCCCAAGCTGGTTTCAAACCCCTGAGCTCAAGTGATCCTCCCACCTTAGCCTCCCAAAGTGTTGGGATTACAGGCATGAGCCACTGTACCTGGCCTTTGCTGATAATTGTAACAGGAATTCTTTCAAAGGAATATAATAACTGGATATGTAATATAAATTATTTCTGGAAGGATTTTTTATTGGTTGTTTAACAGCAGTATCAATGGATACTGCCATTATGCAGTAAGACTAATACGAAACATTGATCAGATTTGGTTAAAAAGTTGTTATTTTGAGGCCAGGCCTCAAAATAACAGGTCTTATTTTGAGGCTTAAGCCTGTAATACCAGCACTTTGGGAAGCCAAGGCAGGCAGATCACCTGAGGTCAGGAGTTCGAGACCAGCCTGGACAACATGGTGAAACCCTGTCTCTACTAAAAATACAAAAATTAGCTGGGCGTGGTGGTGGGTGCCTGTAATTCCAGCTGCTCAGGAGGATGAGGCAGGAGAATCGCTTGAACCCGGGAGGTGGAGGTTGCAGTGAGCCAAGACTGTGCCTCTGCACTCCAGCCTGGGTGACAGAGCAAGACACTGTCTTAAAAAAAAAAAAAGTTGTTATTTTGTGATAGCTAGATAGGCCAAGATATTGATATACATACACACCCTTCCATACAAATGAATAAGTTTTAAAACATAAAGATGAAGTCAGTAAATAAGGTAGAGTTTTTGTTTTATTGCTGTCATCGTTTTTGTTGTAGGTAGAATGGTTGTTTTTGTAGGAGAGGTGATGGATTTTTACTGAGTCATCTGCAGTATTGCATGATTCCTCTTGAGATAAAAGCATTTATATGTAAGATGTTTTGGAGGCTACTGCAAATGATACCTGCTTAAGGGAGAATAAAGCAGGATAACATTTTTCTTAGTCTTCCATTCTTGGTTCTACAGAATCTTCTCTAATCTAACTTGCTTAGTTCCCACAAAACCCACCAGAAGTCTCTGCTCCTATGTGTACATGTTTATTCCTCGTCTATCAACTATGAGTTTAGGCTCTGTTATGGTCTGAATTCTGTGTTCTCAAAATTTTTAAGTTGAAGTCCTAACGCCTAGTACCACAGGAGGTGACTTTGTTTGGAGACAGAGCTTGGAGGTAATTAAGGTAAAATGTAGTCAATGAGGGTGGCCCCTAATCCAAATGAATGGTATCCCTAATAAGAGACAAGGATACAGATAATACAAAAGGAAGACCATGCAAAGACACCAGAGAAAGACAACCATTTACAAGCCAAGGAGAGATGCTTTAGAAGAAACCAAATTGATTTTAGTCTTCTAGCCTACAGAATTGTGATAAAATAATTTTCTGTTGTTTAAGCTACCTCGTTTGTGTTACTTTGTTATGGTCGCCCTAGGAAGCTAATTTAAGACCAAACACCTCTTCTGGGATAGATAAAAGAGATCTTTATCATAAGAGCAATGTAAAAGCATTATAGAGTTTTAGATATAAGAGTGATATAATTATGTTTACATATTTAAGAACTTACTTTGGCTTTTATTTGGAAATGAATTAGAACTGGCTGAACTGTATATGGAGAAACCAGTTTGGAGTTTCTCCAAACTACATTAGTCCAGGCAAGACACAGTGGCTTGATCAAATGTGATGGCAGCAATGACAGAGAAAAGTGAAAAATTCTGAGGTAATGTTTAGAGGTAGATGAGACAGCACTTGATGACAGACTTGAATTGGGATGAAGGGTAGTGAAAAAATAAAACGAGTCAAAAATGACTCTCAGGTTTCTGGCAGAAGCTGGAGGGATGGAACTGAGTGAGATTAGAAATTCTTAAGAGCTGCAGATCTGAAGAAGGGCAGGATCCAAAGTACAGTTTCAGACACAATTAGCTTGATATATCTGCAAGATTTCCTTGACAATATATGTCTGGAGAGCCAGAAAAGAGAATTTGGGAGTCACTGATATATTGATGATATTTAAAACCATGAAAGTACATGAAATTGCCCAGGAAAAGAAGGTATTTTCCCAGATCACATGGGACCAAAAAAAAGTAGTAGTATGAAAACAGAGGTAGCCTGAGGCTGAGCCATAAGGAAATTCCAATATCCAGGGTATGCAGGTGTTCAATAAATGTTGAATATCACCAGCTTCATTAACGTTTTCTGCACAGTATTTTGACATGTACAGTGCACATGCATTACATGAATCAAAATAAATCAGTAAACGAGTATACAGGCAATACAACTGGATGGCTTATTTTTAAATTTTCCATTTTCCTGTAAAACACATTGAAGTCACTAATATTGTTAACTAAATATAGAGAAACTGGAAGACTTTCTCTCTTCTGCTTGTACATATAAGATTACAACTAAGAACTTCCTTAATAAATGCATTACTTATATTGTCTATGCTGATCTCATGCATTAGTACCAAACTTGGACTTTCTGCACCTAATCTAAAAACAATGCAAAGTGAAACGAAAGTGAAAATGAAAGTGCAAAGATTAATATTCTGTCAATTTCTTAAAAGAAAAGAAAGATGTGTTTGTTCACCACCCATTCCTTTTTATTTTTAATTTGTAATCCTATCTATGAGTACCTAGATAATGTTGCACATACCCATTAGCAAAATTCCCATGGAAATAGAATTCAGTAAGGTCTTCAGAAAGGTCTGACTTGATGAAAGCTGACACTAAAAATACCCTCTGTTTTCCCATTAGTTAGGAATTAGGAACACATATACATTTTTCAAGACAGAAATGCATTAACCTCTTCACAAATTACCCAAGCAGAAATATCCTCTAAATAATACAGATATAAACTAGGTAAGAATTAAACCAAATTTACATTGCTTAGCTTTAAACCTTAAATTGGATATCAGAATTAGAAATGATGCAATTATCTTTTCAACTAGAAAATCAGGAGATAGAATATTTCAGTAAAAGAAATAGTACTAAACTCTTGTCCAAGTTGAATGTAAAAATACTTTGGTAGGTACTTAAAGAGGAAGTTTTCTTCTTAGTTACAGAAATAAAAGGCAGAGATAAAATGTAAATAATATTTCAAGTCTTACTGAATGAGTTTATAAAACAAAACTCATTAGGCACCATTTATTAAATATGTCTACAGATATATTCTCTATAACAATATAATTATAGATGATTGTAAACATATTCCAATATCTCTATTATTATTTGTTGACAATCTTTACTAAGCATCATTGTTCAAAAACCTAGAGATATAATTTCAGCTCCACCATAGGCTAAATAAACCATGAAACTCTACTTACATTTACAACTGTTAGTCATTTTTGTCATCCACTATATTCAGTCATTCAGTAAACATTTAAGAGTAACATGTGCTGCCCGAGAAAAGTGCTCATGATACAAAGATGAATGTACCATGGCAAGGAATAGACGTTTAACCAAAGAAAGATCCTTCTTTATGTCTGCAGGTTGCCTTTTATAACTAAGCTCCCAAATTTGGGAAGAACTGTACGTGGGGCAACGAGGGAGAATAGGATTCTCTTCCCATCTCTCCAAACCATGAAATCAATCTTGGCAACCAAAGGGATAATAATTGATGTCACAACCAGCTCTGGCTCAAAGGGCACCAGCCTGAGAAAGTGCAAGCAAAGCATCCTAGGCAGAGTGAATGAATAAATTTCTACTTTTCTGTGAGGCAGCCTGGCTACCCAAGATTCTTTCCAATTCTATGATTCAAGAATGTTGAAAAGTACACCTATGTATGCAAGTTAAACTAGTGAATGGAAGTAGGTAGAACCACGAAATGTCAGTAACAAAACACTTCAGCAGTATCCTTGCCCAATCCTCTTATTTAATAGATGAGGAAAATGGCGCCCATAACGGTGAAATAACTCATAAAATACATAAAAGTGAAACATGTCATTGTTCTTGCCATTGCATTACTGTGGTAACTTCAGATCGCTATAGCACTTTCACCTGTATATCAAGATAATACATAGAACCTATGTCCTAATCAGTTTGCACAATTACTTCCATTCAGTAACTCATTCTATACAGAAATATTTAAAAGCTTTGCTGAGGGTATTTTGATAAA
The DNA here is from genome assembly GCF_000001405.40 of Homo sapiens. NCBI lineage: Eukaryota > Metazoa > Chordata > Mammalia > Primates > Hominidae > Homo > Homo sapiens. The sequence goes on along the minus strand of NC_000005.10, from coordinate 116,279,878 downwards.
TATAGCGGATGGGGTGTCACACTGTCTTAATAATAAGAGGTAATGCAAGGTTAAAGTCTTCAATTTCTCAAAAATGGTCTGAAAAAATGTAATCAAATCTCTTTGTATCTGTTACACCAATTAGACCAACAAAATTTTCACAGCCACTGTGAGCATTTTACAAACATCAATGCAATACCATTGCCAAGTTAAAAAGCTAGGTTTCATTCAGGTTAAAATTCTAATATGAAACAAATAAAAAAAGTTAGTCCAGTGAATATACTACATAATTATCATTTTCACCTGAATTTCAGCTGATCTCTGTTGCTACCTCAAGCCCTGTGATTCCAAAGACTTCATTAAAATATTATGCAGTCCAGCAGTTTCCAAAACCTCACAGGAATGTCCCCATTCTTTAAGAAGGGCACTGGGCAAACGGAAACTCCTGAGCTTACATCAAAGTTTGATAAAAGTTACAAAAGGACAACTGCAACAAATACATGGAATACACAACAAAAGGCATTTTCCCAGTGTTAAATCAATCGAATAACTTTTAATTTTTGAAAAGTACAGTTTAACAAAATGATTACCTATTTAAGAATGTAAGCAGCAAAAACTCTAAACTTGTTAGCATAGCATTCAAGACTTCCAAACTCTGGCCCATGATTCCTACGGACTCATCTCTCAATATCCTCTTAATGCACTGCATGTCCAGGCAGTACGGAAGTACCAGTAGGGTTTTACATACTTCTCTCTGGGTCTTTTTTCATGTTGTCTCTTGTGTTCTCCCAACAGTGCTTCCAATTGCATGCATGCACATCCTAGGGCATACATGCATACACCAGTGATTTCATTTAGCTAGATCTTTTAGTATAGTTCAGTTGACATCAAGTCATTTTTCCCCTGAAGGAAAAAAATATTGGATATGGAAAATATCAGAATAAGTGGATTTTGTCTAAATGATTTCAATATTTTCTAATTATATTGTAGTATTTGACCCCAATGGTAGTAGTCTTACAGGTCTTATAAGTCTTGTTTACTCAGAAAATATATGGGCTAAATAGTAATTACACTCTAAGTATTTATTCTGTAGTTAGCTTAAAAAGGTAGCACCTCACACTTGAAGGTCCCCACCTCAAGCTGGTTAAGGCAAATGCTTTTGTGTTTTATACATGTTTAGCTAAAACATACAACAGTTTTAGCTGTCAACATAACAAACTGTCTTTGACCAGAAACCTTTATTCAGTATAAAAATCGTATAAGAGAGCGCATGAAATATTTTCATGAAATGTTTAATTAGATATATTCATTTTGGCTATTAGGTCACTTGACTTGTTGTCTATATGTTACATTTTGAGTTTGGCTAAAATACCACTTTGCTTCAGTGTAAAGCAATATGCTTGGCAGTCATATCATCACTATATTTTCCTTCCTCTTAAAAATACAATGTGCTATCCATGAGCAGATCACAAACTTGGAGCCAATCAAAACACACCTTGTATAGTATTCATTAACCATAATTTATTATGTGTGTGCTGATATGCCATTATGATTTTTCAGCTTTGGTACTGAAATATTTAGCTATGGTTGCTGAATATAATCAGCAAGTTAAGAGGTTTTGAATATGATTATTTGAAGCTTTTTTAACAGTGAGAAACTAGGTTGAAAAGAGCATTGACAGCTAAAAACAATGGAGCTTTTTCTGTACTCAATACTATAGGTAATGGTATATTTTTCTAAGTATTTATAATTTATTCTAAGGATAAGTACATATCTGATGACTGAAACATCATTTGTAATAGGTACATTATTTAACTTCTCAAGACATGTGTTACTATCTTGGCTGAGGGATTCTGGGTAAATTTTAAACAATAAATTGAAATTCTATTGTTTCTAGTGTGTAGTTTTAAAGATTATGATCTCAACATTCAAATTTAGGTTTCTCTTTTCTTTATAAAATGACTGCATTAGATTCATAGACAGAAATTTAAATGATGCATTTGTACTTTCAGGAGCTACTATGTATTTGGCATCCTGAATGAAATAACCTAATGTAATTCACAGAGTAAGAAAAAGGTAACTGAAAACATGTGCAGGCTTAATTTTTCTCTATCTTGTGCTGTCACGTAAGTCTTCAAGGAAAAGAGAACCAATGTGTGCACCTAAATGAGGTTAATTTGACAATTTAGTTAAATTTACACTTCTTATCAGTGAATGGAAGCTCTGTTTCAACAAATTAAAAAGGGCAAGTTCAGCATTTACCTCAAGTTATGAAGGGCAGTGAGTTTATCATACAACAGGCAACTGAAAATCCATTGTAAACTGCAGCATAATAATAGGAAACATGCTATTTTACCTCCAACACTTGTGGAACCAAATTCCTAAAGACAGGCAGGTACAATAACTAATTTGATAAGATATGTGGTTAATTTAAGGCAGTAACTATCCAGAAGAAAATTTTAACCTCTAATGAGGCTCTTCCAACTAAATATGACTGATAAAAACTGGAGTTCATTTTTCCATGCACATTAGTTCTCTGCTAACCTAATTACCTGATTATGATTCACAAAATCTTCTTGGAATCAAGTGAACAAATGATGCATATTCTAAAAAGTACATGGTTTAAATGAGTTGATATATTTCTATAATCCTTAGTATATCTGGAGCTAATAAGGTTTTATTTTATGTTTGAAATATGTCTATTGTGTACTACTGTGAATTCAATGCAGCAACAGCTGATAGTTCAGTTTGTACAATGATACCTAAATAAAGGATGGAACATGGGTTTTTTTCATAACTTAGTGAAAATAACAACACTGGAGAATTTAACTTATATTTTTTGGTAACAGCTTTATGGAAATATTCATGTCCCACACAGTTCACCCACTTAAAGTGCATAATTCAATGGTTTTTAGAATGTTCATACAGTTGTGCAACTATCACCACAATTAATTTTAGAACATTTTCATCATCCCAAAAAGATACCCTATGTCCTTTAGTTATTATCCACCAACTCTCCTGTCTTACCCCCTGCTCCCTCCTCTCCCGGTCCTAGGTAACCAGCAATCTACTTTGTTCTAACAGATTTGCTTACTCTGGAAATCCTATCAATTTTAAATGGGATCATATATGTGGTCTTTTGTGACCAGTTTCATTCATTTAATATAATATTTTTGAGATGTATCCATGTTGTAGCATGTATCAGTAAAAATTCTGTTTAGCAAGGCTTGTATCTTAATTTAAATAACTGAATTAAGGTTAGATTTTAAAATTTAGAATAAAAAAATCATGTATGACACAAAAACATAATATATGATAATGCTACTAACACACTTTGATTTTCCTTTGACAATTAAGAAGATACGGCTGGGCATGGTGGCTCATGCCTGTAATCTCAGCACTCTGGGAGGCTGAGGTGGGTGGATCACCTGAGGTCAGGAATTTGAGACCAACCTGGCAAAATGGTAAAACCCTGTCTCTACTAAAAATACAAAAATTAGCCAGGTGTAATCCCAACTACTTGGGAGGCTGGGGCAGGAGAATTGCTTGAACCTGGGAGGTGGAGGTTACAGTAAGTTGAGATAGTGCCATTGCACTACAGCCTGGGTGACAAAAGCAGAAGTCCATCTCAAAAAAGAAGAAAAAAAAGAAGATATTTCTCAATCATGCTTCACATGCTTATATATATTTTATTTGAAATTAATTTTTATTTTTCTTTCTGGCAATGTCTTACTGATACTTTAAGACTCTTCTGAAGTGTTACCTCCTCTGCAAAACCTCGCCTGATTTCCTCTCCCCCTCCTATCCACCTGCTGCTTGCTTTGGTGCTGTACAGCACAGTAAGAATACCTGTGTTAGTACTTACGATCATTTTACAATGAAGGCTTCCAAAACATAGTGTGTTCCTTAAGGTCAAGGGTAGTACCATATATATATATATACATTTTTTTTTCAGTTTATTTCTTTACTTTCCCTCTAAAAGGAGCCAGGATTAAATAAGAATAGGGGATACTTATATTACTTATAAGCACAGTGATTACTTGTACGCTCATTAACATATGGTGAAGCAAATCTGGCCATTAGCAGTTTATGCCTTATGATTTAGGATCTGATGTTCTACATACAACTTTGTGAAGTATGACATCTTTATTTCATTAATTTATTCAACTTTCTAATTATATACTTACTTTGAGTGCAAATTAAGCCATCAGATATGTTCTGGTGCTTTGATTTATACAGAACATGGTGTATTTTATGGATATTGAGACTAATTTCACTTGTTTTCAACATAGATTTACGAGCAACACGCTAGGGTGTTGGGGTTACAGCAATGATGAAGACAATGTGTACAATCTTTGTTTTCCTTGAGCTTACGAGTCCAATAGAGACAAATAAACTGAGGTTACAAAATGACATACTTTGCCCTAACAGGCAAAGTATAGGGCACAGAGAACAAACACTACACCTACATTCTGGAGTCAATAAAGGATTCCTAGTAGAACTGATATCTAATCTGATACCTGAAAGATAAATTATTGGGAATAAAGCAGGATGGGGGATATTCCCACCAGCAAAAGAGAACATGAAAGGGAAAAGCAGAGCAGTCTACTAGTAATTTAAATTTGTGATGATGGTGGCTTGAACTAGCATAGAAGCAACAGACTATAACACATACAGATTTAAGAGCTATTTTGGAGGTACATCCACAAAACTGATTCTTTCAATGAAAGACATGGGTGAGATGAAGAGTTAGGAATCAAAGATGAAGCACAAGTATCTGCCTTGGGCAAGTGAAAGATGGGTAGGGCCATTCATTGAGATAGAATGGGGGTTGAGGGAAGTAATCTTGGGGATGAAATAGAGGTTGGGAATTTCAAGTTCAGTTTAAGACAGGTATTTCCAAGTATCTTTGGATAAGCATGTAGAAAATACCAGCAGGCCATTAGATGTACAAACTCAGTATTTAAATTAGGAATCTGGGCTACAGATTAATACTTAAGAGTGCTCAGGAGGGAGAAAAACAGACAGAAATTAGAGCTATAGTAACACAAAGTACTGCTTAAGGCAAATGTGTCAAGAAGATCAATAATAAATCCTTAAGGCACACCAATAATTAAGAGACTGCCTTGAGAGGTGGGTTAAAAACTAGAGGTAGGTCAGGGACACTAAAGAAAGAAAAAATTTTAAGGACAGATTGATTAGAATGTCAACTGCTCCCAAGAATCCAAATGAGACAAGGACTGGTAAGTGTTCATTTTAATTCAATGATGAGAATGTTACTGATATTGGCAAAAGTATTTTGGTGCAGTGATGGGGAAAAGCCAAGCCCAGCTGAACAGAGGAATGAGTATACAGTAAGAAAATCAAGCAAATGTAGCTCAGGGATTGATAGTCCGCAGGCCAAGTGTGACCTGCTGTCAGCTTTTGGGAAAAATCTGACCTACTTTCAGTTTTTGTAAATAAAGGTTTATTGGAACACAGCCACACTCATTCTTTTATATAGTGTCTAAGCCTACTTTTGTGTTGTAACAGCAGAGCTGTATAGTCTGCAAATTTAAAGAATTTACTATTTGGTGTTTTACAGAAGAAAGTTTGCCAAACTCTATTGTAGACAAATGTCTCAAATTATTAGTTCTATTTACCAAAAGTGACCTAATAAGCATCCATATTTCTCATGTTTACCACAAGACTTGCCAGTTAGAAAGACCTGTTGTTGATATATAAGTAGAAGTATAAATCTGCTGTACTGAATACAGTGTAAGTGCATCTCAAGGTTGAAATTTCAGACCCTCTTCACTATCATTTAATATATTGCTGTTTTATAGGAAAGGTTGGTGACAGTTGCAGAGGCTGTTAGATCATATCTTTGGGTAAATAAAATACATCACTTAGCTCATATTTACATACATTTTATGACATTAGTAATGACTGATATCATCTAAAGTTCTCTAAGAGAAAATAAATGCAATTTTAAGATACTTTAAAAAAAGTAAATTGTACCCTCAAATTTTCTCTTTTCTGTAGTTTATTAATAATAAATGCCTTTTTTGAATGATGACTTTAGTTCCAAGTATTATATTTTAATGAATCATTTATTCATATGAAGTCAATAAAAAATTTGAGTGTCAGTTTCAAAACTCCAGTTCATCTACAAACAGAAGTCAAAGGCTTAGATCAGAAACATTTCAACTGGACTGTTCAGCTTTTGCTTGCTATATTGGTCTTTGCCTGAAATGACTCATAGCATAACGAAGCTTCACAATTTGGTTTAATGTTTTGTATCTGTTAATGTTTAGACAGGCTACATGCCTCTGTAGTCTAGTCATTAATATTAATGAGTTTTGTGACCTAGGCCAAGTTAATAAAACAAACTTCTAAATATCCTGTTTAAAAGTTCTCAATAATAATTTTGAACTTGAAATTGTTTTGTAGAATTGTTTTATAGGACTGGAACATATACAAAGCTTTCGAAGACATCTTCTATCTTGGATGAGGAAAAATGACAGAATGGTGACAGCATCTATCAAACATCACTTTTTGATTACAGGTCACATATGGCTGGTTCAAAATCATAGATTTAATGGAATAGGGAATTAAGATACATTACAAGGAGGGTTCTTCAAAAAGCTCATGAAAAATGCATATTATGAAAAAACTATGCATGGATTTCAAAATTCTTTTGCACCAAAATATACTAACTTTTTACAGTATGTCTGAACAGGATCTAGTTTGAGGCACTAAGAAGGATAGGACATTCATTTAAAAATAGCCCCTATCAGAGCAAACTGAATTCTTCTAAAAGTGAAGCAAGAACAAGCATCACATTTAAGATGAATTGTGGGTGAAATGTGGTGAAATCATTGATGTTTTATAAAGACTTGATGGAGACAATGCCCAAAAGAAATGAGCAGTTTCCAAATGGATAACTTGTTTTAAGAAGGGACGAGACAACATTGAAGATGAAGCCCACAGTGACAGACCATCCACATCCATTTGAGAGGAAAAAAATAATCTTGTTCATGCCCTAAGAGAACCGAAATTAAGAGCAGAAACCAGAGCCAACACCACAGACATCTCAATTGGTTCAGCTTACACGATTGTGATTGAGAAATAAGTTCAGCAAACTGTCCACTAGATGGATGCCAAAACTCTTACAACACCCAGATCAACTGCAGACAAGAACAGAGCTTTCAATGAAAATTTAAATGAGTGGGATAAAGATTCCGAAGCATTTCTTCCAAGAATGGTAACAGGATATGTAATATGGCATTACCAGTATGATCCTGAAGACAAAGCACAGTCAGAACAATGGCTACCAAGAGATGAAAGTGGTCCAGTCACGAGCAAAGGCTATGGCAACAGTGTTCTGGGATGTTCAAGTCATTTTGCCTACTGACTTTCTGGGAGGCCAAAGAATGATAACATCTGCTTATTATGAAAGTGTTTTGAGAGCATTAGCCAAAACTTTGGCAGAAAAACACCTAAGAAAGCTTCACTAGAGTCCTCCTCCACTACGACAAAGCTCCTGCTCATTCCTCTAATCACACAGAGCAATTTTACAAGAGTTTCAATAGGAAGCCATTAAGCATCCCCCTTACAAACCTGATTTGCCTCCTCTGACTTTTTATTTCCTGATCTTAAAAATATCTATAAAGAATACCCATTTTTTTCAGTTAGTAAGGTACAAAAAGACTGCACTGACATGGCTAAATTCCTCAATTCCAAAAGAAATGAGGGATGGACTAAATGGCTGGTATTATCGCTTAGAAAAGTGTCTCGACCTTAATGGAGCCTATGTTGAGAAATAAAATTTGCATCTTTTATTTTTATATTTTAATTCAATTTTTCCTTGACCTTTTTGAAGTACCCTCGTATTTCACAGAGGACTGAATACAACATGGGAACAGGTTAAATTTGTGTAATCCCAAAGTGGTTATAAGTAATTTTTACTTTCATGTCAGATCTGAGCTAACAAATATAAAACTGAGAGGTTGGTGGTTACGAAAAGATAACTCATTTGTATCACAGAGTTGGGAAAAAGTAAATGATTTTGTAAAAGTGGAATGTTTGTATGGAGCAATATTATGTAAAGTAGGGGGAAATAATGGCCTAAGAGTTTCCTTTTAGACATTTAAGCAGGGTCTGACTTAAACAAAAGTTTGCCAAGTCTTGTAGAAGCAGCCAAGGACTATGCTGCAAATCAAACTCTTCCAAGTAGACATAGGCTCCTTCTAATTGGTCCAGACTAATGTGAAACCATTATTTTCAGCAGCACAGATGACTAATGCCTTCTTAAATGTTGATCTTCCATACTGGTAGCTTAGGAGTAAAAACCACATTAGTCGTCATGCTCTCAGTCTGGTCATGGTTTAGAATGTTAACCCAATTCATGGAGGGTACTTATACTTACATAATAGAAACTAGATTTGAGATAGGAAACAAAAGTATACAAAGTATATTAAGCAGAATTAGTAATACACCCTAACTTCTATTTGGGGATGCTTACTAAAATGGTTATGGAAATGATAATATAAAGATATAGGAATTTTATATAATCATAAATATAAATATATATTTATATTTTATATATATTTTATATATTAAATATATAAAAATTTAAAAAGATAAAAATGCTTAAACAGGAAAAAAAATTGTTTTTACTATCATGTGAATTTTCCCCATGTTTATGTTTATTAAAAACTGACATAAACAAAACCTGTACAGAGAGTACTCTTTAATATACACTTTATTTCAAAGTACTGAAATAGTGTTTTATGATCATATATTTCTAGAGGAAAGATTTTCTCCCAAGCCTTTAAGGGGAAAGCTAATCCACTTGGAGAAATTTTGGGCCACCCACCAAACCTGTGATTTCCTGCCCCAATTTATGAACCAAGTTATACTGAGATTGTTAAATGGTGTGATTTTATTTATTTATATATAATCTTTATTATTATTTTTTGAGACAGAGTTTTGCTCGTTGCCCATGCTGGAGTGTAATGGTGTGATCTCGGCTGACTGCAACCTCCACCTCCCAGGTACAAGTTATTTTCCTGTCTCAGCCTCCCAAGTAGTGTTCGGATTACAGGTATGCACCATCAAGCCCAACTAATTCTTCTGTATTCAGTAGAGATGGGGTTTCACCATGTTCGTCAGGCTGGTCGTGAGCTCCTGACCTCAGCTGATCCATCCACCTCGGCCTCCCAAAGTGCTGGGATTACAGGTGTGAGCCACCGTGTCCGTCCTAATTTATATATAACCTTTATATAATGGGAATGATTATACAAAGCAGCAGCATCCCTGTTCTTTCTAGTCCCCATGCCACTACCTAATCTAAGCACTCATTTTTCAGAAATCAGAATGCTGAATTTGCTAACATTCCTTTTCATCAGTATCTCCATTCTCTAGACCGTTCTAAATACAGACGCCAAATTCAGTTTTTCGAAATGCTACTCTCTACAAAAGACAGTCAATATCTTCTCCACAACCAACTGTAAAGTTCTACCTTTTTTGCCTAGAAGTTAAAGCTTTCTATAAACTGGTCCCAGTCTAATTTTTCCTTTTTCAATTATGAAATATTTAAAATGTTAAAATAACAGGAACTAATACATGAATATAACAAACAGCCTGTAACCCAACACCCAGCTGTAACAATGTATAAACTTTTTTTGCTTTCGAAAAGCCTAAATAAAGCATCCAGTTAAAGTCTGCCATTCATCCCATCTCCTTCCCTTTAGTAAAAGGATAAAACCTTGCTGTAAATAAAAATGTAAAGTAGGAAATAAGAAACAATGGACAAAATACTCAAAAACATAATTCTTCATTATGTCAAGATAACAAGAATATTTTTTTAAATGCTGTCCATTTACTAACCTTAGATTAGAAGGCTTGAAAGTCAGAAAATAACAATAAAAATGGCAATTAATACATCTTTTCCCTTCCTTTCAAATTTGTGACAGAGGTGAAATTAACCTGGTTTCTGGAGATGGGATTAAAATATGCAGAAATGGGGTAAAAAATATATATTAATTCTCTCATCCTCATCCCTTATTCCTCTAACAAAAGGTAGAGAAGTAAGACTGGCAAGTCAGACTAGGAAGGGTACTTTAATAACCTACATGTAAGCAAACCAAGATGGCTTACAACCTCAGCAACCAAAATAATTGGCAAAAATCAATACTTTCTTTTGTGCGCTTACGGAAAAGTTGAGGGGAAAGGGAAACTTAAGAAGAGGCTAAAATATTTGAGATGAATCAGTATGGTATTTTTCAAAAAGATAAGGGAAAACCATACAATTTAAAACATATAATTTTATAAATGTAATAAAAAGTAACATTGAAATGCCTGAAAAAAAATACCAGGTGAAAATATCACTTGGACTAATCCAATTTTTCTAACTTGAACTGCATAAGATTTTTTATTTTACTACCTGAAATCTAAAAGTCAATATAACCTATAAAGTAAAATGTGAAAGTCATAAGGAGAAATCACACCATTTAACGATCTCAGTATAACTTGGTTCATAAATTGGGGCAGGAAATCACAGGTTTGGTGGGTGGCCCAAAATTTCTCCAAGTGGATTAGCTTTCCCCTTAAAGGCTTGGGAGAAAATCTTTCCTCTAGAAATACTATGATCATAAAACACTATTTCAGTACTTTGAAATAAAGTGTATAATAAAGAGTACTTTCTGTACAGGTTTTGTTTGTGTCAGTTGTTAATAAACATAAACGTGGGAAAAATTCATGACAGTAAAAACCAATTTTTTTTCTGTTTAAGCATTTTTATCTTTTTAAATTATTATTATTATACTTTAAGCTCTAGGGTACATGTGCACAACATGCAGGTTTGTTACATATGTATACACGTGCCATGTTGGTGTGCTGCACCCATTAACTCGTCATTTACATTAGGTATATCTCCTAATGCTATCCCTTTCCCTTCCCCCCACCCCACAACAGGCTCCGGTTTGTGATGTTCCTCTCTCTGTGTCCAAGTGTTCTCATTGTTCAATTCCCACCTATGAGTGAGAATATGCGGTGTTTGGTTTTCTGTCCTTGCAATAGTTTCCTGAGAATGATGGTTTCCAGCTTCATCCATGTCCGTACAAAGGACATAAACTCATCCTTTTTTATGGCTGCACAGTATTCCATGGTGCATGTGTGTCACATTTTCTTAATCCAGTCTATCACTGATGGGCATTTGGGTTGGTTCCAAGTCTTTGCTATTGTGAATAGTGCCGCAATAAACATATGTGTGTGTCTTTATAGCAGCATGATTTATATTCCTTTGGGTATATACCCAGTAATGGGATGGCTGGGTCAAATGGTATTTCTAGTTCTAGATCCTTGAGGAATCGCCACACTGTCTTCCACAATGGTTGAACTAGTTTACAGTCTCACCAATAGTGTAAAAGTGTTCCTATTTCTCCACATCCTCTCCAGCACCTGTTGTTTCCTGACTTTTTAATGATTGCCATTCTAACTGGTATGAGATGGTATCTCATTGTGGTTTTGATTTGCATTTGTCTGATGGCCAGTGATGATGAGCATTTTTTCATGTGTTTTTTGGCTGCATAAATGTCTTCTTTTGAGAAGTGTCTGTTCATATCCTTCACCCACTTTTTGATGGAGTTGTTTGATTTTTTTCTTGTAAATTTGTTTAAGTTCTTTGTAGATTCTGGATATTAGCCCTTTGTCAGATGGGTAGATTGCAAACATTTTCTTCCATTCTGTAGGTTGCCTGTTCATTCTAATGGTAGTTTCTTTTGCTGTGCAGAAGCTCTTTAGTTTAATTAGATCCCATTTGTCAATTTTGGCTTTTGTTACCATTGCTTTTGGTGTTTTAGACATGAAGTCCTTGCCCATGCCTATGTCCTGAATGGTATTGCCTAGGTTTTCTTCTAGGGTTTTTATGGTTTTAGGTCTAACATGTAAGTCTTTAATCCATCTCGAATTAATTTTTGTATAAGGTGTAAGGAAGGGATCCAGTTTCAGCTTTCTACATATGGCTAGCCAGTTTTCCCAGCACCATTTATTAAATAGGGAATCCTTTCCCCATTGCTTGTTTTTCTCAGGTTTGTCAAAGATCAGATGGTTGTAGATGTGTGGTATTATGTCTGAGGACTCTGTTCTGTTCCATTGAGCTATATCTCTGTTTTGGTACCAGTACCATGCTGTTTTGGTTACTGTAGCCTTGTAGTATAGTCTGAAGTCAGGTAATGTGATGCCTCCAGCTTTGTTCTTTTGGCTTATGATTGTCTTGGCAATGCAGGCTCTTTTTTGGTTCCATATGAACTTTAAAGTAGTTTTTTCCAATTCTGTGAAGAAAGTCAGTGGTAGCTTGATGGGGATGGCATTGAATCTGTAAATTACCTTGGGCAGTATGGCCATTTTCATGATATTGATTCTTCCTATCCATGAACATAGAATGTTCTTCCATTTGTTTGTGTCCTCTTTTATTTCGTTGAGCAGTGGTTTGTAGTTCTCCTTGAAGAGGTCCTTCACATCCCTTGTAAATTGGATTCCTAGGTATTTTATTCTCTTTGAAGCCATTGTGAATGGGAGTTCACTCATGATTTCACTCTCTGTTTGTCTGTTATTGGTGTATAGGAATGCTTGTGATTTTTGCACATTGATTTTGTGTCCTGAGACTTTGCTGAAGTTGCTTATCAGCTTAAGGAGATTTTGGGCTGGAGACAATGAGGTTTTCTAAATACACAATCATGTCATCTGCAAACAGGGACCATTTGACTTCCTCTTTTCCTAATTGACTACCCTTTATTTCTTTCTCCTGTCTGATTGCCCTGGCCAGAATTTCCAATACTATGTTGAATAGGAGTGGTGAGAGAGGGCATCCTTGTCTTGTGCCACTTTTCAAAGGGAATGCTTCCAGTTTTTGTCCATTCAGTATGATATTGGCTGTGGGTCTGTCATAAATAGCTCTTATTATTTTGAGATATATCCCATCAATACCTAATTTATTGAGAGTGTTTAGCATGAACGGCTGTTGAATTTTGTCAAAGGCCTTTTCTGCATCTATTGAGATAATCTTGTCGTTTTTGTCTTTGGTTCTGTTTATATGATGGATTACATTCATTGATTTGCGTATGTTGAACCAGCCTTGCATCCCAGGGATGAAGCCCACTTGATCATGGTGGTTAAGCTTTTTGATGTGCTGCTGGATTCAGTTTGCCAGTGTTTTATTGAGGATTTTTGCATCGATGTTCATCAGGGATAATGGGCTAAAATTCTCTGTGAAAACAAATTTTTATTCTGAGTGCAACTATCTTTTGTTGTACTTTAAATATTGACAGGTTATGGAAAGAGATTTAAATTAAAGAGTGTAATAGAAGTAGTTCCTGTAGAAAGTAGGTTTACTACTACTGCATCAAAGTTCAGCTTACAGATAATGTTAAGATTAGATGTAAAAAACAATATCCATAAAATATTTTACAATATTTTCATATGAAATAAATGTTATTCCTTAGCATCGCTGCGGATTTCAGTTTGGGCAACTCCTTTCCATTGAAATATACCCCTTTAGTTAAAAAGAAAAATATAACAGCTTAACCTTTAAAAAATCTACAATTTGGATCCATAATACCTCAAAAATTATATAAATTTCTAATTTTAAATGAAAACATGCATTACATTCAAAGGTCTGCATAGGTATAAATATTTTTCTTTTTCATATAGTCAAATTAACTTTGGGCACTGCATTTTCCTGAAAACAATGCCTTTGTTCTCATTGCCCCCTTAAGGAGAAGGTCTTCCTCTAATTAACTTCACTTGACAAAATCCTGCCGCTTTTTTAAGGGTCAGCTAAAACACTTCTTCCAGGAGGCCTTCCCCACCTCCCAAAAGAAATACATCTCTTTCTGAGCACCAATGTCTTCCATATTTGAGCCAGTAATGCAGCACCTAACACATACTGACTTACTGTTTTCTTTTTGTTTTTTTCTCTGAATATGTATTACCACTTTTCTAGTAGGATGAAAGGTTCTTAAGGGTAGGATCTTGTCTTCATTTTAGTATAGCACAGTGGTTAAGAGTGTCATCTCTGGTGTCGAACTGCATGTGTTTTAAGCCAGTCTTCTCAAATCACTGGCTGTGTGACCTTGAGCAAATTATGAAATATTCTATGGCTCATCTGCTTCATTTGTAATATGGCATAACAACAGCACCTACTTGACAGCAATATGAGGACTTATTGCAAGTGTTTGCAATCACTGTCATCATCATCATTTTTTATGTTCCACATGTACGTAGCCCAGGGCCTTGAATACAACAGATGTTTAATAAATGCTTGTTAACTTGAATTTTTTTTAAGTTTTCAAACTAAGAGGAAAATAAAGCCGTATGGAAAATGGTGAGTAAGGAAAACACAAACTCTCATATGTAATGTTTTAAATAAGCAATAAGTAGATAAATTTAAGTACACAGAGTTATGTAAATGTCCCAATAAATTACTTTTTGGGAAGTGTGTAACATCACTGCTTAAATATAACCTAAATATGATTACAATTCTGAAAGCTATTCTCATACCTATAGGTTGTCTGAGAGGCCCTTTACATGAATAATCAAGGTCAATTTCAACAGTATTATCAGAACTTAATGAAAAATCCTGACTTTTGGGGATAGTGAAAAAAAAGTCAATATGCAGAATATTATGCTCTAGCAGAAAGAGCATGTGGAGAGTTGGCCTCCTTTCCCACATCACATTGCTTAGTATTAAATTGCAATTTCTAGCTCTCTTTAGATGTAATGTCTCTTGAACACAGACCACCAATAATGCAAAATTGTGTTATTTTGCGAAGCAGACAAAATGTCTGTAATAGAATGAGGCTATGAAATTCATTTCACTGGTGACCAAATCCAGAGATTAAGCCATAATAATATAAAAAACATTTTCCCTACTCTTTTCAAAGAACACATGAAAACAAAATTAAATGTTAGCTACTCTGAATATAGGCAGTATCTGAGATTTTTAGGACATGAACGTATTCATGGTAAGCTATATGACTGCATGTCATTTACATGGAATAGACTTGCTATAAAAATCAAATAATGTCTTAGGCTAAAAGAACTGACCGTACTTTGCATTTACATGACATCTATTTTTCAAGGAGCTCAAGACATTTTGCAAAACCTGACAGAAATGGTATATCTCTCCATCAAGCTCCTAAAGAAAAAAAATGTTAAGAAAAGCAATGTGAGAAATTAGCAATATGGGGCAGTGCTCAGACCTAACAGTCACACAGGAGACCACAGTGCTGTGTCTGTTATGTAAACGGATGGGTCTCAGGCTTCTGTTTTCAAATTAAGCCTTGACTTGACCTTTACGTGACTTTGTAGTTAATGCGCTCGCATCATCCAATAACAGAGGAGACTGAGAGTTGTAGAAAATATAATCTTTGCATGCTAAGTGCTACAGTGAATGTAACAGTAATGTCAGGTGCTGTGAAATGAATTGTCAAATTACAGACCTAGATTTTAGTGAAGGGATATCCTGATGCTAAGTTTTCACTAAGCAGTAATTTTTGTAACTACTAAAGGGAATAAACTAAAATATTAAACACTTTTGTGCCTTCATACGTATATTCGAAATTTGACCTGAATTACAGTTTAACAAACCTGCAGAAGAAAACCCTCTTTCTTCCCCCAGCACCAAGGCCTGTACTTTAATCACTAAAATTCCTCTAAGAATGTACACCTGAGAAAGCAGAGCCAGATGGCTCCTATACAGCAAGAGGTAGTTGGGAAACAGAAGAGTTTGACTTGATTTAGGGGCCACTCCTTTAGTTAAAGGCTCTAAAGCTCTTGCATTTTACATAGTAGGTACATAGGTTCACACTCTGAATAAAGTCTAGCTGTCTAACTCTTAATCTTTTCAGGAAGTACGGTTTGCTCTGTCGACGAAAAGAGTCAAACTCCGTAAAACATTTGAAGAGATTTATTCTGAGCCAAATATGAGCGACCATGGCTTGTGACACAGCCCTCAGGAGGTCCTGAGAACATGTGCCCAAGGTGGTCGGGGTACATTTTGGTTTTATATATTTTTAGGGAGGCATGAGATATCAATCAAATAGATTTAAGAAATACACTGGTTTGGTTCAGAAAGGCAGGAGAACAAAAAGTAGGGGCGCGGGGAGCTTCCAGGCTATAGGTAAATTTAAATATTTTCTAGTTGACAATTGGTCGAGTTTATCTCAAGACCTGGGATCAATGGAAAGGAATGTTCAAGTTAAGAAAAACGATTGTGGAGACCAAGTTTTATTGGGCAGAGGAATCTCTCAGAGAGCAGACTTCAGAGAGAGAGCAGGCTGTAAAATGTTTCTTATCGGACCTAAAAGGGTGCCTGGCTCTTAGTTGATTATCGCCTGGATCTGGAAAGAAAGGAAGGAAAACAAAGAGGAAAGGGGATTCTCTATAAGATGTGGATTTTTCCCACAAGAGACTTTGCAGGGCAATTTCAAGGTATGGCAAGGAAATATATTTTGGGGTTAAATATTTTTTCCTTGTCTCGTAATGTTATGCCAGAGTCAGATTGAAAAGTAAGTCATGATACATAGGGTCAAATAAAACCCATCTGATGAGAATTTATGGTTTGTAGGGCATGACTCTCTAGATCCCTTATGTAGGAATTTGGGCAAGATAAATGAGAGCTTAGTCCTCAGCTCCAATTCAGACGTATCTTAGTGTTTCATAGATGTTTTTAAAAAGTCCTCCAACAGCAAAAATATAAACTATTCATTTTCTAAAATATATGTGTAAGTAAAAACGGCTTATATATTCGTGAAGAACTTCTACACAACCATAGCATTTTAAATCATGACAACCAATATCAAACCAAATAAGCAAACTATTAAAAAATATGTTTAGCATGACAACCAATATAAACCAATTTCAAACAATTTCATGTTTTCCCTTTGTAAGGTTAACCATTTATATTACAGCCACTAAAGACATAATTTCCAAAGCACTGTTTTCAAATTTTATACTGTTTTTTAAAAAGGAACAATAGTGCCTGATAATACTTACAGTGGCCATTTTAAATACCAGATTGTAACATATTTGACATAGAAATATTGCCAGATATTGTGCAAATGGACCTAACTGGTACCTCAGGTCATTTTGGGAATGAGTAATGAGGCTATAAAAAATGATTTTCATTTTGCTGGTACAAAATACAAAGGACAAAATGCTTAGGCATTGTATCTGCAGCTCACTTCAGACTGAAAATCTTGGGAATACACAGACTTAATAACCAACACTTACAAAATAATTCACTTTTATAATGAGTAGACTTACACATTTAAACATAATTAATGTACTTGAAAAAACTGGCCCTAAATTCAATCTTCAACTCTAAGAAAATCATATTTTAATGGTTAATGATGAAATGCAGGCATTTGTCTTGGTATAGTATTGGTAATTAAGAAACTGAAGAATGATGGATAAAACAAAAACACATATACACATCACCTATAAATCCTCTTAGGTCTAACTTTGAGCCATTAATGACTGCTCTCTTTAAATTTAATTTCAAAAGGCAACACGAAGAAATTGGTTCACAACATGTATTAAACTTCTATTCTGTTGAAAACTATATTTTTAACTGATACTTCAGCAGTTTTGAGGGATGTAGAAATTTTAACCTAACCAGGTAAGTGTAGGGCAAATGAAAATATACACAACTAGATCCAAACAGAAAAAGATGAGAGGAGACACTCATCAGAATAGTATAGCATCTAAAGAGGAAAAGTACCAGCTCTTTAGTCAGACTGCCTGTGTCTGAATCCTGATTCTACCACTTATTAGTGTGGCCTCAAACAAAGTAATTAACCTCTCTGTGCCTTACCTTCTTTATCTGAAAGTGGAAAAAATAATACAAACTTAGATCTCTAAGGATTGTGTTAAAGATCATATGACATGTAAAGTGCTTAGAATAGTCAAAGATACAAAGTAAGTGCTCAAGAAAAATTAGCTAATTATTATTATAAAACTAAAGGGAAAAAATATTTCTGAAACCGAAACAGTTAAGAATGGCTGGCCAGTGGAACCAAAGGTTGAAGAGAGATCCAGAGACAGAGAACAGAGACAGGAGCACTGAACCCACTGGTAACATTTCAAAAAGAACAGTTTAAGTTGATAAGTGAAGATACAAGTTAGACCACTAAAAGTTATTCTGGTTGTTGATAGGAATGAGGAAGCCAGAAATCTGTACATATGCAAAAATATGCAAAATAAGGACAACAAAATGGATAAAAAGAAAGAAGAGGCAGGAGTCAAGTGTTTTGGTCAATAATAACCAGAAAGATGTCAAGTAAGTGCACTGAAATAAAAATTTCTAGTCATGGTAACATGTTTTTAGAAGTCCCCAGCTGCAGGCTGCACTGACCAATTTGATAAAAGAGTTTTACTAAGTTATGAGAAGAATACACATCTACATTACTCCTAGCCTTACCAAAAAATAAAATAAGGAGGACGACCACCACCTGGAACAAGAAAATCCTCCAAATACCCATAAAACTCAGTCATTACGCTAGGCAAGATTAGGAAACCTTAAAAGCAAATAGCAACGGTCACATCTACAATTTTCATCTCCTTGACTACACCTATGATTTCTGATTGCATCCAGTTTTTCTGTTCAATATACAGTTATGAACATTATAATCAACTTCTTTTTAACCAAAACTAGTTATATTGGCAAATTAGGTAGTACTGAGAAATTTAATTAGTTATAGTTTTCTTCCTGAAATATGTTTTTACTCAGTTTTGGATGCAGGTGCACTTTTCAAAGAAAAGCAACAAATTTCCATAGGCTACTGATGTCTCTCAAGTAGGACTTGGCTTTACTAGAAAAAAGTAAAAGAGAAAAATAAAATCAAATTTGGCAAGTCTTCACAAGGCATACAAAACCAATCGCACAGATCTGTTAGTAATTTTCAACATTCACAAAGAGAACATGTTGCTTCACAACTTTTTTCTATTTTTGAATAATGACAAAGACACAATACTTACTCCACAAATAAACCCTATGTAAATATTTTCTTACTCTCTTTTAAACATCTATTAGCAAACTTTGTTTCAAAATACCATTATAAAAAATATGACAAATTCAAGCCTGGGGTCTAATCTTAAATTCAACTCATTTTCCAAAAATGTAATTAATTAAAATGAAGTTATAAACAAATCTCTGGCCATTTTAGAAGACCATTAATTTTCTTGTACAGATGAGCTACTGCTTTGCATGACCATTACTATAACACCTAATACTCTGTTTTTACTAAATCTTGCATAGAACAAGACAGTGAAGTCCTTTTGTGATCTCCATTAAAGTACATGAAGGTTTACTTCTTTAATATTGGTTAAGTTAGAATTTACAAGATACTGACATGCCATGGCACTTTTGAAAATAACATGCCTACTTTAAATGGGTCCACACTGAATATGTCAAAACAATCCATTTGCTACCATGAAATAAAAATATCACCTTAAGCAAGTTGTTCTTAAACAGGATGACTAACAATAAACATTACCCAAGAAATTTCTCCAAAGTCATTAGTTTCCACAGGGAAAAATAATAAATTGGTGACAGAGGCTAATGCTAAATAAATGTCCTTTCTAAATTCATTAAACATCAGCAATATTCAGCACATTTTCCTCCCTTCATAATATGTTGATAAGTCTCCATTGAAATGGTTTCATCATCTCTTAGTTCTCTTAATTTCAAAATCTGTATTTTTCCATTTTACTTTAAAAAAGAATGGATGGCCAATGAGGACACATTTACCTCTTTCCTTTCCCCTCAAATTCCATATAAAATATATTACTAAAAAGAAGAAAGAATGATAGTGCAGGAAAATAATACCACTGCAGACCAAAAATTTTGAAGAAGCTCTGTAAACAAACACAAATCAGAGGAGATGTGATTAGTTTAAAGGCAAAATCACATTGGAGAAACCTGCAGCTAAAACAAGAAAGTGTGAGTCTGCTATAGAGGCTCAGAGAAACTCAAAGCTCATGGTCAATAAATAACAAAAGCAGGAGTACATTCTCCCAAATGCAATTTCTGACTATGGAGAGTCCCAGATTAGAGAAACAGAACAAGGTAGCAGCCAATTTATGGAAATGTAGTCCGAAACCCAGGTGAAAAACTTCTACAACCGGGAATACCCTGCCCAGCCACACCCACTTCTTTTGCCCTGCAGTTATTGGATGAAGGCTTCTGTAATGAGAATCTACATAGTACAAGAAGTAAAAAGGGATTCTCATTTGGGCTGATGAAATAAATACCCTCCAGCCACCAAGACTGTTCAGCCTAGGCTCTCAACTATTCAACAAACAACAAACAACCAAAAATCACCAAACACTTGAGGAAAAATTAGCAAGAAAGTCACCAAACTTAACATATTGAAGAAATAACACTCAGCAGAGTAAAAGAAACAGAGGAAAACGTTAAATATAATTGTAATTCTCAGTGAGATTTGAAAAGATAGCACACAGACAAAAAAAAACAATTATGGAAAAGACTGCTACAAAATTAAAAACATGACTAACAAAATAATGACAATACAAAGCCTTAAAAAAGAAAATGAAAAATTAAAGGACCTTTAAGACCAGCCTGGCCAACATGGTGAGATCCTGTCTGTACTAAAAATACAAAAATTGGCCAGGCATGGTGGCGTGCACCTGTAATCCCAGGTACTCTGGAGGCTGAGGTGGGAGAATCACTTGAACCCAGGAAGCAGAGGTTGCAGTGAGCCAAGATTGCATCACTGCATCCCAGCCTGGGTGAGAAAGCGAGACTCTCAGGAAAAAAAAAAAAAAAAAAATTAAAGGACGTAGCTAAAGATAAAATTATTGAGATAGAAGACAAAGACAAAAGATTATTCAGAATCCCCTGCAAAATGAGGAAATATAAAGTAAGAGAAAAGGAGGATAGATCTAGAAGTTCTAGTAGCTACTGAAAAAAAGAATAAAACGGAACTGAGTAGAAAAAGCAATCACAGAAATGAAAGAAGAAAATTTCCCTTAGCTAAAGGTAGATTCGGGTTTCAGACAAAAGCAGAGGTGCAGGGAGAGGCAGATGAGGCAAAGCATTAATAATATGGCATCCTAGCGTAGTATCAAACCCCAAGGATAAAAATTCCAAAATCTTCCAAAGAGAAAGAAAGAGGACGAAGGGATGAAAAAGGGTCATCTACAGTGGTACAAAAATTATATTGATATCAGAAATCTTTTTAGCAATATCAGAAAAGTCAATAGAATAGTATTTTCAAAGATCTAAGATAAAATGACTTAAACATAGGACTCTATGTCAAGTCTAATCAGCAATCAAGTGAGAATAAATATACATTTTCAGTCATGCAAAAACAGGCTAGTTTAATACCTTCAGATACAATCTAAGAATTATTAAATGATCAACTCCAGTAAAACAAAAAAAAATCAATCCAGAGAAAAAAAGATGTGGTGGTGTCCAATAGTAGTGTCCAAAAAGTAGGAAGCTAAATTTAAATAATTATTTATGCATAATTTTAAAAGGAAATAATCTAAAATTAAAATACAAAAGCATTCTAGGATAGTAACAGGGAGGAAGAGAGTAAGTGTGCTACAGATCTTATCTAGGGGAGGAATAGATATACTACAAAATTCTAAGACATTGTTAGAAAAGAGTATTGAAATTCGGTAAGAGAAAAGGTTTTGGATGTATTCAAACTGTAATTTTTATTCTTTATACAAGTAGATGTCCATGAATGGAAAAGAAATCCAATTTATATGCCTTTAAATTCAATATGAATTTGCTTTTCTTCAAATATACTCATATTTGTAGATCTGTATTGATATGGAAACATCATTCACCATTATACCATTCCTGGAGCTGCTGAACCCTCTTTAAAACAAATTGGACAAAAATGATTATAGTTAGCCTTGAACATTCTATATCGCACAGAACCAAATAATGAAATTGGGTATACAAAACTGTGATTCAAAAAGCTTAAGTATTAATTCTTGGAAAATTACTTCTCCCAAAATTCAGATGACCACAAAATCTTTACCTTGTAGGCACATTATACAAAGTGGTCCACATATAAGAATCTTAAAATTTTCTGTTGCTTATGTTTCAATTAAAATTCATCTGAACCCACCATAATATTCCTTTTATTTGATATATTATTTCTTTCTGAAAAATTAACCTAATTTTGAAAAGAGCTGATCGCCTTAAATGTCTTTACAAAAAAGAACATGAAGTTTAAAACTAGTACCATGATTTCAGGTAAAGGGCCCCCTGCTAAGAAAAATTCTAAGGGTCTAAATGAGCCTTCCATTTACTGTGTACTCCTATGTACTTATTAATAGCAAACCAACTGTCAAAAGCTGTTTTGTCTTATTGTTTTGCTAAAATGCCCTCCTATGCATTTTCCTTTCATAAATTTCATATGAAAATTAAATATTTCTTTATCGTGGAACATCTGGAACTGGTTAGTACAGAAGCTGAAAATACTGTTAGGAGAAAAACAGAAGCAGCCCATCTTTTACTCAGTAGACAACAAGTTATATATTTAAAATCTCTATAAAGGCCCTTTGTAAAGGTTGTGCATCCCTAATCTGAAAATCTGAAATCTGAAATGCTCCAACATCTGAAAGTTTTTGAGCACTGACATGACACTACAAGTAGAAAATTCCGTAAGTGGCCTTATGTGATGGGTTGCTGTCAAAATGCAGGAACACAGGACATAGTTTATTCAGAAGGTCTCCTCATCCCTAGAGGACCCATTTCTTGATCTCTCAAATGTTTCCAATATTTCTTCTTACCTAAAAAAAATAAAATACAGAGTAGAGTAACCTTTTAACAAAAACAGCACTGTAGGTAAAGTATGAAAGCCTGCCATTGTTTGATGCTATTATGCTGCTTAGTTACTCTGAACTCATTTTTTTCACTGTTAAGTACATATGTGTGAGTAAGTCTAATAAAAGAGTTGTTTATCAGTAGCATACAAATTCAGAGTCAGGAATGACAGTGATGCCAAACACCACAGAGTATCCACGTGGCTGGCTGAGACAGGGATACCTTTGCTTTCTGATGATTCAATGTATGCAAACTTTGTTTAATGCACAAAATTATTCAAAATATTACATTAAATTACCTTCAACCTATATGTTTATGATATACATAAAAAATAAATGAATTCACGTTAAGACTTGGGTCCCATCCCAACATATCTCATTACGTGTATGAAAACATTACAAAATATGAAAAAATCCAAAATCTGAAACATTTCTGGTTCCAACCATTTTGGATAAGGAATACTCAACCTGTATACTGTTTCAAATGCCAAAGACGGAGATGAGAAAAATGCCCATCCTTGATTTCTTTAAACATAAATCCAAGAACCATTAATCAAGATTCTTCAGATCTTAACTGTCACGTACATGCAAAGGGAAAGGTAATTTCTACAGCACCCAAAATACAAGGAGTTACAGTCTATTATAGTTAAAACTAACATCTAAATTATACTTCACTATAATCATGTCAAAGCTACCGACTGTCAGACACAGAAAAATAATATTCTTCATATACTCAACAACCCCAAAAGGAACAGAAGTTCGATACTGCCATTTGAAGTTTCCACTAGTCTTCAAGATCTGTCCGAACGGTGATTCAAAATCATTTTGGACAAAACATGGTTAACTCTCATTATACTGTAGATTCTTTTCTTCTTCTTAGATAACCACTCAGAAGCCAGGTACAGCATTTTAATAAAGTAAAATATTACAGACTTATCACCCGTGGGATATTTTTCAAATGCTTTTGGAACTTTTTATAGAAGGTAATTTCAGTCATGCATATTTGCGCTACTTTATTTAGCTGAGATTGAATACGAAAATAGCTCAATATGCATATCCATGAAATTTAAGGAAATGAGAAAAATTAAGAGTGGATCTAACTGCAACGTTTCTGAACACTACATTCAATTCCCACTACTAAATGGCTTAAAAATAAGAATTATGTTCTTCTCTTCTACTTAATGAGACTAACATTTCTTAATGTTTTAATAAAATACTCTTTATGGCTTACAGGCAAAAAAGGTACAACCCGAAAAAGTAAGCACTCATGGGTTGTATCTTTTTTGCCTGTAAGATATAAAGAATAAGTAACTGAATACATATATATTCAGTTAGCATTTACGTACACTATTAAATAACAGTGTTAGCTTATGCTATTATTAAATTCAAACTAAAATGATAAAATGTAAACACTAATTGTTCCTAAATTATATCCCATCAACATATTAGCAAATGTCTTCAGAGGTAAAAGTAGTTTCTGCAGACTCCTAAGACTCAACTACTTCTCTTGAAAATAGAGTCTGCTCAAGCAAATGCTGAGAGATTTTGTCACCACCAGGCCTGCCCTAAAAGAGCTCCTGAAGGAAGCACTAAACACGGAAAGGAACAACCAGTACCAGCCGCTGCAAAATCATGCCAAAATGTAACGACCATCAAGACTAGGAAGAAACTGCATCAACTAACGAGCAAAATAACCAGCTAACATCATAATGACAGGATCAAATTCACACATAACACTATTAACTTTAAATGTAAATGGACTAAATGCTCCAACTAAAAGACACAGACTGGCAAATTGGATAAAGAGTCAAGACCCATCAGTGTGCTGTGTTCAGGAAACCCATCTCACGGGCAGAGACACACATAGGCTCAAAATAAAAGGATGGAGGAAGATCTACCAAGCAAATGGAAAACAAAAAAAGGCAGGGGTTGCAATCCTAGTCTTGGATAAAACAGACTTTAAACCAACAAAGATCAAAAGAGACAAAGAAGGCCATTACATCCTGCTAAAGGGATCAATTCAACAAGAAGAGCTAACTATCCTAAATATATATGCACCCAATACAGGAGCACCAAGATTCATAAAGCAAGTCCTGAGTGACCTACAAAGAGACTTAGACTCCCACACATTAATAATGGGAGACTTTAACACCCCACTGTCAATATTAGACAGATCAACGAGACAGAAAGTCAACAAGGATACCCAGGAATTGAACTCAGCTCTGCACCAAGCGGACCTAATAGACATCTACAGAACTCTCCACCCCAAATCAACAGAATATACATTTTTGTCAGCACCACACCACACCTATTCCAAAACTGACCACATACTTGGAAGTAAAGATCTCCTCAGCAAATGTAAAAGATCAGAAATTATAACAAACTATCTCTCAGACCACAGTGCAATCAAACTAGAACTCAGGATTAAGAATCTCACTCAAAACCACTCAACTACATGGAAACTGAACCACCTGCTCCTGAATGACTACTGGGTACATAACGAAATGAAGGCAGAAATAAAGATGTTCTTTGA
The DNA here is from genome assembly GCF_000001405.40 of Homo sapiens. NCBI lineage: Eukaryota > Metazoa > Chordata > Mammalia > Primates > Hominidae > Homo > Homo sapiens. Next base: position 116,254,515 of record NC_000005.10, on the reverse strand, counting down.
AACCAACAAGAACAAAGACACAACATACCAGAATCTCTGGGACGCATTCAAAGCAGTGTGTAGAGGGAAATTTATAGCACTAAATGCCCACAAGAGAAAGCAGGAAAGATCCAAAATTAACACCCTAACATCACAATTAAAAGAACTAGAAAAGCAAGGGCAAACACATTCAAAAGCTAGCAGAAGGCAAGAAATAACTAAGATCAGAGCAGAACTGAAGGAAATACAGACACAAAAAAACCTTCAAAAAATTAATGAATCCAGGAACTGGTTTTTTGAAAGGATCAACAAAATTGATAGACCGCTAGCAAGAATGATAAAGAAAAAAAGAGAGAAGAATCAAATAGACGCAATAAAAAATGATAAAGGGGATATCACCACCGATCCCACAGAAATACAAACTACCATCAGAGAATACTACAAACACCTCTATGCAAATAAACTAGAAAATCTAGAAGAAATGGATAAAGTCCTTGACACATATACTCTCCCAAGAATAAACCAGGAAGAAGTTCAATCTCTGAAAAGACCAATAACAGGATCTGAAATTGTGGCAATAATCAATAGCTTACCAACCAAGAAGAGTCCAGGACCAGATGGATTCACAGCCGAATTCTACCAGAGGTACAAGGAGGAACTAGTACCATTCCTTCTGAAACTATTCCAATCAATAGAAAAAGAGGGAATCCTCCCTAACTCATTTTATGAGGCCAGCATCATTCTGATACCAAAGCCGGGCAAAGACACAACCAAAAAAGAGAATTTTAGACCAATATCCTTGATGAACATTGATGCAAAAATCCTCAATAAAATACTGGCAAACCAAATCCAGCAGCACATCAAAAAGCTTATCCACCATGATCAAGTGGGCTTCATCCCTGGGATGCAAGGCTGGTTCAATATACACAAATCAATAAATGTAATCCAGCATATAAACAGAGCCAAAGACAAAAACCACATGATTATCTCAACAGATGCAGAAAAGGCCTTTGACAAAATTCAACAACGCTTCATGCTAAAAACTCTCAATAAATTAGGTATTGATGGGACATATTTCAAAATAATAAGAGCTATCTATGACAAATCCACAGCCAATATCATACTGAATGGGCAAAAACTGGAAGCTTTCACTTTGAACACTAGCACAAGACAGGGATGCCCTCTCTCACCACTCCTATTCAACATAGTGTTGGAAGTTCTGGCCAGGGCAATTAGGCAGGAGAAGGAAATAAAGGGTATTCAATTAGGAAAAGAGGAAGTCAAATTGTCCCTGTTTGCAGATGACATGATTGTATATCTAGAAAACCCCATTGTCTCAGCCCAAAATCTCCTTAAGCTGATAAGCAACTTCAGCAAAGTCTCAGGATACAAAATCAATGTACAAAAATCACAAGCATTCTTATACACCAATAACAGACAGAGAGCCAAATCATGAGTGAACTCCCATTCACAATTGCTTCAAAGAGAATAAAATACCTAGGAATCCAACTTACAAGGGATGTGAAGGACCTCTTCAAGGAGAACTACAAACCACTGCTCAACGAAATAAAAGAGGATACAAACAAATGGAAGAACATTCCATGCTCATGGGTAGGAAGAATCAATATCATGAAAATGGCCATACTGCCCAAGGTAATTTACAGATTCAATGCCATCCCCATCAAGCTACCAATGCCTTTCTTCACAGAATTGGAAAAAACTACTTTAAAGTTCATATGGAACCAAAAAAGAGCCCGCATCGCCAAGTCAATCCTAAGCCAAAAGGACAAAGCTGGAGGCATCACACTACCTGACTTCAAACTATACTACAAGGCTACAGTAACCAAAACAGCATGGTACTGGTACCAAAACAGAGATATAGATCAATGGAACAGAACAGAGCCCTCAGAAATAATGCCACATAGCTACAACTATCTGATCTTTGACAAACCTGAGAAAAACAAGCAATGGGGAAAGGATTCCCTATTTAATAAATGGTGCTGGGAAAACTGGCTAGCCATATGTAGAAAGCTGAAACTGGATCCCTTCCTTACACCTTATACAAAAATCAATTCAAGATGGATTCAGGACTTAAATGTTAGACCTAAAACCATAAAAACCCTAGAAGAAAACCTAGGCAATACCATTCAGGACATAGGCACAGGCAAGGACTTCATGTCTAAAACACCAAAAGCAATGGCAACAAAAGCCAAAATTGACAAATGGGATCTAATTAAACTAAAGAGCTTCTGCACAGCAAAAGAAACTACCATCAGAGTGAACAGGCAGCCTACAAAATGGGAGAAAATTTTCGCAACCTACTCATCTGACAAAGGGCTAATATCCAGAATCTACAATGAACTCAAACAAATTTACAAGAAAAAAACAAACAACCCCATCAAAAAGTGGGCAAAGGACATGAACAGACACTTCTCAAAAGAAGACATTTATGCAGCCAAAACACACATGAAAAAATGCTCACCATCACTGGCCATCAGACAAATGCAAATCAAAACCACAATGAGATTTGCCACCTTCTCACACCACTTAGAATGGCAATCATTAAAAAGTCAGGAAACAACAGGTGCTGGAGAGGATGTGGAGAAATAGGAACACTTTTACATTGTTGGTGGGACTGTCAACTAGTTCAACCCTTGTGGAAGTCAGTGTGGCGAATCCTCAGGGATCTAGAACTAGAAATACCATGTGATCCAGCCATCCCATTACTGGGTATATACCCAAGGGACTATAAATCATGCTGCTATAAAGACACATGCACACGTATGTTTATTGTGGCATTATTCACAATAGCAAAGACTTGGAACCAACCCAAATGTCCATCAATGATAGACTGGATTAAGAAAATGTGGCACATATACACCATGGAATACTATGCAGCCATAAAAAATGATGAGTTCATGTCCTTTGTAGGGACATGGATGAAATTGGAAATCATCATTCTCAGTAAACTATCGCAAGAACAAAAAAACCAAACACCGCATATTCTCACTCATAGGTGGGAATTGAACAATGAGATCACATGGACACAAGAAGGGGAACATCACACTCTGGGGACTGTTGTGTGGTGGGGGGAAGGGGGAGGGATAGCATTGGGAGATATACCTAATGCTAGATGACGAGTTAGTGGGTGCAGCACACCAGCATGGCACATGTATACGTATGTAACTAACCTGCACAATGTGCACATGTACCCTAAAACTTAAAGTATAATAATAAATAAATAAATAAATAAATAAATAAATAAATAAAAAGAAAAGAGTCTGCTTTAATTTTTGAAAAATCTGTGTAATGGGGAACAAATACTTAATGAACAATAAACTGAAGGTAAGAACATAATGGAAAAATCAAGCATTTGAAATGACAGCTTCAGAAAACAATGAACAAGCATAATAATAAAAACAGGTTGCACCTATCTTCTTGCCTACTTGGTAGCATTAACTAGGAGCTCTGTGCACATGGGTAGCTTTGGATACGGGCAAGCTTCACTTTAGGCAGGAATTTCACTTAAGGCAGGAACTGGTAGGAAAACTGCACCCCCCAACCCAAGCCAGAATAATGTAGGCTTAGTAGTGGCATGCCAAGAGGCACAACAGAAACGTCACCCTTTCCCATATGGTTCATTGCTCAGAAGAACTGAAATCAGACTGGTTTCTAATCTGGGTTGTAAAAGTGAAGTAGGTGAGCCAATTGTCCCAGTTGCAGATATGGTCCTTTAATTGAGTCTCCTGTTTTGAGCTCTGTATCTTCATCCTTGCAGATTCTCAGAAGAGAGACTCTCCAAGGTTCAGGCAGGCTGATCAGTTCCCTCCCATCTCCTCCTCTGCACTGCTTGTTCCATCAGTTAGCTCATTCCCATTTTTCCTTCTCCTAGTAATTTCTTGAAAACATACCAAGTGCTAGTAAGTCTCTCTGATTTTCTTTGCTGCATGGATCTATTCCTTTATGTATATGCCTCTATGAGGTGAGGTGTCAGGAAGGATAAGAAGTCATCATGTATGCTCAGCCCTCCATCTTCAATCAAATAGAATTTTTTTTCCTTTTTAGCCAAACTACTTCCATCTAGTATCTCCAATTATGTATAAAAATCTTGTCTCTGTAAACCCATAGAACAGCTACCCTTTCTAAGAACTAAACAAATAAAAACGCCACAGCATTTCAATATAAATTGTTCATATTCATATGAATTGAAAATTATACCTGAAAGATAACACGTTATTATTACTATACCAAATGCATATTAAGAAAACCAATCCATCTAGTGAATCTCAAAAATATTCAGTTTCTGTTTCAGGTTCAAAAGTCTCCTTACAAACTAAAAGATAAAAAATGTAATTTTTTCCAGGTATCACAGCGATTGAATTAGCTCCAAGATAATGAAAACTAGATGTTTGAAAGTAAAAAGTCAGATTTCTTTCAAAACAGAGAATGAACAGAAAAGATCAACTATGGTAATACATGGAAGTTTGAGGGAATATAAATTATCATTATTCATAAAATGAAATTTGAAAAATATAACAATATAAAACTTGAACAATCTGGAAACATATTAACTTTATGATAAACATACCACTAAACAAATATAATTGTTAAGTGACTTATGTGAATCATAGACAATTAAATCATTATGTTGACTTTATTACTTTACTGTCATTGTTGATTCATTTCATAAAATCAGATGTGGACCTAATCTCTTGCCAAGAATTCCCCCCAAAACACAAATATAACAAGAAGCATAAGCCATATAAAGGCAACTTAAAATCTGTACTACATTACACACTCTATTTTTAAGATTTTAATTGGCTATAGTAAGAGAAAACCATTTTATAAACTACAATATAGTTTATTTGATATAAACCCATTGACCATCACAGTCGTGCCAGCATTATCTTTCAGAATTCAAATGTTTGTAACCCATAAGGTGTAGATGTGAATATGAGGGAATTTACCTTGACTTGTCTCTTCTCATTTTTGAATTCTCTAGTCAATTTCAAATTCTCAATACTTTATTAATACTTTAGTACTTTATTACCATTGCTTATATAAGAATTCTTTTTTATTTAATATCAAAGTAACTTCAAAATCATTGTGATGCAACCAATATGATTAATTAAAATCTTTCATTGAAACAAATGAGCTCTACGAAACTGGATTTTGTGGTTTGCCATGGCCAGGCCATTTGATTTATCCAGATATCCAACAGATGAAAGATTCGAATACTTATCTACAATAATCACTGAAATAATGTTTGAGGGCATACCTCAATCCTGTCATAAAACAAAATTAAAGAATATTTCAATGAAAAGTAAATACTTCTTTGCAATTATTTGTTATCTGAAATAGCCCCAACCATAGCAGTCCCAAATATACCAAGGTAATAAGAATTTATGATGAAAAATATGACTTTAAAGGAAGAATATGAATGGTAACCATGCTCTGATGTGAATATATTTTTCTTTCACTAAAAACAATAAAAATTGCTAAAGACAATATCATTAACATTTAACACAGCTTAAAAGTATAATAATGGGCACAGTACCATTTACTGTTACTTATTATTACTTGATTTTAGAAATCTCCAAACAAGATGTTCAAACAAGATGTCAGTAACTTAAATTTCTTTTGTTTCAAATAATATGCATGGTGAGAAATTGCTTTTTTGTTTTTTTCTGTCTCTGGTCTTCCATTTCAATTTTGTCAGTATATTTCCGGATCCAAGAGATAGCAACATACATGAGTTGCTTCACATGACACATTTTGTTTTTATTTTAGTGTTGTTTTTAAAGTTGGTAGAAAAGGAAAACAAGAGTATTTGCACAGCCAGGCCACAGTAACTCAACTTTGTCTCTAACAGAACCAACAGAGACCTGTATGAATAACTGCTATACAGAAGGCCACTCCCAGAAATTGTGCAAGTCTTTAGACCAGGACAAATGTATTAAAACAAAACAAAACCAAATTACAACAAAAACAGAACTGTACAGGCTATTTTGATACCTAACTAGGGTCTCGCACACCTGGCATAGATCAGCACTAAGGGCTTTACTCTCTCCTATCTTCCTTTACCTTTCCGGAGTCTTTGTTGTAAATAACCTTAATTCTTTTTCTGTCAAACAGGTTACCTGCTTTACAAATGCCTAACTCTTAATATTATACTTTTTCTAATTATCCCTCACAGGGCTGCCTTGTAGTTCCATCTGTATCCATCTGTATCTGAAACTTTCAATGCTGTCCAAAAGCTACACTTAAGTCAATTTATGCACTCCTAAATTGTAATTAAGAGAAATTCAAGGTCATAGAAGGATGACTGTTTAATAAATATTCTGATGTGAGCACATGCTGGTATAGAGCTTAAAGAAAAATGCTCAGTTATTTTTTTTTTTTTGGCTTAGCACAATATTTTCTACTCACAGCAGTAAAAGTGGTATTCTTGGTCAGTGAATATGATTCTTTTGTTTGCTTAGGTCTTGAAATTTCTGTCAGTAATTCTTTGTACAACTTTTATTAAATTTGTAGGTATTGCATAAAATTTTGATATTGTGTTATCTTTTTAACTTTTAAGTTCAGGGGTACATGTGCATATTTGCTACATAGGTAAACTTGTGTCATGGGGATCTGTTGTACAGATTATTTCATCAACCAGATATTAAGCCTAGTATCCATTAGTTATTTTTCCTGATCCTTTCCTTCCTCCCACCTTCACCCTCCAATAGACCCCAGAGTTTGTGTTGTTCCCCTGTATGTATCCATGTGTTCTCATCATTTAGCTCCCACTTATAAGGGAGAACATGTGGTTGTTGCTTTCTGTTCCTGCATTAATTTGCTAAGGATAATGGCCTCCAGCTCCATCCATGTCCCTGCAAAGGATATGATCTCGTTCTTTTTTATGGCTGCATAGTATTCCATGGTGTGTATGTACCACATTTTCTTTATCCAGTGACAGGCGTTTAGCTTGATTCCCTGTCTTTGCTGTTGTGAATAGTGCTGCAATGAACATACGTATGTGTCTTTATAATAAAATGGTTTATTAATATATTCCTTTGGGTATATACCCAGCAATGAGATTGCTGGCTTGAATGGTATTTCTGCTGTTAGGTCTTCAAGGAATCACCACGCTGTCTTCCACAATGGTTCAAGCAATTTACACTGCCACCAACAGTGTATAAGTGTTCTCTTTTCTCCACAACCTCACCAACATCTGTTATTTTTTGACTTTTTAATAATAACCTTTCTGACTGAGATGGGTATCTCATTGTGGTTCTGATTTGCATTTCTCTAATAATCAGTGATGTTGAGCTTTTTTTCATATGACTGTTGACCATATGTATATCTTCTTTTGAAAAGTATCTGTTTATATCCTTTGCCCAGTTTTTAATGAGGTTGTTTTGTTTTTTTCTTTGGAAATTTAAGTTCCGTATAGATACTAGATATTAGACCTTTGTTGGATGCAAAGTTTGCAAAGATTTTCTCCCATTCTTTAGGTTCTCTGTTTACTCTGTTGATAGCTTCTTTTGCTGTACTGAAGCTCTTTAATCAGATCGCATTTATCAATTTTTGCTTTTGTTGCAATCGCTTTCGGTGTCTTCATCATGAAATCTTTGCCCGTGCCATTGTCCTGCATGGTATTGCCTAGGTTGTCTTCCAGGGGTTTTATACTTTTGTGCTTTACATTACAGTCTTTAATCCATTTTTGTTTATGGTGTAAGGAAACGGTCCAGTTTCAACCTTCTGCATACGGCTAGCCAATTATCCCAACACTATTTATTTAATAGGAATCCTTTCCCCATTGCTTGCTTTTGTCAGGTTTGTTGAACATCAGATAGTTGTAGGTATATGGCCTTATATCTGGGTTCTCTATTCTGTTCCATTAGGCTATGTGTCTTTTTTTGTACTAATACCATGCTGTTTTGATTATTGTAGCCCTGTAATATAGTTTGAAGTCAAGTAATGGGATACCTCCAGCTTTGCTCTTTTTGCTTAAAATTGCTTTGGCTATTCAGTCTCTTTTTTGGTTCCAGATGAACTTTAAGATAGTTTTTTTTTTTTCCTAGTTCTACAAAGAATCTCAATGGAGGTTTAATAGGAATAGCACTGAATCTATAAATTGCTTTGGGAAGTATGGCCATTTTTAATGACATTGATTCTTCTTGTTCATGAGCATGAAATGTTTTTCCATTTGTGTCACTTCTGATTTCTTTAAGCAGTGTTTTGTAGTTTTTCTTGTAGAGATATTTTGCTTCCCTAGTTAGCTGTATTCTTAGGTATTTTATTCTTTTTGTGGCCATTGTGAATGGGAGTATGTTCCTCATTTGGCTCTTGGATTGACTGCTGTTGATGTATAGGAATCCTAGCGATTTTTGCACACTCATGTTGTATTCTGAGACTCTGCTGAAGTTGTTTATCAGCTTAAGAAGCTTTTGGCTGAGACTATGTGGTTTTCTAGAAATTGGATCATTTCATCTGCAAACAGGGATAGTCTGACTTCCTCTCTTCCTATTTGGATGCCCTTTATTTCTTTCTCTGGCCTATTTGCCCTGGCCAGTACTTCCAATACTATGTTGAATAGGAGTGGTGAGAGAGGGCATCCTTGTTTTGTGCCAATTTTTAAGGGGAATGCTTCCAGCTTTTGCTCATTCAGTATGATGTTGGCTGTGGGTTTGTCATAGAAGACTCTCATTTTGAAGTATGTTCCTTCAATACCTAGTTTGCTATGAGTTTTAAACACGAAGGTATGAATTGTATCAAATGCCTTTTCTGCATCTATTGAGATAATCATGTGGTTTTTGTCTTTAGCTCTGCTTATGTGATGAATGACATTTATTGATTTGCATATGTTGAACCGACCTTGCAGCCCAGGGATAAAGCCTACTTGATGGGGGTGGGTAAGCTTTTTGATGTGCCGCTGGATTTATTTTGCCAGTATTTTGTTGAGGACTTTTGTATCAATGTCCACCAAGCATAGTGACCTGAGGTTTTCTTTTTTTGTTTTATCTCTGCCAGGTTTTGGTATCAGGGTGATGCTAGCCTCACAGGATGAGTTAGGGAGGAGTTGCTCATCAACTTTTGAAATAGTTTCAGTAGAAATGGTACCAGCTCTTCTTCATACATCTGGGAGAATTCAGATGTGAATACGTCTGGTCCTGGACATTATTGGTTGGTAAGCTATTTATTACTGTCTCAATTTCCAAGCTTGATATTGTCTGTTTAGAGATCCAGTTTCTTCCTGGTTCACTCTTGGGAGGGTAGCTGTGTTGAGGAATTTATCCATTGCTTCTAGATGTTCTAGTTTATGTGCACGGAAGTATTCATAATATCCTCCGATGGTTATATTTCTGTGGGGTCAGTTGCAATCGCCCCTTATCATTTCTGATTGTGTTTATTTGAATATTTTGTGTTTATATGAATATTCTCTTTTCTTCTTTATTAGTCTAGCTAGTGATCTATGTATTTTATTAATTTTTTTTTTCAAAAAACCAGCTCCTGGATTTATGTTTTGAATGATTTTTCTTATCTCAATCTCCTTCAATTCAGCTCTGATTTTGGTTATTTCTTGTCTACTGCTAGCTTTGGGATTTGTTTGCTCTTGGTTTCCTAGTTCTTTTAGTTGTGATGTTAAGTTGTAAGTTAACTTGAGATCTTTCTAACTTGTGATATGGGCATTCAGTGCTATACATTTCCCTCTTAATACTGCCTTAGTCGGATTCCATAGATTCCGGTATTTTGTATCTCTGTTCTCAGCAGTTTCAAGTAACTTCTTGATTTCTGCCTTAATTTCATTGTCTACCTAAAAATCATTCAGGAGAAGGTATTCAATTTTCATGTAATCATATGGCTGTTTTCTTTTTTTTTTTTTTTTTTGTAATTTTTTTTTTCCTTACTTGTTAAGTGGTAATGGTATAGTAGCATCTTAAAATACCTTACTTTTAAGATTCAGCCGGGGAAACTTCTCCTATTCTTTACCCCTCCTCAGATATTTCTCTACTGTACCCCCATAGCTCTTGAACATCTCATGACATATATCATTGTATTTTAATTTAATAAATTCATTTGTCTATTCACTAGACTGGCTTCTTTGCATTATAACCAGGACTTCACATAGATGTTGGTACCTCATAGATTTCTAATAAATACCTACTGAATTAAGGAAACATGAATTTATGTTCTACATAATGATGCTAGTGAAAATTTGTTACTGTGTTTATTTCTCACAAGGAATAAACATGGAGTGTATCCTGTAGTTGTGTCCAGTGGGAATCAATTACTGATACCTGGTGATGTAGACAAGTTGTTTTAAAAAAGAAAAAAAATGAAAGAAAGCAGTCTCTTCTTTTACCAGTCCCTACCTCAACCTATATTTTCTTTAAGAAAAAAGCTGTGATATCCATTTCTCTGTACTATCAACAGTTCTTGAAGTTGCCTTGAGAAGCACAGATTCCTTGAATCAGTCCAAATACATGATATATAGATATATAATATGTGTGTGTGTATAGACATCTTTAGTAGAAACAGCTTTTCAGATATTGATTTAACATTGTTTTCCTCCCGGCTTTCCATTGACTCAATGATTTCAGATAAAGTTTCAAATTGCATCTTAATTATGGGGAGTGGGGATAGTATTTAATCTCTGGCTCCTCTTTTTTAAGGTTATTTCTGAAACTGCCTTGATGTGGTTCAAGCCCAGAATAAATGCAGTTTACTGCCTATCACTCCATACTCTTAAGATGGTTTTGCCAGCTTTTAGTGCCTCTCAGATGTTCTGAAATAAGGTCAAGCTGATTCTACATACTACTGGTGGTAGGTGTTAGTGCTGTCACTTTGGCAAAATGTTTTTGACTTGAGATAGAATCATTAATCCAGGGATATCTTGTTAATAAATTTACTGAATACTCACTTCGACTTTCTGATGTAGCAGTTTTTAATACTACAGCTTTTTCATGTGAGCTAGTTTATTTTTGGCTGAACTATATTTTTATTTGTTTAAACACCAAGATACTTGGAGAATCATATTCTCCAAAGTCTCCATAGTGTGACAAATAGGAATTTGTATGTTTTATAATTTCTAACTGTTTTCCTCAAAGTCATTATTTCAGAAATTAAAACATGTAAATTTTCACTTCTGGGGTGATATTTTCTGGCAGTGGATGTAAGATACTCTCCTATTCAGTTTAAAAGAGTGAAATTTGAAGTTTCTGTTTTCCCTAATTAGGCTTTCCCTGAACATGTATGTAATGCAAATTGAGTCAGTCTGATCTTGGCTTTCTTGTAACTGTAGTCTGGTGGTCTTAAAAAGAACTGAAATCATACATAAGATGTTACATGGTACAGAATATAGTGTTTACAACTGTACTTTTCTATATTCATAGTGCAGTCAGCATTTAATTTTGAAATATGACAAGTTGTCTATTTGTTCCATGAGTAGTACTTCTTGGACATCACAATCACTTCAGGCTGTGCTCTTAATTCCTGTCCAGGGTATTATTTAATAAAGAAAAACAGGATCAAAGGAAACATTTTAAAAATAAACATTTTAATTAGCATTGAAAATTTAAGCACTTTCATTAATGTTTCCCCAGATGGAGTCCTTCAACTAAATCAAGATTTTATCTGCTTGTCAAGGTCCATCTCAAATGCATTTCTTTTTTGAAGCCTATCCAACGATTATTATTTACTTTTCTTATATTAGCTTAATACCACTTTTACCCCTTCATTCTAGTGAAGCATAATACTGTGAGATCAGGCATTTAATGCTACAGAACCCTCTCCCCTCTAAAATCTTACCTGAAAAGCTCAATATATTAAAACAATGAACAGGCAATTGCTCTGGCTGAAGCAGAAGTAGGAGGGCTGGAATCCTATATACCTCTTTCTGCACTCCCCTTTCATTCCCACTGGGTCAAAAGTACTTGTTAAGGACATAGTTCCAGAAACTGGCTGCTTTTCAAAATAATACAAGCTTTGGAAGCAGGCCACTAGCTACTGAACCTTGAGAAAAAACTCAATCTAAACCCCAGTTCTCTTTCCTGTAAGATGATGATAATAATAATGTCAAACCCTCAGGGTTGCTGAGAGGATTTCCTAAGATAACTGTTAAAATGACTTGCACGGTGCCTGGTATGTAACCATCTATAAACATGTGTTAAAGTGACTGAAATTCTCAAAAACCACATAGCTAATTAATGGCAGAGCCAAAACTAAAACCTGACAAAGGCAATTTGTCTACCATATCATCATACTAATAGGCAACAGATATGCATTTATATACCTTAACAAAACTTTCAAAACTGAAATGACTTTTTTTTCCTAAATCTTACTGTACAATTATCTGTTGTCTGTTATTAGATACGGTCAGAATCTTCATAATCATTGAGTCTCTCTGTGAAACCTACAGCAGCTATCGGCATTCACCTTCATAGCTGTTAGCTTCAGAGTTAAGGAATGTACATTAGAGTTACCTTAGGAGATAACTCAGGGTCCTATGACTCCAGGTGACATAGGTCTGCCTTTTTGTTTAATGTAAGACAGAAACTATTAAGGATTTTTTCACATGAGTTGAGGGATCCTCTGAGAGGTTAAATTTATTCAGGCTAACTAAAAGACAAATTGGCTGGGCGTGGTGGCTCACGCCTGTAATCCCAGCACTTTGGGAGGCCGAGGTGGGTGGATCACGAGGTCAGGAGATAGAGACCATCCTGGCTAACATGGTGAAATCCCGTCTCTACTAAAAAGAAAATACAAAAAATTAGCTGGGCGTGGTGGCGGGCGCCTGTAGTCCCAGCTACTCAGAAGGCTAAGGCAGAAGAATGGCGAGAACCCGGGAGGCGGAGCATTCAGTGAGCTGAGATTGCGCCACTGCACTCCAGCCTGGGCGACAGAGCGAGACTCCATCTCAAAATAAATAAATAAATAAATAAATAAATAAATAAATAAATAAATAAGAAAGCAGAGTGTAAGAGGATAGAGAGTTTTACCATATTAAGAACTAGACAGCTTGTATTTTATTCTTCTCTAAATAAAAGTATTCTTACGTACAGTCTGTGGCACTTTTTAGTAAAGGTTGTGTCAGTAAGTGAAGTTTTTTACTTTGGTACAGAGTATGCAGATTTTATGGTGGCTCAGAAAATTACAGATATGTAGGTATTTGGGGCTTGCCATTTACTTTAAAAAAGTTCTTAGGCTGAAATAAGCTGTTTTGATTTTGCTCCAGGGTCTAACCTAATCCTCTACCTTCAGTTTTATTTTTAGTGGTAGAAACCATTTCAAAGAAATGTCCACCTACGGTTAAACTAATTTTCAATATTATAAGGAAGCAATGACTAGATCCTTTTTACTAAAGATGATACTCAACTTCATGTTCTAATTTCTTTGGCTTATGTCTTTTTTCTGATGAACCTCAATTAGTAGTTCTGAAGTGACCTAGGAATGGAAACCTCTGCTTCATTCCTGTTCTACCCAAGGACCATAAACTAGTCACTTAATCTTACTGGGTCTCAGATTCCTCCTTCTTAATGTGAAGAATTTGACTAAATAAATAAAACAAGTGTGTTTTAACAAAAAATGGATCTACCTCAGATTAAAGACATAGAGGAAAATTAATCTTGTAGCCTGGAATAATTTTTCTTTATTTACATTTTGAGGAGCCAGCAGTTTATAAATAGTTCACCATTGCAGGAAGTGATTACCCATCATATTAGAACAATAGCTACAAGTTCGAAATCACCACTTGGCTTTTAAAATCTTAACAACTATTCTACCTTTATGTTGAATTACTCTAGTTGACCTAAGTAATACCCAGATTTACTGGAGTTTCATGTGTCACTTGACACTAGTGATTCTTCCTTCTCATTCCTTTCTCCTGATTTCTTGCCTAGGATACCGAAGCAGGAGAAACTCTTAAAATGGAACTTCTCAGGTTCTCTATGAAGTTCTCATGCAACATGGCTTAAAGAACAGCTGTGAAGAACTCCTACCAGCTGCATAAGGCTAGCTAGTTTTGGAGAATGATGACCCCCTAAATATTTGACTAGAAAGCATTTTAAATATTTGAGGTAACACAATTTTATAAGAATTATGTGCTTATGAAGTTTTCTCAGGAAAAGCTAATTTGTAATTAAAATATTACAATTAATCTTTATGCTTGGGACAGGCAGATTTCAGGAGGAGATTGCTGTATTCTCCCTTCTTTCCTTTGCCTCCATTCTTTTCTCTCTTCTCCATTCTGTTTCTTTTGCCCTCCTCATCTCACCTTACCTTTCTCTTCCCATATTTTTCTTCATCTTTTTTCTTTTTTGTTACGTCTTCCATTTCTCCCATTTTTCATCATCTACCTGTCTACACTTATGTTCTTATATTTATGTACCTTATTCACTTTTCTTCTGTCTTTCCTTTGTTGAACCTGAAAGAGGACTCTCTCTAGCCTCACATAGTGATCTACTATTTTCTGCCTGTCTGTCCTTGTGCTCACTTTTATAAAGCAAAGTATAGGAGAAATAAATTCAAGGGTGTCGTTATCTTATGACACCTCAACTCTTCTACTCTGAGACTACCACCGGCCATTCTGGACTCTACTCTCCTTGGGGGGGAGTGAAAAATAAGCTAAGTTATAAGTTATAAGTAGATAGTGCCAATCAGTTGAAGAAAAGACAAAGTTTCTGCCTTGTCAATCATTTAAACACAGCAAACCTGGAGCAGTCCTCATGTAATGTGTAGCTGTAAACTCTGCGAGAACAGGAGCACCCAATGTAGCACCCTGCTCTTATTGGTAGAATTCATTAATTTATGAAAGGTAATCATAAATCACCTTACATGCTTAAATAGTTATGACAGGGCTTTTAATTGGTTTGCACACAGATTCTGATCAAATGACAGCTGCTATTTTTTCCATTATTTTGACCAGCACTTTATGAATCTTCTAAATGTCGTGGAAGTTGGCATTACCTGCAAAGGCCACTCCAATACAAAGCTAAATGCTACAAGAGTCAGATTTTATTTTCTTCCTGACTTTTAAAATGTACTGCTCAAAGAGAGGCAAAGCTCATATAAGGCCCATGTGAGCTGCTTTTAGCTCCAGAATCATGATACGAGTTTTTTAAAAATTAAAAACAAAAACCAACCCTCAAATCTTCCCTTTTCTTCAGTATCCATTGATTATGGCAATTCTAATAACTCTCACAAATGTGTGAGTAAGTCTATGATGAGGCTTCTTTGAAGAGAAATCAAAGTTCTGATGGGAGAAATAGAAGCATATTTAAAAAGTATTTGTTACTAATGCCAACAAATTTTGTTGAGTTTTGCTGGTTAACCAAGAACCTATAAAAAATCCACTAAGATTCTTGTGTGAAGAGTTATTTTAGTATAGGAATTTTGTTAAAAGCCATGGTTTAAATTGAGTATAAATTTGCGATTGGCAAAAAAACAAGCTTTGCTGTTCTCTGTTTAATTAAAGAGACAACAGTTAAGAACTTCATCGAGCTCTTCAATAGAAGACATACACTTTAAAAAAAAATCAACTTGTTGATGCAGCATGCTGCTACTATGCTAGAATTGCTTTAATCTTGGAGAAAAACAAATTTTTGGAACTCTAAATGTAAAAGTTTCAAAGAAATTTAGGATCATCCAAATCGTTCGTCTAAACAACTGAAGACATTAAACAGATACATATTTGTAAGTGACAGAAACAATTACTGATGTATGTATTATCCAGTGGTACTATGTCAAAGCCCAGTCTCTCCCTCACAAACCTGGTTCTGTGCTTTGCTGGAATCATTCCCTGGGTGTTTACCCCATATAAGGAGTATGAGCTGGAGATTTTCATCTTGTTGCCAGTAGAAATAGATTTTTATGTCTTAAGTAGAATTGATGTTGTTAAATTGAATATGAACTCCTGGGGAGCCTACATATTTTTTAATTTTCAAAACCAATTGTAAAATGTTGAAGTATACTGTTAGTCCTTCTATGGCACAGAGGGTACTTACTTATGAGGTTCTCAGAACAGAAGCTTTAGGTTTGTTGAATAAAACTTAATGGGAATTTAAGCTGGTTTCTAACTATTAACAGATGTAACATTTAGGGAAACATTTCAAAATTACATTAAACCAGCTAAAAGTGGTCAGGATGACATATAATAAAATCATCAAAGATTTGAGAATTGCCCAATTTAAGTTCATTCAAAACTCTTGCCTTTTAACCCATTAATCATGAAAAACTCTGTTCTTAATTGTCATGCAGTCCAGTAAATATGTGCAGTTTTTCTGTCACCAATGCCAAGAACAATCTGACAATTTACTGATAGTTTTATTATAGTGGCTACAAATAATTCTGAAAATGGTATTTTAAGAAATATCTTGCTGAGAAGCATTGTTTCTTCCAGGAAGTAGCCTTTCATATTGGTCTAAACAGTTCAAGGCGATGGCCTCCTACTGGAACTCTAGGGCATTACTATTTTCAGACCTTGTTTTTTGTGCAACATGAGCCATATTGATTTCCAGATAATATAAATTTATTCAAAACAAAATACTGTAACATTCTGGGAGCAGATTGCTTTTACTTTTATTAAATTTACCTTTATTACAACTAAGAAAATTGCTTTGAAACGACGACATTCTGACCCTTTAGCTTTGTTGTCATTTAAAATCTTTCCCAAAGTTTCTACTGTTATTCTAATTCTCAGTAGGAGTTGATGATATTAGTACAGATCAGAGATTTAAGATTTAACACCACTGCTAACTTGCAAGAAATACAAAATGCATTTATTGCATTTTATGAGCTTTGCTCATAATTTAACCATGATAATAAAAAGCAGATTAAAGATAATACCTGCTCATGTGAAATATTTCCTAAGAGTACTTCAGCTTAAAAATCTTGCCTCTTTTTTTTCTAGAAGCAGGGTCTCAATACGTTGCCCAGGCTAGCCTCAAACTTTTGCGCTCCAGTGATCCTCCCACCTCAGCCTCCCAAGTAGCTGGACTATATAGCATGTGCCATTGCGCTTGGCAATTTTTTTTCTGTAACGTTTATCTACATTTTAAAATAAAAGCTTGATGTAGTATTTTTTTTCAAGTTTATGAACTTATGATAGAACTAAATTGAAAATCATGTGATTTGTAAAACTGCAATGTTACATCTGTTTTAATAAAACTACCAAAGAGAAAAATACTCAAATATAACCATTACTATTCTACTCTGTAAACACTTCCCATCTCTGTCACACTAAGAAATCTTTACACTAGCCTACAAAGTCTAGACTAGTGACGCAGCCCATTTCAATTTACCTCTCTGATCTTATTTCCCACCATTCTCTCTCCCTCACTCAATTCACTTGAGCCACATTAACCTGCTTGCTGTTCATCAAACATATCAGAGACATTCTGCTTTAGGATCCTTGTACTAGTTATATCCTCTGCCCGTAACATTCTTCATTCAGATAGCCACAGTCTTTGCTCAGTGCTCACGTCAGCTTCTCAATGAGGCCTACCTTGATCATTCTATTCAATAATTGCAATTTGCATACCCCCACCCCAATACATTAACCCCTTTACTCTGCTCTACTTTTTAAAAAAATCTATTTTAGATCGGCTTTAGTTTCGCAGCAAAATTGAGAGGAAGATATAAAAATTTCCCATATAACCCCTACTATTATCAGTATCCCCCACCAGAGTAGTACATTTGTTACAGTCAATGAACCTATACTGACAGATCATAATCAACCAACGTCCATAGTTTACATTAGGGTTCACTCTTGGTGTTGTAAATTCTGTGAGTTTGAATAAATTATAGTATCATACATGGTATTTACTGGAGCCCTAAAAATCATCTGTGTTCCATCTACTCATCTCCCACCCCCAACCCCTGATCTTTTTTACTCTCTTCACAGTTTTGTCTCTTCTAGAATGTCATATAGTTGGAATCATGCAGTATAGAGTCTTTTCACATTGGCTTGAGTTAGTAATGTGTATTTAAGGGGTCTCCATGTCCTTTCACGGCCCAACGGATCACTTCTTTTTTTTTTTTTTTTTTTTGAGACGGAGTCTTGCTCTTGTCACCCAGGCTAGAGTGCAGTAGTGTGATCTCGGCACACCGCAACCTCCGCCTCCTGGGATCAAGCTATTCTAGTGCCTCAGTCTCCCTAGTAGCTGGGATTACAGGTGCCTGCCACCATGACCAGCTAATTTTTGTACTTTTAGTAGAGACAGAGTTTCACCATGTTGGCCAGGTTGGTCTTGAACTCCTGTGCTCAGGTGATCCACCCACCTCAGCTTCCCAAAGTGCTGGGATTACAGGTGTGAGCCACTGGGTCCAGCCGAATCATTTCTTTTTAGCACTGAATAATATTCCATTGTCTGGTTGTACCAAGTTTACTTATCCTCTGGAAGACATCTTGGATGCTTCCATACCCAAGGTTATCTACATTTCCTCCTCTGCTCTACTTCTTCTGTTACAATAACATGTATCCTTTTCTAACAAACTATATGATGTTCTTATTTCTAAGTAACATAATGCCGCAAATAAAACATATAAAAGAGTGTTCAAAGATAACCAAAGATAACAGGTGGGCACAAATAATGTATGTATGCTATAGAAAGAAAATCAGACAAGTAATTTTTAAAAACCACCAGACTTGAAGAAAACTATTGATTTTAAGATGGAAGGGCTGAGCAAGTATCAAGCGAACTGAATGAATAAAATACTTGAATCCAAATATATTCTCTTGAAGTTTTATCCATCGAAGATAAAGAAGAAAACCCTTAAGAGATTCCAAGGAGGGAAAAAGATGTTACCAACACAAGAATGTGAATCAAATTGGAATTCTATTTCTCATCAGCAACCCTAAATTCCAGGACACAATGGAGGAAATGTCTTCAAGGTTCTATAGGAGAATGATTTTGAAAACAGAATTCTATATACCCAAACTATCTATTAAATATGAAAGCAAACAGATAATTCAGACCTTCAAGAACTCTGAAATTGTATCTCCAGTATGCCTTTTCTGTGGAAGATCTTTGAGGATATACTCCAATTAAATGAGGGAGAAAACTGTAATAGATGAAGAGGTGAGAGCTAAGTAACAGCAAATCTAACCCAGGATTGTAACAGGAAAATGAAATACCTGAAATGCTTAAATGACAGCTTTTCAACTGTTCAAGAAAGCAACTGATTCAACTTGGAACTCGAAATGTAACAAGCAAGCAACATGCCTACAATTTGCAGCCAAAGGG
Source organism: Homo sapiens (assembly GCF_000001405.40). NCBI lineage: Eukaryota > Metazoa > Chordata > Mammalia > Primates > Hominidae > Homo > Homo sapiens. Next base: position 116,235,307 of record NC_000005.10, on the reverse strand, counting down.
AATTACAGCTTTTATAATTCTGAATCCTGTAGGACCAAAAACACTCCTAAAAAGAATTAAGTATTCATTATCAATCTGTTCTCTGTTTTTGACTATGTTTTGACTGAGAGCTTCTTATTAGCAGCCCACACTCTCTCTTCTCAATTGTATCAGTTTGTTAAAGTAGGTGTCAGCACATTTCACAGATGGAAAAAATAAGTGGTAAAAGTATATATATAAAAGGCACAGATCTGAAATTATATTATACAAATGATTGATTTTTATGTCCTTTTACAAACACCTTTACATTTGAAGAAGTTCACTGGTAAGAGATAGACAGACTAGGTGAAGGTTTTCCGTAAAATGAAAGGTGTCAGACTCTGAAGAGACTGCTCTTATCCAACTCTTTTCTAAGTGGCGGCTTAGCAGAGCTGTCACCCTTTTTCCCTAGCTCTCCTGCGGCTGCATGTGAGCTCTTCCCTGTGCTCCGCCACCATTATACTTTAAGGGATCTCTTCACAAAACAGACTCTGAGAACCTTTTAAAATCAGTACTCTTTACCCTTATAAGTGAAATTATCCAATTGGATGTTTTTAGAACGAGTACTATTTTTTCGGAAGTTCCTAACTCGATCTGTGTGTAAATTATTTACAGATGAATGCAGTTGCAGCCAAATCACCTTATTTAAATGCATCATTACTGGACACTTCAATGGTTTCTCCATTTGAACACTGAATTTTACTTTACTTCAAATATACTGGCACAAGCAGTCTACATCATTCATGATTTACCTGTTTTACTGTATTAAAGTAATAATTTTACCCATCTTCAAAGCCATATGCATTACATTATTGCTACCATGAGAATTTATGTAAACAATGGGTAATTGTTCCTGTCCATGTGACCTTGTGCTAATAATTATTCTAAAATTGAAATTTTTTTCTTTTCATTGCTATTCATTACTTTTTTGTTTTTAAACAGGCAGCTTTCGATTGCCAGATTTAAGAGTGTGTTCGTTAGCAAAGCTGCCCTAGTTGATTGACATAGGTGTCCAATGGCTTTCTCTGTCTTTCCTTGATAGTATTTCTATGAGGAATTTCATTGTATTACTCTGATGCTGCTGAGAATTTCCCTGCCTGCTTTTGTTACTTTGGCCTCCACTGTCACCTGACTTCCATAGCAGATGTCCACTCAAACCCTAGTCTTTCTACCTACAATGCCAGTGAAAATTTTAGCCTCCTTTCACTTTCTTCCTCTTCCTTCCCCTACTGGGGACCCTGACTCTTCAGACACATTAGCATCACTGACTGAAGATCTTCCTATTTTTGATTATTACTCTTTACCTCTTCTGTTAATGTAAAAACTTCACCTTTCCAGTTATCAAGGATTCTTCTAGAACCCTTCTCTCAACATTTTGAGGTTTGATTTTCTATGCAAATTCCTCAAATAGCTTCCCATCTGAAAACGAGAGCTAAAATCCTAACAATGGCTTTACATCATCTGTCCTACCACACCCCTCTCACCTCTCCTCTTCCAATCTCCCTCTTGCTTACTGTGCTTCATTAAAACTCTCTCCTTGTTCATGAAGATACCAAGCTCACTTTCTTCTCAGGGACTTTGTCCTTGCTGATTTCTTTACCTGGAATGTTCTGCTTCCAGAACATTCCTCGTGGTTTATCCTCTCACATCTTTCAAATCTTTACTCAAGTGTCACCTTATCAGTGAGGTCTTCCTTGACCACCTTATGAAATTACAGTCCCCTTCATAGCTTCTATGTAAATATTTTATTAGACAACCTAGTTGTTTTACTTTTTTGTTTATTGTCTGTAGACCTCTACTAGAATACAGACTTCACAAGGGTCAAGGACTTTCATAAACTGTTATGTATAGTTCCCCCTTATCTGTGGGAGATATATTTCAAGTCCTCCAAAGGATGCCTGAAACTGCTGATAGCACTGACCCTTATATATACTATGTTTTTTCCTATTATGCATACCTATGATAAAATTTAATTTGTATATTAAGCACTGTAAAAGATTAACAATAACTAATAATAAAATAGAATAATTATAACTATATACTGTAATAAGAGTCATGAGAATGTAGTCTTTCTCTCTCACACATACATTATCTTATTGTACTGTACTCACCTATTTTCAGACCACAGTTAACCAAAGGTAACTATGAAAAGTAAAACCCCAAAAATAAGTGGGGGAATATTATAACCATAAATACCTAGCATAGTGCCTGGCCCAATCGTAAGCGTTCAATAAATATTTGTTGAATGAATAAATATTATAAATGCTACCGTGCTCCACATTTTATTCAGGCACACCATTTAGCCGGAATTGACGAATCCTTTTAAGGGTAAGAGCATAGAATTACAATCAGACTGCCTGGATTTAAATGTCATTTGTGTGACCTTCTACATGTACTTAACTTCTCTTTGTCTTGTCCTGTATCTCATAGGTTGCTTGAGAATTTAACAAGTTAATATATGTAAAGCAATTAAAAGAGTACCCAACAAATGTAAGCACTCTGTAATTTCATGTCTAATGAATTATTCAACGTCAAATTTTATAACATTTTTCAGCTTATTGATTTTTGTTATTTTTGCTAATTTTTTGAGACGGAGTCTTGCTCTGTTGCCCAGGCTGGAGTGCAGTGGTGTGATCCTGGCTCACTGCAACCTCTGCCCCCCTGGGGTTTAAGCAATTCTCTTGTCTCAGCCTCCAGAGTAGCTGGGATTACAGGCACCCGCTACCACGTCCAGCTAATTTTTGTATTTTTAGTAGAGATGGGGTTTCTCCATGTTGGCCAAGCTGGTTGATCTTTGTTATTTCTGAACACTTATGCCGAGGTCCTTTTCACGTGAAGAGTACTGGTACCAACACCATGGATTGAATTTATCCTATCTTGCTTGTTTACCTTTCGATTTTAATCATGATTTTGATATTTCAATTTAAAAGCCTTTTTTTTTTTAGGACAGTGATATTCAGTCTGTGTATCTGCAGTGCAATACTCATTATTGGGCCCCCACTTTTAACATCTCAAAGTCCTCCATTTCTAATTAGAAAATCATAACCCAGTAAGCCAATGGGTAAGTTACAGAAGGCAGCTTACTTGTGGCTGGATAAACAATAAACCCAAATGTAACTTGGACTTCTGAAATTGATACAGTATGCAATCCTGACATGCTGTTTAGCATCAGAAGCAGGGTTCCTGCCAATTAGAATGTGGTAGTAAAGTCTGTGGTTCTTTCCAGCTTCCATACAAAATTCAGTTCAGTGTAAAGTGGCTCTTCAGCTTGGTGCAGCTGACTACAACTAATTTAGATGACCCCTTTGCCATGGAGGGGGTGAGAAGTAGTATCATTCAGTTCAGAAGTAGTTGTTTTAAACATACCTTAAACTGTTCTTTAAATACAAAATGACATTTGTTTTTTGTTAAACATTACATTTTATATTCTGTTGTTTTTTTTTCTGGATTGTCTTGAAGTAAGTACTCCCATATTCATGTTCAACTGTTATTTCCCAATTAATTTCTTTAAAGACTTTTAAGTAGCCAATAACAGTCATATAAAAGTTAAAATAAACAATACACTTTATAATGAGAATTTTAAAAGAGCAAAAGCATTTTAGCTATCATACTAAAATAGTTTTATCTTTCCCTTTAGACTGTAGGAATCTGAAAGTCAGAAGAAAATTTTGCCCATTGTTTAAGAAAATAATAAGTTTGTCATTAGACTAAAGCTGCCAAAGTAGCCTTTGATCTCCATAGATTTTAGTGAAGTATAGCAATCATACAGCTCAATGAGTTACTACAAAATAAACACACCCATATAACCACGACTCGCTGAATAAATACATTACCTGCATCCTCAGAAGTCCTCTTACTGACCCCTTACCTCTACCATTTTTGTTCTCCAAAGTTAACTACTGCTAACTGTTCTAATATTAAACATTAGTATTGCATACTTTTATAAATAGAATCAGTCAGAATGTACTCTTGTTGACATGAAAAAGCTATATTATTAAAAACTGCTACATCAAAAATTCCAAGTGAGTAGTCGGTAAATTTATTAACAAGATATCCCTGGATTAATGATTCTATCTCAAGTCAAAAACATTGTGCCAAATTGACATCACTAACACCTACCACCAATAGGATGTAGAATCAGCTTGACCTTATTTTAGAACATCTGAGAGGCTCTAAAAGCTGGCAAAACCATCTTAAGAGTATGGAGTGATAGGCAGTAAACTGCATTTATTCTGGTTTGAACCACTCCAAGGCAGTCTCAGAAATAACCTTAAAAAAGAGGAGCCAGAGGCTAGCTACTATCCCCACTCCCCACAATTAAGATGCAATTTGAAACTGTATCTGAAATCAGTAAGTCAATGGAAAGCCAGGAGGAAGACAGTATGAAATCAGTATCTGAAAAGCTGTTTCTACTAAAGATGTCTACACACACACACGTATTATTTATCTATATATCATGTATTTGGACTGATTCAAGGAATCTCTGCTTGTCAAGGCAACTTCAAGAACTTTGGATGGTAAAGAGAAACGGATATCACAGCTTTTGATATCAATTTTCTTAAAATTATATAGTTGAGGTGGGGGCTGGTAAAAGAGGAGACTGCTTTCCTTCAATCTTTTCTTTTTTAAAACAACTTGTCTACATCACTGGGTATCAATAATTGATTCCCATAGGACACTACTACAGGAGGCACCCCATGTTTATTTATTGTGAGAAATAAACACAGCAACAAATTTTCACTAACATCGTGATGTAGAACATAAATTTGTGTTTCCTTAATTCAGCAGGTATTTATTAGAAATCTATGAGGTACCAGCATCTATGTGAAGTCCTGGTTATAATGCAAAGAAGCCAGTCTAGTGCATAGAAAAATGAATTTATTAAATTAAAATACAATGATATATGTCATGAGATGTTCAAGAGCTATGGGGTTACAGTAGAGAAATATCTGAAGAGCAAAGAATAGGAGAAGGTTCCCCGGCTCAATCTTAATAGTATGGTATTTTAAGATGCTACTACACCATTACCACTTAACAAGTAATGGAGATAAAAATAAAACAAAAGCAAAAACAGAAACGTAGTAAGGCTGCTTTGTTACATGGCTTCCTTATACAAAGCTAAGGAGATTACGATGCTCTTTGAGACCTACTTTTTAGTGAACATAATTCAGAATACCTAGACATTGGAAAATACTGCAAAATAGACAGAATGAACCTTTATGATATATGAGGCAAAGAATCAATAGTGAACAAAACCTAATAAAGTTTATACTCAATTGATTGAATCATTAACAGGGAGTAAGCTAGTCTTGATTTTTTTTTGGGGGGGCTCAGGTATGAATAATCATATATCTAGTGTTTTTAGGTGGTCTAAATAAAGGACGATAAATAAAATAAAGGATATTTTAAATAAATACCATTTAAATTGCTGGGGGTTTTTTCATCTTAAATAACCAAAGACCTGAATTAACTCAGGCTATGTTACTTTATGTTGCCACACAAAATTTAACATTATAAACATTATAAAGATATATCTTTTCACTTGCTGGACAAATAAATTGTGCTTGTATTCTGTTGCATGAACAACTGTACACTCAATTATATACTGTCATAATTTGTTTTCTAGCTGTTTCACATATGAACCGTTTGTCTTCCAATTTAGATGATAAACTACTTTAGTGCAAAATCATACTGTCTTCTCCTTTTGAGTCCTTTAGCAGCTAACAGTGTTGCGCTACAGAACTGCTCAATAATTGCTTGCTGAATTGAACAGTACCCTTAATCATTGCCACTTCTTTTCTCTGAAGCACAGTTGAATAGAGGTAATGCTACAGTGCTGTCAAGTCTTTATGCTTTGTCCTGCTTCTCTGCCTGCCTTGCCAGAAGAAGGTAAATTCGATCTTTTTATTTACTCAATCAATGTTGATCCTGCTAGGATTATCAACAATGGCAATCAATGCCAGTTCAAGTGGTTTTATTACATATGAATACCTGTCCCTAGAGACTGAACCCAAAATGCCTGTATCAGACTAAGCCATTACTGTGTCTGTCTGCCCCAGACTCAAAACAAATCATCAATCTTAGATACAAGTTCAATGCCTCATCTTTCATTCTATGAGTAGGATTAAAAATAGTGCAAAGGGAAATAATAAAAAATAATTATGTTTAAAGTAGATAAATTATAAATGCTCTCTATGTACTCCCTCTTTTATGCCTAAATGTAAAGACGAATCAGCATCTTTCTAATGTGAAACTTCTCTACTCTAAACTGTAATGTCTATAGGCAAATATTTATTTTACACTATTTTACAAGAAGATAAAATAATCTACCCTACCTAATACTATCCTGAGCTGGGAGTCAAAAATATGATTCCCACACTAAGTTTTCAACTACAAGAATATGTCTCAATGCTTATTTATTTCAGTAATTTTTCTTTGCTCATGACAAAAGAAAAAACTGAATTAAGAAACAGTTAAAGTTTGTTTATAATCAGGGCTAAGTTATGACATAAAACTAACAAGGAGAGAGTCACAGTGATCCTAAAAGATCTTATTTTAATAAGCTTGAAAGGAAAAGGATCAGAATCCAGACTTAATTTTCATTTACAATCCTAATATTCATGAAAAAACACAATTTATGCAACCACAAAAGCATTCATTCAAAAATCACAGCAGGACCATATTATTTCTTCAGGTTTAACTGAAACTTTGAAAAGAAAAGCAGCGGTCTATTAAAGGTTCTTTGTCAAAACTATTAATTAAAGCAAATTTTCAAACATTTTTTGAAACCTACAATTCTGGTTATTGAAATAAAAATTACTACATATGAAAGTGATAAATGTGGTACTTTCTTTAATTTGTCTATATTAATTTAATATTAACATATAGCTTGTGTCATTGGGCAAAATCAACAATGTGAATAAAATTTTATTTTTTGAACTTTAAATTTTAAAATTCTAGCCTAGAATACAAATGATGTTAGCTATCAAAATAATGATTTTGTGGCTGACGTTGCACTATATTTCATTTCTTCTCAGTTTTTAAAGGGGAATTAGAAGTTTATTTTTCAACCAAATCACTACAATAACTGTTATTTATTTGGCTTAAAACTCTTACCTGTAAGCAAACTTGAGATATTTTTTCTAATTTAAAGAAAGCAGGAATGAGGCCAAAGTGAATACCTTAAGAATCATAGTAACTGTATTCACATTCACTGCTGCAATGAAAAAAATCTCCTACCTCATAATCCTGTTTCCTATAAAAGATTTTAACCTCCATTGAAATGTATGTGCATTATTCTGATGACATTTTATTCTCTCTTTTGCCTTGCTGACATTTATAACATGACCTAGTTTGGCTAAAATTACCAGGTGAAAAAATTAGCTGCAGTGTGATAAGTGATTTTACCTAGACACGATGTCTGGTTCCCACTGGTATACATACACACTGATGTCCCTGGGTGAGAGAACTAATTCCTTCTACTTGTCTTTTTCATGATTAAAGGCACTGATAGTAACTTTTTAACATTCCTTGCTTCTAAGCTGAGAAACTGAAAAGCTGTGTGAATGCTCGGCATCACCAATCAAGTCAGAAAACACAAGGAGAAAAAACATCCTGAAGCCAATGCCTTGGAAAATGAAGATAATAAGAATAAAATCACCTAAGTGGGCAGCCTTAGTATTTCTGGACATGTTCCATAACCCCCACAGGTAATAGTGGACGGGTTATTACCTGTGGCAGAGGAGACAAAACATAAATGTGGAATTTGAAGCAGAGTACTATTTTGTGGCAGGATGTATAAATTGAACAAACATTTTTTTCAGGTCATATTAAAGATGTAGAGAAAATGGGATTTCAAAGATCTTGTGAAAGACAAAAGGAAATCAGAAGAATATCTAAAATGAACTGATGGAGAATAAAGAGGCTGGATAACCACAATTAAATTACCAGAAAGTTATCAGAATTATTGGTAAGAATAATGTTTGTTCAAAGGAAATCAAGCCCTGTTGAAGGAGAATGAGATGCTCCATTAACGAGAAAACAAGGCCCTTATTTCAAGGGCCTTGAAATGAGAAAAGATCACCATGAAATTTCTGTTAAAAGCGAGCTAAATCTAGTGCTAAAGTAGTGATACTTTTTAAGCGATCAACTTAATTTATGGCAAGGATAGTGAACCTATAGCACAGATAGATACAGACCCTGCTTTCCTGCTTACCACTCTGTAACACCAGAAGGCAAAAGAGGGGGAGAGTGAATCAGATAAACAGTATACAATGGAGCAGTAAACTTATCTACACTTCGGGCCTGGGGCATAAAATAATATGAACTCATATGAAATGAGAGTGAAATGGGAGAACGTCTGAAAAAGAGTGTTTAATATTTGAAACTGAAACTCAGCAATCTGACCATATGTAAAGTCTTTAGTAATTCATACTTCCTGCAACTTTAACAGAAAATAGGAATATCCTTGAAATTCCACATTTATGTTTTGTCCTGTCTCCCAGATGCCAGTCCACTGTTACCTGTGAGGGTTATGGAACATGTCCAGAAATATTAAGGCCATCTACTTAGATGATTTCATTTCTATTATCTTTATTTCCCAAGGTATTGGCTTCAGGAATTTTTTTTTTCCCTTGTGTTACTACAGGGCTTGGTTTTCTAAGTTGATTGGTGCTTTTTAGTCCCAAGTCCCCCAATATTGCTACTAAGTTCAATGCCGAACTATTTTCCAATCAAATGTCTAGATATCTGCAGCAGTGAAAAATAGTGACTCTAAATGCACTACTAAATAGAGACACACATGTAATTAACAGAAACTGAGGAAAGTCCATCAGCTGAAATATAATTTGCTGTTCTCAAAAAAAAAAAAAAAAGGGAAGTACAAAGTGCAAACATGAACTTACAAATTTGGAAGAGTTGAGGTGTAAGTTAATGTCTAAAACATCATTTGAATTTCATTGAATGTTTAGAAGCCCTTGTTTTAAATGTACTATTTGAAATCAATAGGGATGAAGTAGTTTAACTTCTGATCATGCTGAAAAACTGACGTGGTCATACAAAACCCCAGAGATACCAATAATAAGATACTAGATTAAAGCAAACAAACTACTTGAAGATACTTCAAACTTTCAAATGCAGACATAAGGCTGAAGAGAGTTTTATTTTGAAAACTAGAAGGGGTAAGAATTGAGAGTTCATACTGGCTGCAAGGCACTGACCAAACTCCATAGCTACAGCTACAAAAAAGGAGAAGAAAAAAATGGCATCGCACTGGCTAAAGATGCTAGAACTTGGAGTGGAGAGCTGGAAAAAGAGCTGAAAATTTAAAGGAAAAATGTTAGCACCAAGCTAATCACAGAAGGCACGAGACTCAAATTCAGAGCACAAGCTACACAAATTCCTAGCTGACAACAAAATTTACACATGAGCAAGGGAGGCCTATGAAGCCTAGTGAAAAAGCAGGAAGAGAAAAAAAAAAAAACAAGATTTTAGAATCTGTGATTCTTTTATTAACTGAGAACATTTTTCAATCATTTACAGCTTGAGTGGTAGAAAGATGAATCTAGACAGGCTTGATGTGTCAGAGTATAGGGCCCAAAGCTGGCATGGCTACTGTCAATTAGGAGGAAATTCTGAGACACAAAGAAACAACAAAGAAGATGAGCATCTGCCAAAATCTTTGGGCTACCACACTGTGCATATACAAGGGGGACCTATAGGTGTTCAGGCTAACAAAGCAGCAGAGGAAAGGTGTAAGCTGAATACCTCACAGGAGACAGTTTGTGGTTTCAACCCAAGGAAGTTAATTGCCTACTAGAACAAAAAACCAAGGTCCTCAAAAGAATATGACAGAACCCAGAGTCATTTCACCATATGTTTCCCAATGTCTAGTTTTCAACCAGAAATTTCTACATATGCAAAAAAAAAAAAAAAAATCCCCAAAAAAACAAACAGGAAAGTCTTCAGGAAATTACTTAAGAAAAAATACACTCAATACAAATGACTCTAACTGGGCTCAGACATTGAATTTAGCAAGTAAAGTAATTCAAAAAAGCTATTATAAATATATTCAAAGAACTGAAGAAAAATATGCTATCAGTGAGTGAACACAGAATAAATCTCAAGAGAAAAAAAGAAACAACAAAAACAGAAAACTCTAGATCTAAAAAGTATAATAAGTGAAATAAAATATTCACCAAATGGTCACAGCAACAAATTGGAAATGGCAAAAGAATCAGTACAACTGCATTATGGGTTAGAAGCCCCATAAACTAAAGATTAGCCTACAGATTGTTAAAGGATATTATATAAAATGTTAAAGTAACATTCTTATCCATCTTTTATTTAAATGTAAAAGAAAAGATTTAAACAATATTGTAATGTTTTATTCACTACAAGCCTAAATGTTATCACAGAACCATGAACTATCAAATACTCATCAGCATTTAAAGTCAAAATAAAATGTAATGCCAACAAAATTTAGTATTAATTCAATCAACAAATACTTCATCAACAATATCCCGGGTGATACGGTTTGAATGTTTTGTCCCCTCCAAACCTCATGTTGAAATAGGATGTCTAATGCTGGAGGTGGGCCTAGAGGGAGGTGTTTGGGGCTTGGGGGAAGATCCCTCATGAATGGCTTGGTGCTGTCCTCACAATAAATGAGTTCTCGCTCTGAGTTCATATGAGATCTGGTTGTTTAAAAGAGTGCGGCACCGCGGCCCCGGACCCTTGTTCCCTCCTCTCACCATGTGATATGCCAACTCCCCTTTTGCCTTCCACCATGATTGTAAGCTTCCTGAGGCCTTACCAGAAGCAGATGAGAGCACTACACTTCCTGTACAGTCTGCAGAAACATGAGCCAAAATAAATATCATTCCTTTGTAAATTACCCAGTCTCAGATATTCCTTTATACCAACAAAAATGGATTAATATACTAGGCAATGGCTGGGAACTGTAGAGACAGTAAGTAAACACAGAGATGGCTCCTATCTACATAGAGTTTCCTAATTCTAGTGAACAGGAATAAACGAATTCCCAACTGAAGTCCTCATATAGACTCATGATTTATTTGAGTAGCAAGATTTATGAACTATTTCTCATTGAAAAGATACATTGGTTCAATTTTTTAAAAGGATTAAGAGTTAAACTACCAACCCCAGAATCCTTAGAACCTGGATTAAGAAACAGAAAGATCACCGTTAAATGAATAGTCCAAGAGATGGAAGTGGAAAATGGAAGCTTTGTTCTTAAAAAACGTAAAAGAGACAAACAGTAAAACCATTTCCATGGTCTTATAATGCTGCTCCAAACACATGCATTACTTTTAAAAAAATTTATAAAATGAATTCAGCACATGGAAACATAAAAATACTGTTAAGCAGTTCAGCAAAGAATACCAAATGGAATAACCTTCATTCTTAAGGCTATGTTGAGTGCCTTATTTTAATCAGGTAATTTCAAGTGTTGCCTTTGAACCATTCCAGTCTGGCTTCACCTCTTCTCACTGCCTCCACTCCTACGATCATGAACTTCTTTCAGGGTATCTTACAATACATTATAGTCGCTTCAGAGTTTTTGAACATACTATTCCTACACTCCAATAACATTCTCTCCAAACCCCTTCTGTCCCTCTCTGACTCAACCTTACGGTCTCACCTTATAGTCTGGCACAAATTTTTCCCGAGCTTCTCTGGATTAGGTTAAATCTCCCTGGACTATGTTCCAAAAGCACCATGAGCTTTTTGCTTTCTTAGAACTTCTAAAATTTCTAATTAGAAATTTAATGTTTCATTGACCAGGATGTGTGGAAATATATTCCCAGAGTCTGAGACAGTTTCTAGTACCTAATTTGGAGCTGAGTAAATATTTGTTAAATAAACATTAAAATAAAATATAGATAGCCATATCCTTACTATTTTTTTTTGTTCCACATATTACATTGTAATAAGAACTTTTTTTCTCTGGTGTATACATTTAACTTATCTTATACTTCTCAATACTAAATAAAAATCCTCTGACTTTTCTAAATTAGTTCCTAGATTTGATTTCCTTACATTTTATCCTATCTCCTTTTTTTCAAAAAAAAATCCAATATAGAAAATATCTGACTTCTGTTAAGACTAATATTTATAATTTATAGGTGACAGCAAAATATAGTGAAAAATAGCAACTTCAAAGAAATAAGAACATAGACAAGTAAAATTAAAATAACACAATCTATGACATATTTTATATACTCCAATCAAGAGCAATCTGAAGATATCAACTAAAATAACCATAGTATTAAAAAGGGCGGCTGAGCGCAGTGGCTCACACTTGTAATCCCAGCACTTTGGAGGCTGAGGTGGGTGGATCACAAGGTCAGGTGTTCAAGACAAGCCTGATCAACATGGTGAAACCCTGTCCCTACCAAAAATACAAAAAATTAGCCAGGCGTGGTGGCATGTAACTGTAGTCCCAGCTACTTGGGAGGCTGAGGCAGGAGAATCGCTTAAACCTGGGAGGCAGAGGTTGCAGTGAGCCGAGATGGCACCACTGCATTCCAGCCTGGGCAACAGAGCAAGACTCCCTCTCAAAAAATAATAAACAAATAAATAAATAGGCTAAATGTTGTTTTCTTTTGAATTCTAGCTCTTTTGTGAACAAAAGGCCAAAATGAAAAACTGAGATAATTTCTTGTAAGATTATCTTTCTGTCCAGCCTCATGTTCCTGAAAAGAACATTAAATTCCCTCATAAAACATAGTGTCAACTTTACAAATACAAGTAGACTTTATTCTACTTCTAAAATCATATTCCCACTGAACTAGATGAGTCAATGAGTCAATTTAATATAATTTGAATATAAGACTTTGATACCCTAATGGGTACAGAAACTATAATTGTTGACCAGAATAATTCTAATTCATACTAAAAAGATTCCATGTTTTTACCAAAAGAGATTTCAGGATGAGATTTCCAAATTAAAATATTAAAATTTAATTCCAATAGTCAAAACTAAGTTTTGTTAAGGTCCATACAGACTGCCTTACTATTTATTTTCTTCAACTCTTGAGAATGTTTTCATGAGAATAGAGTAACAGACTTAAATTAGATTTGACTATCACTGAAGAGAGTAAGAAGTTACAATTTCATCTCAATTATGCTCTGTGTCCTTCCCTAACTTCTTAACATCCCAGATGGCATTAACATTCTTTTTCCTCCTATGACCACATCTCTATTTGGAACATATACACTTATCAGTATTATCTGCTGCACCAAGGCTTACCCACATCCACTCCTGGTAACTAAAGAAGATGCGGACATTGACAGATTCAGTTCATCTTTTCACAACCTGCTAAAACAGGCTTGATTTTTTTCTGGTTGAACTGCCTGCCTATCTACCTCCCTCCCTTCCTATCTACCTGTCTATGTTATGTGTTCTCTGGTAAGAAAAAATGTGGGAAAATAAGCAAAGGACTCCAAAAATCCATCTTTACTTTGCTCTTGGCTTCCTACTCATTTAAATAAAGAATGGTGGCTAGAACAACTAAAGCATAATGTTGAAAAACAGAAGCTATCCTGCACCTTTCAAAACGTAATAATGCTACATTTCATCTGTGCATAGCCCACAGTGAGGAGATGCAGGTATCTACACTTTTCCAAAGTCAAACCAAATAATTACTACTAAGACCTAAACCTAAGACCTTTTCTTCACAGCATTTCTAAGAGATCTTGAAAACACAGGCTCTCACCAGGGTTCTGTAACTAACTAGCAATGTAACCATGAGTAACTACATAGCCAAGAGTATCCTCAGTAATAAGATTAAGGGACTGGTGTTTAGATTCAAGACCAACAAATTTGTACGCCTGATCTACAGTAACGGACCAATATACTGAGATAGCAGGGTTTGTAACACAGAAAGAATTTAATAACCACAGGGTGGCTGAGAAAGGAGATGGGAGGAGACCCTCAAATCCATCTCCCAGAGGAGTTCTGGGCTGGGGATTTTAAGGAGATAGTAGAGGGCAAGGGGCTGGAAATTTGGGGTCATTGATTGGTTGGAATAAGGGAGATGAAATCATGAAGATACCGAGTGCATTTGCTGAGACAGCTCACCGTCAGACCAGCTGGTGCCTGTAGTTTCACTGGTATGCAGGACCTGAAAGTGTATCTCAAAGGTGCCAATGTGCCTTTGGAACAGTTAAAAAAAAAAAAAAAAAGAGTATCTCAAAGGGAAAACTTAATGTTTCATAATGTTCAAGTTGTTTTCTATGGAGCAGTTAAGGAGAATTATAATCTAAGGTCTTTGTGATTGTAGGACAATAGGCACCAAACAACTATGAAGAAGCAGACCAGAGAGCAAGCCTCACCTAGTGATTAACGCTGAATGTGCTGCAAGCTTGGTTTTTGTTTCTCCCCATCCCTTCTTCCCTGATTAATTTTATAAGTTTATAGGGAGGGTTTCATTTAAAAGATGGTCCCTTTAAAATAATTTTTTAAACCCACTCTACAGATTCCCATAGGGTAATAGGTATAAGCTGTTATTATTTGTTGTTTGAAAGCATTAACTACAGGTGCCACAAATTTAGAAACATAATTTTTCAGTTGATGATTTAGATTTACAAAGTAATTAAGTACATTTGAAAATGTGGAATAACAGACGTGTGAGTTATATTATTTTTCCAGTGTTTATACAATGCTTGGGTTGCATATGTATCCCTGGATCCTTATAACTCTACTCTTCTTTCTCTCACAAAAAGTCCAAGGCTACCAACCTCAGAAACTCTGACCTATACAGACATGTTCCCTTCCATCCCCTAACACTCCCAAAGTTTATTATCTACGATGTTCACCTCTTCCAAAGAAAAAAAAAATGGAATGAAAGAATTACAGGGAAAAGATAAACATGATCACCTCTCAGTCATCTACTGTGACATTCTCTAGGGGCTTAGAATTCCTTTACTTCCTGATTAAATCCCCCAAAACTCAATTCACGTAGTCTTCACTCCTGAAGAACATGAATGAGACAGAATGTGTTTGAGAAACTCAGTACCTAGATTGTTATCTGAGACTTTATGCCTGATTTTGCTCCCTAGGTACCTACAAACAATTTTTGGATGTACTGTTATGTCTTATTATCTTAAAAAACACACTTTAATATGGTTTCTTCTACTTAAGAACCAAAATTATCTCCCAATTGTCTATCATAGAAAGCTTCAGCTTTGATAACTGACTTTCAAGGTTAGAATAACCTGGGCTCCGACTATGTATCCAAAACAATTTAACATATAACCTTATGACCCAAACCTGACAAAGACAGTATAAAAAAGAAAAAGTAGAGACTATTTAATTCCTTAATAAAAAACTCTATCAAAATATTATCAAATCCATCAGTGTTTGAAAAAAATACCAGAAAGAGGCAGTTTACAAAAAAATAGCAAAGTAATCGATATGATTTTTTCACAAATTAGAAAGCAAACATCATATGATTCAAAACCATAAGATTACATCATTAGACACAGAAAAGTATTTGGTATTTTCAGCAGCTATTTGCATTAGTTACCTATGGCTGCTGAAAACAAATTACTACAAACTCAATAGCTTAAACAAAAAGAAATATATTCCCTCACAAAGTCCAAAATAGTTTCACTGGGCAGAAAACAAGGAGTCAGCAGGGCTATATTCCCTCTTGGAAATCTGCTTTTTGCCTCTTCCTCCTTCTAGCTGCCAGCATTTCTTGACTTGTGGCCATTATCCCAGTCTCTACCTTAGTGATCGTACCACCTTCTCTTATGTATGTCTGTGTCAAATCTCCCTCTGCCTCTCTCTTATAAGGACATTTATTATTGTGCTTATGGCCTACCTAGATAACCCGGGATAGTCTCCCAATCTTTTTTCCTTTTAAGGTAATGCTTACACAGTCCACAGAGTAGCAGTTTCTATCTGTGAGGAGCTGTTATTCCGCCTACTGCACTACTACTAAAATGGGAAGGGGAAGGGGAAGGGAAAGGGAGAAAACTGTATGTATCGGTTTGCTAGGGCTGCCATTAACGAAATGCCACAGACTGGGTGGCTTAAACAACAGCCACCAACAATAGCCTCCAGATTTTCAACAACAGCCTCCAGACTTTCAGTTCTGGAAGCTGAAAGTCCAAGATCAAGTTGTCCGCAGGGCTGGTTTCTCCTGTGGCTTCCCTCCTTGGCTTTTAGATGGTCTTGTCTCATAGGTTTTCTCTATTAAAGCAGACACCTGGTAGCTAGTCTTTTTCTTACAAAGACACCAGTCATACTGGATAATAGCCCTATCCTTATGATCTCATTTAACCTTAATTACATCATTAAAGGCCCTATCTCCAAATACAGACACATTGGGAGTGACAGCTTCAACATACAAATTTTGAGGAAGCACAATTCAATCTATAACACTGTCTAAAAATATTAATATGGGGGTAGAGTCAACGCCCTATTCAAAGCTAACTGGGATTTTCCAGTGACAAAGGAAGGAATGTAAGTTCTTTTGGAGCCCTTACTACTCGACTACTATTCAGGACTGTCCCTAAAATGTTCTCATAGTATTTATTCTTTCTTCTATTCTGCCTCACCAAGAGAATGCTTCTTGGGAATATGGTTCTACTTTCCTTGCTTCCAAGAAAATTTGTGTCAAACAGGGAATAGGGAAGCTCTTACCACTACCCCATATACCTGTCCTAAGTAAAGGACTCTTGGTTTTATCAAGTTGGATAAATTTCTTTAGAAAATTGCATTTTGCTGTCATTAAGAAGCATCCTTAGAAATTGTGTGAGGAAAAACTATTTTTAACAGTGAAAAGTAATAAACAACTTAAATGTACACAATAGTCAATATTTATAAAGAATTTACTATTAAGAGTGGTTGATTTGGAGCAGTATGAACAAGAGGCAAGAACGACCCCTGGACTCACCAAAGCCCACATGCCTCTGCATCCTACGCCCAGTGCCTATGTCCCACCACCATCACTGCCACCACCATGCCCAAGAGAAAGGCTGAAGGGGATGCTAAAGGAGATAAAGCCAAGGTAAAGGACGAACCACAGAGAAGATCTGCAAGGTTGTCCGCTAAACCTGCTTCTCCAAAGCCAGAGCCCAGGCCTAAAAAGGCCCCTGCAAAGAAGGGAGAGAAGGTACCCAAAGGGAGAAAGGGAAAAGCTGATGCTGGCAAGGAGGGGAATAACCCTGCAGAAAATGGAGATGTCAAAACAGATCAGGCACAGAAAGCTGAAGGTGCTGGAGGTGCCAAGAGAAGTGTGTGCATTTTTGATAACTGTGTACTTCTGGTGACTGAACAGTTTGAAATACTATTTTTACCAAGTTTTATAAAAATGCAAAATTTTGTTTTACTTTTTTTTTTTGAGCTATGCTGTTAGCACACAGAACACTTCATTGTTGTTTTGTGGGGAAGGGGCATATGTCACTAATAGGGTGTCTTCGAAGCTGGATTGATGTGGGGAAAACACTTTTCCCTTCTAGTTTTGAGAGACTTACTCTTGGCTCCCAGGAGGGATTCCGCGACTTTGACACATATGGCCACCTTGGCACAAAAGCCTTGTGGTATGGAAAAACAAAATCATTTTTATCTCTCTTCTCCCTTCCCATCTATCAGCACAGACTTAACTCCCTTAAGCCCAGACATCTGTTGGGACCTGACCTCCAGTCATTGGTTACCAGTGTGTCAGGCAATCTGGACTTTTCCGGGATGCCACTGAGATGGCACCTGTCAAAAGAGCAGTGGTTCCGTTTCTAGATTGTGGATCTTCAGATAAATTCTGCCGTTTTCATTTCACTTCCTGATAGTCAGGGTCAGCTTGTGAAAAGTTGTTAAACAACATGCTAAATGTGACATGTCAACCCTCACTCTAAACTTTGCCTGTTCAGAGCATCAGATGAAGACTTCATTGGGTTTTATAGTGGCTTTCTGATTTTCGGTAGTCCATTGAAGAAGGTAGTTAAGTTTGAAAGTTGTTGTGTACTGTTAATGACTGTCTGCCCATGTTCTGCCTGAAATACCACGACTGTTTATGGAAAGTATCTTTAATAAAGCTGGATACAGTTTGGCTTGGAAAAAAAAAAAAGAGTGGTTGATTTGCACAGTGGGATTGCGGGGACTTTTTTTTTTCTTCTTCATACTTGTTTGTATTTTCCAAATCTTCCCTAAGGTCATTTATTACTTTTAGAATTTAAAAATTATTTTATAAAAATATGTAAAGCTCTGGTTTTTTAATGACTATGTAATGACTATGTCTACTCAAAAGTATCTTCAAAATGACCTATTTAAAAATCTATCCCCTCAAAACATCCTGATAAATCCTTTCATCTTTTTTTGGACTAAAAATACAGTGTAATAACTGAAGAACAGGTTAAAAAATGTTAACTAAACTGTAATTTAGAATTGATATGATTAATTTATATCCACTTTAGAAATTTCTATGCTAGGGCCCGGTGCAGTGGCTCACGCCTGTAATCCCAGCACTTTGGGAGCCTAAGGCAGGCAGATCATGAGGTCAAGAGATCGAGACCATCCTGGCCAACATGGTGAAATTCCCCATCTCTACTAAAAATGCAAAAATAAGCTGGGCGTGGTGGCGCACACCTGTAGTCCCAGCTACTCGGGAGGCTGAGGCAGGGGAACTGCTTGAACCTCCGGGAGGCACAGGTTGCAGTGAGCCGAGATCGCGCCACTGAACTCCAGCCTGGTGACAGAGCAAGACTCCGTCTCAAACAAACAAACAACAAAAACAAAAAAAGAAATTTCTATGCTAGACATGTGTAACATCTGCTGATGACTGTAATGTTTGTAATAGTTCTAGTGAAAATATGGGACTTGTACAAAAACATAACCTATTATGAAACTATCTCTATGACAACATCAGATTTGTTTTATGCTTCTACTGAAAGCACAAGAACAAACTTTCTAGTCCATATAAGTACTGTATACATGCTAAGTGTGATGAGTTTTTCTACCTTTTGTTAACATACATTTAAAAACTCAATCTTCCTCAATGAGAAATTTTCTGATTAATTTGCGTCTGTCCTTTTTCCAATAATAAAGATCTTGTGTAATGGTTAAAAATATAAATTTAAAAACAGGATTTCCTTAATGTTAAAGATGTAGGCAAAAATATTGGATACTGGGGTTCTTTTAGGATTAAACCTCTAATCTGTCTAATTGGAGAAAATTATCAATGTGGTAATGGTCTGGATTGTTTTACTTCAGAACAACTGTTCCCTGATATCAAATTCTATAAATGATAAGGCCTTTCCTTTCCCACGAATGGCAACTTTAGAAATAGCTTTTCTATTTTGACCTCTATATTAAGAAGGACAAAAAACATTATTTTCCTTCTAGGTATTCAGTATATTTTCCAATATTCATCTGCAAATTTTCTTCACAACAGCAATGTTAATTTTTTTTTAAAAGAAGACTCCACATTGATTACAAGTAAACAGAACATATTAAAAGTATAAACAAATGAGAAGAGGAGAAAATGCTATTTATTTTTAAATAAAGTACTATATTTATATGAATTATATATACATATATATATATATATATATATATATATATATATATTTCTTTTTTTAGCTGGACTCCCACTCTGTCGCCCAGGCTGGAGTGCAGTGGCCTGATCTCAGCTCACTGCAACCTCCGCCTCCCGGGATCAAGCGATTCTCTTGCCTCAGCCTCCTGAGTAGCTGGAACTACAGGCACACGCCACCACGCCTGGCTCATTTTTGTATTTTTAGTAGAGACAGGGTTTCACCTTGTTGGCGAGGATGGTCTTGATCTCCTGGCCTCATGATCCACCAGCCTTGGCCTCCCAAAGTGGTAAAATATTTAATATAATATTCATGAATTTTTCAAATTTTATAAAAGCTAGATGTAGCAGTAATGACTCCCTCACTAAATGAATTTGACCATACTGCATCAATACTAGCTATAATACTTAAAATATTTTGAAGTATTTTCTTTGATATAAACTTTATATACTTACATCTGTATAAAATGTTGACTATACAACTATTCATTTCTTTTTCTTATATTCCATAACACCCAAATTTTTTACCCATTTGCCGATTCAAACACTATTTAAAAATGAGGCTAATACCTTAAAATGAGAGATACCAAAAGTATAATTATTATATATCAATAAAATATATTTTCTCTCAAAAGAAACTAAACCAATATGGGTAAAAACTATATTAAGGATTACTTTTTAGGAAAAACACCACAAACTATTAAGAAAAAATGAAAATCCTCTATTTGCATAGAAGGCTGGGGAGAAAAGACCTCCAATATCTCAACTCATCTCCAGCCCCATAATTTGTGACTAATAAGTGGGAATGAAAGTATAGAAAATCTGCTTCACTTAGCTAACAGTTAGGATTATAAAAGAGATCGTATTTTTCCAAAATATTATGATAAAAGCTTGCTACACACTGCTTTGATTATAAAAAGAAGAATCACTGCAGGAAACAATGTAGCAGACATTTAAATGGGTATATTTCCTATGTTAATGTATACTGAGGCCTGGAGTCCCAAAATTGAGGCCATAATTTAACCGCAGATAAATGAAAAAATGATAATACTAATGAAAAGATCAGAGTAAAAAGAGATTTCAATGCAATTCAATTTAACAAATATTAAGCACCCATTAATTGCCTGGTTTTGAAGGTCACATAGAACACCTTGAAGAAACTTCTACATGTTTTAGTTTCCTCATCAAAATGGCAATACCATTTAATGCTTACAGTGGTTAAGATCCAGTAAGGTAATATGTAAAAGTGCCTGTAACAATTAAACATCCAATGAATGACTGTTTATTCTATTATTTTTATTAACATAACCAATGTGCTTCTTTCTTTGGTGACAGAATAAAAAAGTTTTGTTTTAAAAAATTTAATTTCCACATTAGCAAAACAGCTTCACATTTGCTCATTAATGTAGTTAGTAAATTTCATGAGAGTGGATACTGTAATTGTGAAATTACTGTCTACTTTAGAAACATTAATGAAGACAAAAATTATATTTTCTATTTCTTCCCTTGTTCATTTACAACTTTATGGTTCTACTTTCCAAGAAGTTTGCATCCCTTAGGCAATACAAAGGTCCAGAAAGCAACAGCTAAAGGTTTAAAGACAAAGTTTGCCTCTCAAGTCCAATTCAGAGAGAATGAAATATACACAAACACAATAATCAACCATTGTTTAGGCTACCCTACATAATATACTACTATTGTCTGTAAGCCACAGAGTGAGGGTTCTGTATTTTCATAAAAGCAGGATTTCTAAATATGATAATTAAAAATTCAAGCCAAAGTTGTTTTAAAATATTCTATTCCATGAAAAGGACTGAATGTAAAATACAAAAAAATTCCTTTTTGTCCCTTTTAACAACAAATTTGGGTATATAAGTAAAATTTCATAAATCATTCACATTTTATCAAGCACCTTAACATGGTATTTGTACTAAAATACGAATCACATAAAGAAGAAATAACACTGTATTATGAAAAGGTCACAAATTTTCTGGAAAATTAAAATAAGACTAATAAAAAAATATATGGTATCTAAGTTTTTCCTCACTAATATGCAATTAGTGAGGAAATGAGATGGCAAATGGTAACTCAATGTAAAAGACTTCTGAACAGGTTATAAATCCGTTGGTCCTTAACCTTTCATGGGTTACAGACTTGAAAATACTCATATATCCTTCACAGAAAAAATGTGTATGCACGTATACACAAAATGTGGCAGACAATTTCAGGAGTTTCACAGATCTTCTGAACACAGACCCTATACAGGTTAAGAATCTTTACACAGATCCTTAATATTCAGTGATTATTTTTACCATGACCCAGAGGTCCAGGGTCTATGCTAATTTATCATTTTGCTGAGACCCACATGTGACTCACACTAACAGAAAGCTGTAAGACTGATGTGAAGTAACAAGAACTCAACTAGCAAGGGAGCCTAGTATTCACATCTGTTTGAGTCTGGCATCTTTACAACTCCTATTAGTGGAAAAATTATTAAGAATTGCTTTAGTAGTAATCATTAATATATTCAGAAGGTCTCTGAACTTCTCATAATTAAAAAGGGAAGACTGTTTTTTCATACCCTAGGGCTCCTTGGCAAGTTATATCATAATGGTATTCTAGCAGAAAGCAGGCCAATAAAATATGACAAACCAATCAAAAAATAAAGCATATTATCTTTATAGATAATCATTAACATACTTATTAAATCCCTAACATATTAACTTCCTATCATTGTGTAATTTACAGAGACAAAAGATACAGACCCAATCTTCTAAGAGCATTCACTGTTACACACCAGGCTTATACCTGAAAATACTGACCCAAAAAACCACATGACATAAATTTTATTATGGATACCCCAGAACAAGTAATTTTAAGTGTCAGATATATACAGAATATTCCACAGTTTCTATAATCATTAAAATTCTAACATACATTTTCTGATAGCCTTCGATGTTTGTACTAAGTTATATACCACTATTAAGTTGAAGCAAACCATTAAAAATCCAGCTAGTTTTCTTAAAGTTGGTCTCATAAAATGTGATGAATTCATTATTTAATTTCAATAAAATGTCAATAGTAATTTCATTAAATAGTATACAGCTTACATGCTTATTTTAAAATCAGAAGTTCTATACATCTATCACCCTGGCCTATCTCTTCACTTTACACCCACATGAACCTATCCAACCCCCCTCACATTCTACACACACACACACACACACACACACAGCATTTCAGTACCTTCTGTCACTGGAACCTCATTTCTGATATTCATTCCCCTTGCAGGCCTGCTCTGCAAAAAGCCCCAATCCTCTGCAAAAAGCCCCAATACAGAAGGACTACCACTGGCTTGGATATGTAGATATATTTACTTCTATTCTTCAAAAGATAAAAGGATGCCTGGAGAGAGGATTACTACTTCTACTTTTATAACTTCAGGAGGGAAAAATACAGTTCCTGGCTTATCAAATTGTAGCTGTGACTGTATTTTCCCATCAAACCACTGCTACAGATGGTTATTTCTATGGTATTATTTATATTACGCTAAGTTACATTATGAATTAAATCAACTTTTGAAAGGAGGAACAGAAACCTAAAGAATATTTATCAAGTTGTGTTCAGGGGAAGGAATTAAGAATTAAAATACAGATGGTAATAGTTTACTGTGTATGATGTGTACAGGGCACCATGGCAAGTAGTTTACATATATTCTCATTTAATCAACACAAAGAAGCAGGTATTATCATTACTTGACACATAAGAAAACCAAGGCTCAGAAAGTCAGAGCTGGAAGTCAAATGTCATTCTATCTGATCCAAGTCTGTGCTGTTAGCTATCACACTTCATTGTTTTGTATGTATGTTTCAAGTTTTAAATATCATTGTAAAATATAATCTTAATATTTCATGAACAGTTGACTGCCTCTGTGAGAGAGTGTGCGTGTGCATGTGTGTGTATGAGTGTGTAATGTAGCTGCAAATAGACATTTATTAAACTTGTTTTGCTTTTTGGAATCTACTTATTTAAAATACTCCATATATTTGAGAAGCAATTGAAAATGCATCCATGTATGTTATTTGAGCGTTACTAGAAATTTATTTATACAAATCCATATTAATGTGCTAATAAGTGACAAATATATATATAGTCATGCACTGAATAATGATGTTTTGGTCAATGATGAACTGCACATACAATGGTGGCCCCATAAGATTAAAATAGAACCAAAATTTCCTATGGCCTAGTGATGCTGTAGCCATCATAATGTGGTAGTGCAACCCATTACCTTTTCTATGTTTAAATATACAAATACTTACCACTGTTTTACAATTGCCTATAGTATTCAGCACAGTAACATGCTGTATAGGTTTACAGTCTTAGAGTAACAGGCTATATGATATAGCATAGCTGTGTAGTAGGCTATACCATCTAGGTTTGTGTAAGTATACTCTATGATGTTTGCACAGGGATCAGATTGCCTAACAACACATTTCTTAGAATGTATCCCTGTCATTAAGTGATGCATGACTGCATATACATACAAATATACATACATATACATAAACACACACATAAACATAATTATATAGAGATATAACCATCCCTTATTGGTTGAATTTCTCTGAAGAACTCTAATATAATGATTCCATTATAATTTTTTCCAAAATTTAGCAATATTTAAATTATTAACAAAATATACCAAGCATTAATAAAAACCGAAATAATATTAAACACAATAATTTCAAATATTAAGTCACCTTCTTCAATGTAAATGTTCTTGTAACTATGTATTATTATTATCTTTTCTAGAGGAATAATAATAGGCAAAGCAAAAAATTTTTAAAGACAATTACTTGCTTGCTTCTATTTTTAATGTACCATGTGAGAGAAAAATAAGTTCTTTACCTATGACGAATGATTGTGAAAAGAAAAATCCTAACACTATAAACACTTGGACAAGATCGTATAGTAAATAAGTAAAACCTGGTTTTGAAATAAGGTGGCAGTGATAAAGGTAGTAAGAAGTGGTTGCATTTAGCATATATTCTGAAAGTAGAAATGACAGGATTTGTTGATAGACTGTATGTGGAATATAAACACACAGATCACCACAGACTATTCATAAATGCTGACTAGATAAACAATGTCTAATAGTAAGTTTGTAATGTGATCTATTACTTGTCAACAAATATACCCTTATTGAGCAGTTTTCAAAATACTGAACGTATGCTCTATAATATTACTTAGATTGTATTTCACAACTTCCTCTGCTATCATCCCTACCATCAATGACTTTTAAAATATAATTATCTTCCTAAGAAAAAGATCTATAAACACACATATAAACACATAAGTATGCCTGTATATGTGTGCTTGCGTGTATATATATGTATATATATATATAAATACATACATAATTTAACAGAATAAAATGCTTAAGTTTAACAAAATACATAACTGCTATGGTTTGTCTCCTCAAAAACTCACATTGAAATTTAATTGCCATTGCAAATGTATTGAGAGGTCAGACCTTTAGGAGGTGATTAGGTCAGGTGGATACCACCCTTGTGAATGGATTAAGACTGTTATTGCAGGAGTGAGTTAGTTATCAAGGAAGTAGGTAGTTATAAAAAGAATAAGTTTGGCCCCGATTTTTTCTCTGTCTTCTAAGCACAACTCCTCTTCATGTGATGCCTTCTGCCACATAATGATGCAGCAAGAAGGCCCTTACCAGATGCCAGCATCCTGCTCTCAGATTTCTCAGCCTTCAGAACTATGGGTCAAATAAATCTCTATTCTTTACAATTTACCCAGTGTGTAGTATTATTATTGCACCAGAATAAAGAGAGTAACTATATAAAATGTTTTTTAAAATTAAGATGTCACCATTCTTGTGAATGAGTAGCTGACAATATCTTAAAGAAGACTGCCAAATAGATCTGTCCAAAAAAACTGTAAATATATACAAAAACATATATTTAAGAGACGCGTGGAGAAAGTTAATTGAAAATACTTTAACAAGCACGCTATGACTTCAGATAACACTCATTCCTTGCTACTAACCGCTATTGAATTTTATACGTTGGCTTTTTTTCTTAGTGTTTTGAGACCATTTAACTAGGCAGAAGCATGGGTTCAGTTCAGTAGTACCACACATACTAGCCATATGAATAAACAAATACGTCCTTTTAATGCTCCTGGTCTATTATTTCTGCTACAAAATGAGATTAACAGTAATACTTGCAAGGTACTTTAGAACTAAAAGTCATACAGAATATTCTAAGCTTTTGGTTGTGATTTGCCAAGAAACACTATTTTGAAATCAGTATTAACTACAGATTTGGTGCGCCAAACTGGCAACTATGTTGTTAGTGGTCAGTTAAGATAATCTTTTCTGTTCTAAAACAATGAAACCATTAAGTGCCAAATTTACAAAGCCTGAAGCAGTAAGTAGAAAATATTACACTTAATCTCTTGTTTTTATAAAGGTCAGGGGAAAACAAAACTAAAATTAAAATTTCCACATGGAATTATAAGAAAAAATTATTAAATTAGTCAAAGTACAGCATATAATGTGCAAACTACAAACAAAAAGAAAAAAAAAGTTGATCTAAACGTATCGCTTTAAAAGGCTTTAGGGTAAGACTTGGAAAAAGTGGAATAGCCATGGAAGAGGAATCAGATTAGTACACCAAGAACAAAGAAAAGAGAGACAGAATCTGGCAAATAAAAAACAAAAGTAAAAATTTAGAAAATCACCATTCACAACAAAAGATTTTCCCAATGTTTGGTCTAACAAACGAACTATAATTACAATGGATAAACAGTACCTGCATCCCATAAATACACAGCAGTAACTGTGTAAAAGTTTAAGAATAAATGAGGTAACCCTTACAAAGCATTCAACAGAAATTTGTATGTATGCCTCTACATCCAAAAGATAAAATAACAGGGAACCGTTCAGACTTCCCTGTTTGTTCTCAATCACAGAGAAAGCTTAGTGAAAAAGCAAGACAAGAAAAAAACGTGTGGTCACCTCTATGTCTATTCACACAGTGAAAAAAGGAAGCTTGTGCTCACCTCCACTGAAATCACTTTTATGTGTTTCAATTATTGAATACTAAAGGTGCAAGTGTCACATAGACCAAGGTAGATTACTGTGGTCCCTATCCTTCTAAGAACTTAAAATTATAAACAAAGGGATCCCAAAGAGTCAGAATTCAAATAAATAATCCACATTAGCAACATGTACAAGGAGGGAATAACTGTTCATTACTGCACAGTGCATACCAAGGAGTCGTGTCTGCTTCATGTATAGGAATGGCTAGACAGGGGATGTTAAATGAGGAAGCTTCCAAGAAGTGATGGACTTACAGGAGCCTTTTTGGTGGGGGGAGGTGAACAGAGGGTATTCCAAAGGTTACACAGGACTTGGAAAAGGCTCCAAAAGTGCAATAAAATGTTTATAACTGAATACAGCTGGTCAAATCACTTTTACAACATGGTTAGAGATACTAACCTGTATGTTCCCTTTTCTAACATCAGTGCCAAATGTTTTACATGCATTGTTTAACCCATACATTATCTTATTTAAGATAGAGTTATATTTATTTCAGCAAGAAGGAAACTCAAACAAATAATGAAGTGATTTCTTCAACTTTTCTAGTAAGCAGTACAACCACAACCAAGAACAGAACCCAGGCATTGCAATTCAGGAGCCCATGTTCTTACCTACCATCTCTACTAAACCGCAACTCCATAATAGCAGGAATATGAAGGTCTCTTATTCCCAGAGATTAACACAATGTCCTACCCATAGTAGTCTCTCATTAAATAACAGCCAAAAGAAAGAATGGGAGGCAATGTTAAAGGTTGGGAGTGTGATACAGAGAAAATACTGATTTTTGGCAGGGCATGGTGGCTCACACCTGTAATCCCAGCACTTTGTGGGGCTGAGGCAGGTGGATCACTGGGAGTTAGAGACTAGCCTGGCCAACGTGGTGAAACCTCATCTCTACTAAAAACACAGAAATTAGCTGGGTGTGGTGATGCATGCCTGGGGTCCCAGCTACTTGGGAGGCTGAGGCATAAGAATCGCTTGAACCCAGGAGGCGGAGGCTGCAGTGAGCCCAGATCATGCCACTGCACTCCAGCTTGGGTGACAGAGTGAGACTTTGTCTCAAGAAAAAAAAATCTGAAATACTTATTTTTTTCCCCTCTCTGATACTGCAATGTTCTGAAACCAGTTGAGAGAAACTGATGAATAAAAGAGAACATCGATATTATCTTTGTACAACTTCTTGAAGGACCAAAAAGAAGAATCCAGAAAGTAACAGATCTCTCACTATATTCATGTCCTTCTCTAAGAAAGGGAATTATTCATTTCAGTGGTTCACAATTTGGATATACAGATTTATCTAAACTATTAGTAATAAAACACAATGCAGTTCATATTGATATAAAACATAGCTATTGGACATTTATAACTCCTAAAAATTAAATGCCTATATGCTTATTTCAAAACCATGGGAGTAAAAAGAGCAAATATTCTAGATTGAATATAACACACATACTGACATAGTGATATAATAATTGTAATTATTAATAGAGAAATTTGCCAGATTCAAATAACTCAGTTCAAGGACAAAAACATATGAAAAGTACTTCAGATTCTCTCACATGTTCACTAACCTCAGTTCTTAAAAAATAAAAAAGCCTATTAAAATAGCAAAAGAAAAAAATTAGAATGTATCTTTGAAGTTTTTTTCATACAACATTTCCGTTTACAATTTTTTGAGGAGATGGAGAGAGAAGAGCTGTTGCTTCCTAATGCCTACCAATCCAACAGAATCAGGTTCTCAAAGGAAATTAGATTGAATATCCCACACTGGCTGGAATATATTTCTGATTTTAAAATCTGCCAAAGAGGTTTGCTTATTGCAGTTTATCTTCCATAGAGTACATATGAATTGTATTTTTATTTCACCAATTATATTCTCCAAGAATATTCTCCCTCCTTTAAATACGTGAACAGCTGTCTCCAATTTTTTTCTTTTCTTTTTTTCTTTTTTTGAGATGGAGTTTCACTCTTGTTGCCCAAGCTGGAGTACAATGGCACTATCTTGGCTCTCTGCAATCTCTGCCTCCCGGATTCAAGCAATTCTCCTGCCTCAGCCTCCCAAGTAGCTGGGATTACAGGCGTGCACCACCACACCCAGTTAATTTTTTGTATTTTTAGTGGAAACTGGGTTTCACCATGTTAGCCAGGCTGGTCTTGAACTCCTGACCTCAGGTGATCTGCCCACCTTGGCCTCCCAAAGTGCTGGGATTACAAGCATGAGCCACCGTGCCCGACCACCGTCTCCAATGTCTATGCTTTTCCAGTGCTAGAAATCAATGATAAATGTGCATATGGGTTGATCTACCCATGAGAAAAATGGAAACTGCTGTTTCAACTCTAAGGCTACTCAATGGAACAAATAGAGTAGGAAGTTTAAACAGTTCCGCTGGCCTAAAATCCATAATAAATTTGTACAAATTTCCTTCATGAATTTTGTGAAATACACAATCATACCCCACCATAAACTAAATATGAAGCTCCTTGGGAGCTGATGTTCTGAACGTTTGATCTGAAGATATTTCAGCAGTGAGCTAATAATTTCAGAAAACAATTTTCAGAATTAAGTATGATGAAATTTTATTCAACTTTGTTTCTCAAGTGCCCTTTTACTTCCAGACACTATCATACAAATGATACATGTAAACTAACAAGGGAGGAAAAAGAATCAGTGGAAATGATTCAAAGTGTTTTCGGGAAATAAGAAACCCTGAGAATAATGTAAAGCAAATATATATCTGAAAGTATCAAGAAAATAAAGTAAAAATCAAATAGATGCTAAAATATGTTTACATTAAAAATACTCAAGTGTTCTTAACACTTATGATGTGAAGCTGAAAGGAACTGTTATAACAACTTATTTCTTAAAAGGCGCCATCTTGACCTCATTTTTTAATTTTATATTTTTCCAAGGTATGAAATAGAATGCTATTTAGAAAGGAACATACAGATACACATAAAAACATATACACACAAAAACATACACACGTGTCTATATGTGTACATACACACAGATCTATAGCCATATATGTATTCACACATGTATATATACATATGCATATATGGGTATATGTGCATATGTATATGAGGTAGTTTTCAATAAATCCCGTAACTGAAAGGAAGGCTAGAAAAGTTTCCTAATAAAACAGATTACTGGAATCTTTTCCTCCAGGTAAAGAATGATTACTGCTTTCAGAAGATGGTAAAAATTCAGTAACACCAGATGCTACTATAGGTAGTATACTAATTAAGATTTAATGTATTTTTCTCTTCCAACAACTAAATAGGGAGGGACTGCAGAATTCTTTTATATTGCTAGGAAAATCGTATAATGGTCAGAAAAATGAAAATACAGGTCCATGAAAAAAATTCTGTTTGCTTTCATTTGTTTAAGGAATGTTTTCACTTATGAAGAGACCCCTTCCTCTCTTTCATTTAGAATTTAAAATTTATATTTATTATTGCTTTAAGAGTTAAGGTGGATTTGGACAAACCAGATCATGACCATCTAGGAAATCTATGTTTAAAGCAATAAAATAAAGAGCGGCTGGAGCTTGGCAGTCATTTTACTAGTC
Organism: Homo sapiens; assembly: GCF_000001405.40. Classification (NCBI taxonomy): domain Eukaryota; kingdom Metazoa; phylum Chordata; class Mammalia; order Primates; family Hominidae; genus Homo; species Homo sapiens. Next base: position 116,205,032 of record NC_000005.10, on the reverse strand, counting down.
TCATTTAGCAGCATCTAACAGAGATGGCAAGTTTTATCATGCACCTTTAACTACCAAATTCAAAAAACAAACAGAAGGTTTACCATGGGAGGTAGAGAGTGATCAGACTATATCCTTTAGATACTCTTCCAGTAAAACAGCATGTGTTGTCTAAAATTGCGATGGGAACCTGGGAGCTCATCAGAAAAATTGAGCTCTAGTTGAATGTCTTCTTTAATACCGTATACCACGACCTCCACAGTAAATAAAAGGTTGACAAGCAGACATTCATTGCAAGATCAAATATTAATATCAAAATGGAGTATAATGTTAAACTTTGCAATTTAATTATGGTGCTGAATTTGTATTCAGCATATTAAGTGTCAATGAGTGATTTTTTATTTGCATCTTATTATTGATTTTAACATATTCTGTAAATTCAAATAAAGGGGAAAGGCAGATTGCTGCTGCAGTTATACTTCTGCCTGTAACATAGAGGAAAAAGATTATACTATTAGATATTTCCTCCTCAAAAATGGCAGATAATCTTCTTAATATTCAGTACCATCAGGAACCAGAACTAAAAGGAAAATTATAAAGAAGGTAAAAAAAGAAAAAAAAAGGAGGATGGAGAAAACATCTAAATGAATATGGTATTACAAACAATAACAAGCCTCACTGTAATATTTCCCTATATGAACCATTCATATCACCTTTCAGAAAAGTGGAATTTAGTGAAATAGAAAGATAATTTAAAGTCTTCCATTATTATTGTGTGGGAGTCTAAGTCTCCTTGTAGGTCACTTAGGACTTGCTTTATGAATCCGGGTGCTCCTGTATTGGGTGCATATATATTTAGGATAGATAGCTCTTCTTGTTGAATTGATCCCTTTACCATGATGTAATGGCCTTCTTTGTCTCTTTTGATCTTTGTTGGTTTAAAGTCTGTTTTATCAGAGACTAGGATGCAACCCCTGCCTTTTTTTGTTTTCCATTTGCTTGGGAGATCTTCCTCCATCCTTTTATTTTGAGCCTATGTGTGTCTCTGCACGTGAGATGGGTTTCCTGAATACAGCACACTGATGGGTCTTGACTCTTTATCCAATTTGCCAGCCTGTGTCTTTTAATTGGAGCATTTAGTCCATTTACATTTAAAGTTAATATTGTTATGTGTGAATTTGATCCTGTCATTATGATGTTAGCTGGTTATTGTGCTCCTTAGTTGATGCAGTTTCTTCCTAGTCTCGATGGTCTTTACATTTTGGCATGATTTTGCTGTGGCTGGTACCAGTTGTGCCTTTCCATGTTTAGTGCTTCCTTCAGGAGCTCTTTTAGGGCAGGCCTGGTGGTGACAAAATCTCTCAGCATTTGCTTGTCTGTAAAGTATTTTATTTCTCCTTCACTCATGAAGCTTAGTTTGGTTGGATATGAAATTCTGGGTTGAAAATTCTTTTCTTTAAGAATGTTGAATATTGGCCCCCACTCTCTTCTGGCTTGTAGAGTTTCTGCCGAGAGATCCGCTGTTAGTCTGATGGGCTTCCCTTTGTGGGTAACCCGACCTTTCTCTCTGGCTGCCCTTAACATTTTTTCCTTCATTGCAACTTTGGTGAATGTGACAATTATGTGTCTCGGAGTTGCTCTTCTCAAGGAGTATCTTTGTGGCGTTCTCTGTATTTCCTGAATCTGAATGTTGGCCTGCCTTGCTAGATTGGGGAAGTTCTCCTGGACAATATCCTGCAGAGTGTTTTCCAACTTGGTTCCATTCTCCCTGTCACTTTCAGGTACACTAATCAGACGTAGATTTGGTCTTTTCACATAGTCCCATATTTCTTGGAGGTTTTCTGCGTTTCTTTTTATTCTTTTTTCTCTAAACTTTCCTTCTCGCTTCATTTCATTCATAGGGAAAGGATTCCCTATTTAATAAATGGTGCTGGGAAAACTGGCTAGCCATATGTAGAAAGCTGAAACTGGATCCCTTCCTTACACCTTATACAAAAATCAATTCAAGATGGATTCAAGACTTAAATGTTAGACCTAAAACCATAAAAACCCTAGAAGAAAACCTAGGCAATACCATTCAGGACATAGGCATGGGCAAGGCCTTCATGTCTAAAACACCAAAAGCAATGGCAACAAAAGCCAAAATTGACAAATGGGATTTAATTAAACCAAAGAGCTTCTGCACAGCAAAAGAAACTACCATCGGAGTGAACAGGAAACCTACAGAATGGGAGAAAATTTTCGCAACCTACTCATCTGACAAAGGGCTAATATCCAGAATCTACAATGAACTCAAACAAATTTACAAGAAAAAAACAAACAACCCCATCAAAAAGTGGGCAAAGGATATGAACAGACACTTCTCAAAAGAAGACACTGATGCAGCCAAAAGACACATGAAAAAATGCTCATCATCACTGGCCATCAGACAAATGCAAATCAAAACCACAATGAGATACCATCTCACACCACTTAGAATGGCAATCATTAAAAAGTCAGGAAACAACAGGTGCTGGAGAGGATGTGGAGAAATAGGAACACTTTTACACTGTTGGTGGGACTGTAAACTAGTTCAACCATTGTGGAAGTCTGTGTGGCGATTCCTCAGGGATCTAGAACTAGAAATACCATTTGACCCAGCCATTCCATTACTGGGTATATACCCAAAGGACTATAAATCATGCTGCTATAAAGACACATGCACACGTATGTTTATTGTGGCACTATTCACAATAGCAAAGACTTGGAACCAACCCAAATGTCCAACAATGATAGACTGGATTAAGAAAATGTGGCACATATACACCATGGAATACTATGCAGCCATAAAAATGATGAGTTCATGTCCTTTGTAGGGACATGGATGAAATTGGAAATCATCATTCTCAGTAAACTATCGCGAGGACAAAAAAACAAACACTGCATGTTCTCATTCATAGGTGGGAATTGAACAATGAGAACACATGGACACAGGAAGGGGAACATCACACTCTGGGGACTGTTGTGGGGTGGGGGGAGGGGGAGAGATAGCATTAGGAGATATACCTAATGCTAGATGACGAGTTAATGGGTGCAGCACACCAGCATGGCACATGTATACATATGTAACTAACCTGCACATTGTGCACATGTACCCTAAAACTTAAAGTATAATAATAATAAAATAAAATAAAAAGAAAGATAATTTAATTGGGAGTCCAAATATTTAGATTCTATTCCCACCTGTGTCACTTGCAGGGTGTGTAACTTTGGATAAATTAAAAACCTTACTTTGTTTCACAGACTTGAAACCCAACGACAACTTCTTATTCTCTTTAATGCTGCAGTGCAGTCCATGTCAGTCTGTGACATTAAGCTGGGATTTCTGGTTTCTGGTCTGGCATGTAAGAAGCTTGGAAGTCACCATTTCATCCTAACAACAAATACAAATCTCAACAAACTGAAAAATCAACGATTCTTCTCGGATCCATAAGAGAAGTCAAGTCATAGGGTAAACCATTGCCCCCCAGATTGGAGAGACAGATGTAAATACAGAGAATTGTAACTTATTGGAGTAGAAACCCAGAAGTAGAAACCTCCATGGGAGCTAGTGCCAGTGTAAGAAAACTTAAACAGCAATTAATTGCTGGAGTCAGTGTGGACAACTGTAAAAACTGAAAAATGCAGGGGCACCCAGCCATAAGGAGGCTCCTCACTTCTGTTGAGTTTAACCTCCAGAAACTTGATCTGGTTCTCACAGTGAATACTGGAGAAAAATCCACTCATGCTTCCAGCAAAGGAAAGGACACGCCATTTTTAAAATATGCCGGATCACTCTGTGCTTCTTACCAAGGTCTGCCCATAGAGGAAACTATTTAAACAGAGCTTAACCTGTTGGAGTTCTATCAGAGCCTAACTGACTTACAGGAAGGAAAATATCCAACTCCAGTTGGCACTAGCCTTCCAGGTGGGAGAAAGAAAATACCCAACTCCAGCTCACTCTAGCCATCTGTCCAACTGGAGAAGGATAAAAAAACTGAGAAGCACTTGTGAAATTCACAGTCAAGAGGCACAGGCTTACTAAAAAAGTGATACCTAATCATAGGACAACAGAACACTTCTCTTCTCCCAACATAAAAACACAGAGTTTGAAGAGGACAGAACAAGCATCAGAACCAAACACAGCTATGGCAGGGATGTTGGAATCATAAGATCAGGAATTTAAAACAACTGTGATTAATATGCTAAGGGCTCTAAGGGATAAGAAGACAGCAATAACAGATGGGAAGTACAAGAAGAGAGATCTAAGAAATAACCAAAAGAAATGCTAGAGACCAAAAAAACCACTGTAACAGAAATCAAGAATGCCGTTGAATGGACAAAACTCAGGAAAGAACCTCTGAGCTTGAAAATATCTCAACAGAAAACTTCAAAACTGAAAAGCAAAGACAAAAACAAAACAAAACAAAACAAAAAACCCAGGAGGAAATGTGGCACAACTACAAAAGGTATAACGTATGTGTGATAAAAATTGTAGAAGAAGAAAGAGAAAAGAACAGGAAAAAAATGTAAAGCAATAGTGACTAAAAATGTCCTCAGATTAATGTCAGATACGAAACCATAGATCCAGGAAGCTCACAGAGCACCAAAAGAGATAAATGCCAAAGAAACTACACTTAAGGATACCATCTTCAAATTACAGAAAATCGAAGATAAAGACAAATCCTGAAAGATGCCAAAGTGGTGAAAAAAACACCTTACTTACAGAGGAGCAAAGATAATTACATCCAATTTTTCCTCAGAAACAGTACAAGCAAAAAGGGTGGAGTGATGGGTACAAAAAAGTATATATAGTAGAAAAAACGAATAAGACCTACTGTTTGATGGCACAAGGAGACCACAGTTAATAATAATTTAATTGTGCATTTTAAAATAACTAAAATAATATAATTTATTTGTAACACAAGGGATAAATGCTTGAGGGGATGGATACCCCATTCTTCATGATGTGATTATTACACATTGTATGCCTGTATCAAAACATCACAAGTACCCCATTAATATATACACCTAGTATGTATCCACAAAAATTGAAAATACAAAAAGAGTAGAGTAAAATATTTAGTGTTGAGGAAAAAACCCAACAACCTAAAATTCTGTGCCCTTTGAAATCACCCTTTAAAAGTGAAGAAGAAAGCCAGGCATGGTGCTACATACCTGTAATCCCAGATACTCTGGAGGATTGCTTGAGCCCAGGAGTTGAAGACCAACCTGGGCAACATAGCGAGACCCTGTTTATTTTAAAACTGAAGGAGAAATAAATATCTTCTCAGGCAAATAAAAATCAAGAAAATTTTAGGCTAGTGGACCTGCCTCACAAGAAATGTTTTTTAAAGTTCTTTAAAAGATGTTAAAGGAGACAGGTCAGAAACTCAGATCTACATAAAGAGGGAGCATTAGGGAAAGAATACATAATGGTAAAATAACTTTGTTTCATTCTTAATTGATCTAACAGATCCAAATCATTACTATTTTGAACAAACAGACTTTTTAGATACAATATCAAAGCTACAGTCCATAAAAGAAAGAAGTGACAAGCTGGACTTCATTAAATTAAAAACAAAAAATCTATACTGGGGAAGACACTGTTAAGAGAATAAAAAGACAAGCTAAAGATGACTGGGAGAGAATATCTGCAAATCACATGTCTGATATAAAGGAATGTTATCCAAAATATATGAAGAACTCTTAAAACTCAACAATAAGAAAACACAGCTTAAAAGTGAGCCAAAAACCTAAACAGAAACCTCATCAAAGAAGTTACACAGATGCCAAATAAATATATAAAAAGATGCTCCACACCGTATGTCAGTAGAGAAATCCAAATTAAAACAAAAATGAGAAACTACTACACACTTACTAAAATGGCCAAAATCTAGAACACTGACACCACCAAATGATGGTGAGGATAAGGAGCAACAAGAACCCTCATTTCATTGTTAGTGGAAATGCAAAAAGATACAACCACCATGAAAGACAGTTTGGCAATTTCTCACAAAACTAAACATGCTGTTACCATACAATCCACCAAACATGTTCCTTGGTATTTATCCAAAGGAGTTGAAGACTTACGTGCATACAAAAATTTGCACATGGATGGTACAGCAGCTTTATTTATACTTAGCAAAACTGGAAAGCAATCAAGATGTCTTTCAGTAGGTAAATGAATAAATAAACTGTGGTACCTTCAGACAAGAGATTATTTAGTACTAAAAATAAATGAGCTATCGATGCATGAAAAGACATGGAGAATTTAAATGCATACTAATAAGTGAAAGAAGAAAACCTGAGAAGACTTCATACTGTATGATTCCAGGTATATGACACTTCTGAAAATGTAAAACAGGACTGTAGAGGATTTTCCGTGTAGTAGAAATTATGGTATATGATACTACAGTGGTGGATGTACTGTCATTATACACTTGTCCAAATCCATGAAATGTATGACACCAAAAGTGAACCCTAATATTAACTAGGGTCTTGAGTGATAATCATATAGGTTCATCTATTGTGACAAACATATCACTCTAATAGGGGATACTGATAATTGGATAGGCTATGCATGCATAGGGGAAGGGAATATACGGGGGATCTCTATACCTTCCTATCAGTTTTACTGTGAACCTAACACTGCTCTGAAAAATAAAGTTTATTATTTTTTAATAAATAAGGTATGGTCATTCTATTAAAAATGACTTCCATAACAACCAATTATGTCAATACAATGTTTGCTATTCTTTATAGTATTAGGCAAAGTCAAGAGACTGGCTGCTAAAGGTGAACACCTATAAAAGGCATACAAAAAGGGAAAAACCAAAATGTACTTAGAAATTAAGCTCACTCTTCAGCTGTAACTAATATTAAGGTCTTTCTGCTTAAGAGTACAATGTACATTCCTGAGTATAACTTAAGGCTATAAACTGAGGTTTAAAAAAACAAAAATTATGTGTGAAGTGTGTATAAATGTAGAAAAATTATCAAAATAATCAAGACTGCATATGTGTAAGTGAGAGGAGACAGCAGGGAGGGTACATCAGTGATTGTAAAGCCTTCCAGGTAATAACCATAAGGAAAGCATCCATAGTTCTGGGCTAAACTGAACTGTGAATCTGCACTTAGTATTTCTACTTCTCCTACTGACTCAATATATAACCTAGGCAAGTCATGTAATCTCCCTGTACTTCTTTATGTGAACTGGAGTCTACTCAAAGGGTAACTGGCTATTTCACAGGGAACTATACTTTAATCTGCACTTTACTGCAGTGTCAGAAAGGTGAATAAAATGGCAGAATCCTTTCATGAATTTTCTGTTTCAAAGACAATAAAAATCTGGGGCCAGGCACGGTGGCTCACACCTGTAATCCCAGAACGTAGGGAGGCCGAGGGGGATGGATCACTTGTGCTCAGTTTGAGACCAGCCTGGGCAACATAGTGAGAACCTGTCTCTACAAAAAATAAAATAAAATAAAAATTAGCCAGGCTTGGTGGCACTCAAGTCCCAGCTACTCAGGAAGCTGAGGTGGGTGAATCACTTGAGCCCAGGAGGTAGAGGTTGCAGTGAGCCAAGATCACACCACTGCATTCCAGCCTGGGCAACAGGGCAAGATCATATCTCCAAAAAATAATTCTGTTTTCAACTCTACTTACAATTTGGCAAGAAACAGAAAAAAAGTACTGTAATTTCATGTATTGTTTGCGTAAAATATTAATACAATGACATTTTGCAAAGTAAAAAATGTTATCCTAGGTGTTAATTTCTTAGTAAGTCTTCAAAGCACACTACCACCAAATGGATGCTGAATGAATGAAATGAACTTTACAGTCTCTTCCAAAACTCAAGATTCTATGATTGTAATGTAGGCTATGCAAAATTTGATGAGGCAACCCCACATTAAAAAATGCCAAAAGGGTTTACTTTAGAATAAAATATTTTAAATATTTAACGGACAGAAACACTAAAGTTTCTTGATTATATACTTCTGATATAAATTACTGAAAATCTGTAAAAAGAAAATACTTACAAAGTTGTTATTTGTATGTAAGCACATACTGAAAGATAGGAATACATCGACAGAAATGCTCCTAAGCTTAATTTAGTAAATCATACATCACATTAAAACAATATCCATTAATTTTTAGGCTTTGTTCAGTGTCTTACTGATAAATTTGAAAATTAGTAATATGATGTCCTTTATATAGGAAGATAAAGATTCATCATTTAGAATATACTATATTAGTTATTTTTCCAATCATTATATAGACTGTGAAAAGCCATTCATATACACATAGTTAGTATTTCTGTGACTAACAGCATAAGGGATGTTTGAATATAAGCACATACTGCACACAGCCTTAAATAATAAACATTTTTCTTTTTTTAAAAAAAAAAGCACCAGTAAAACATTAACTCCATAATCCTGACTCTTTAATATCATGTGATAATAATCTACATTAACCAAAGCAGGAATCACAGAGTTAACAGATTTGGCTATTACTTTTTTTTTTTAACATATTTATTTTTCCATAAGTTACTGGGGTACAGGTGGTATTCGGTTACATGAGTAAGTTCTTTAGTGGAGATTTGTGAGATTTTGGTGCACCCATCACCCAAGCAGTATACACTGCACCATATTTGTAGTCTTTTATCCCTCACCCCCTCCCTCTCTTCACCCCAAGTCCTCGAAGTCCACTGTATCATTCTAATGCCTCTGTGTCCTCATAGCTTAGCTCCCACAAAACAGTGAGAACGCACAATGGTCGGTTTTCCATTCTTGAGTTACTTCACTTAGAATAATAGTCTCCACTCGTTGGTTGATGGGCATTTATTTGGGTTGGTTCCATGACTTTGTATTTGTGAATTGTGCTGTTATAAACATGCGTGTTTGCAAGTGTCTTTTTCAAATAATGACTTCTTTTCCTCTGGGTAGATACCCAGTAGTGGGATTGCTGGATCAAATGGTAGTTCTGCTTTTAGTTCCTTAAGAAATCTCCACACTGTCTTCCATAATGGCTGTACTAGTTTACATTCCCACCAGCAGTGTAGACGTGTTTCCTGATCACTGCATCCATGCCAACATCTTCTGTTTATTGATTTTCTGATTATGGCTGTTCTTGCAGGAGTAAGGTGGTATTGCATTGTGGTTTTGATTTGTATTTCCCTGGTCATTAGTGATGCTGAGCATTTTTTCATATGTTTGTTGGCCATTTGTTATATTTTCTTTTGAGAATTGTCTATTCATGTCTTTAGCCCACTTTTTGATGGGATTGTTTTTTTCTTACTGATTTGAGTAATATTAAACAATACTGATTCTACCCATTCATGAGCATGGGATGTGCTTCCATTTGTTTGGGTCATCTATGATTTCTTTCAGTAGTCTTTTGTAGTTTTTCTTGTAGAGGTCTTTGACTCCTCAGTTAGTTATATTCCTACGTATCTTACTTATTTATTTTTTGCTATTGTAAAAGGGGTTGAGTTCTTGACTTGATTCTCTGTTTGGTCGCTGTTGGTGTATAGAACAGCTACTGATTTGTGTACATTAATCTTGTATCCGGAAACTTTGCTGAATTCTTTTACCAGTTCTAGGAGCTTTCTGGAGGAGTCCTTAGGGTTTTCAAGGTAAACGATCATATTGTCAAACACTGACAGTCTTTCTCTTTACCAATTTGGATGCTCTTTATTTCTTTCTCTTGTCTGACTGCTCTGGCTAGGACTCCCAGTACTATACTGAAGAGGAGTAGGGAGAGTAGGTATCCTTATCTTGTTCCAGTTCTCAGAGGAAATGCTTTCAACTTTTCCTCATTCAGTATTATGTTGGCTGTGGGTTTGTCATTGATGGCTTTTATTACATTATGGTACGTCCCTTGTATGCCGATTTTGTTGAGAGTTTTAATCATAAAGAATGCTGGATTTTGTTGAATGCTTTTTCTGCATCGATTGAGATAATCATGTGATTTTTGTTTTTAATTCTCTTTATGTGGTGAATCACATTTATTGACTTGTATATGTTAAGCTATACCTGCATCCCTGGTGTGAAACCCACTTGATCATAGTGGATTATCTTTTTGATATGTTGTTGGATTTGGTTAGCTAGTATTTTGTTAAGGATTTTAGCATCTATGTTCATCAAGGGTATTGGTCTGTAGTTTTCTTTTTTTGGTTATGTCCTTTCCTGATTTTGGTATTAGGGTAATGCTAGCTTCACATAATTAATTAGGAAGGGCTCCTTCTTTATCTTGTGGAATAGTATCAAAAGGATTGGTACCAATTCTTTGAATGTCTGGTAGAATTCTGCTGTGAATCTGTCTGGTCCTGGACTTCTCTTGTTGGTAATTTTTTAACTTACCATTTCAATCTCACTGCTTGTTATTGGTCTGTTCAAGGAATCCAATTCTTCCTGATGTAAGCAGCTAAGAGAGTTGCATCTTTCCAGGAATTTATCCATCTCTTCTTGGTTTTCTAGTTTATGTGCATAAAGTTGTTCACAGTAGCCTTGAATGATCTTTTGTAGTTCAGGAGTGTCAGTTGTAATATCTCCTGTTTTGTTTCTTAGTGAGGTCATTTGGATTTTCTCCCTTCTTTTCTTGGTTAAACTTGCTAATGGTCTATCAATTTTTTTATCTTTTCAAAGAATCAGCTTTTTGTTTCATTTATCTTTTTCATTGTTTTTGTTTCCATTTCATTTAGTTCTGCTCTGATCTTGGTTATTTCCTTTCTTTTGCTGGGTTTGGGTTTGGTTTGTTCTTGTTTCTCTAGTTCCTTGAAGTGTGACCTTGGAATGTCAGTTTGTGCTCCTTCAGTCTTTTTAGGGATTTAGGCATTTAGGGCTATGAACTTTCCTCTTAGCACTACCTTTGCTGTATCCCAGAGGTTTTGGTAGGTTGTGTCATTATTGTTGTTCAGTTCAAAGAATTTTTAAATTTCCATCTTGATTTTGTTTTTGACCCAATGCTCATTCAGGAGCAAGTTATTTAATTTCCATGTATTTGCATGGTTTTGAAGGTTCCTTTTGGAGTTGATTTCCAGTTTTATTCCACTGTGGTCTGAGAGAGTGGCTTGATATCATTTCAGTTTTCTTAAATTTATTGAGGCTCATTTTATGGCCTCAATTATATGGTCTATCTTGGAAAAAGTTGCATGCACTGTTGAATAGAATGCATATTCTGTGGTTGTTGGATAAAATGTTCTGCATGTATCTGCTAAGTCCATTTGTTCCAAGGTACAAATTCATTGTTTCTTTGTTGACTTTGTCTTGATGACCTGTCTAGTACCGTCAGTGGAGTACTGAAGTCCTCCACTATTATCATGTTGCTGTCTATCTCATTTCTTAGGTCTATTAGTAATTGTTTTATATATTTGGGAGCTCCAGTGTTAGGTGCATATGTTTAGGATTGTGACATTTTCCTGTTGGACAAGGCCTTTTACCATTACATAATGTCCCTCTTTGTTTTAACTGCTGTTGCTTTAAAGTTTGTTTTGTCTGACATAAGAGTAGCTTTCCCTATTTGCTTTTGGTGTCCATTTGCATGAAATGCCTTTTTCCACCCCTTTACTTTCAGTTTATGTGAGTCCTTATGTGTTAGGTGTTAGGTGAGTCTCCTGAAGGCAGCAGATAGTTTGTTGGTAAATTCTTATCCATTATGCCACTCTGTATCTTTTAAGTGGAACATTTAGGCCATTTACATTCAATGTCAGTATTGATATGTGAGGTACCACTGCATTCATCCGGCTCTTTGTTGCCTGCGTACTTTGTTTTTGCTTTTTAAGGTGTATTTTTGTTTTATAGGTCCTGTGCTATTTATTCTTTGAAGAGGTTCTGTTTTAATGTGTTTCCAGGATTTGTTTCAAGATTTAGACCTCCTTTTAGCAGTTCCTGTAGTGGTGGCTTGGTAATGGTGAATTCACGCAGCATTTGTTTTTCCGAAAAAGACTATCTTTCCTTTATATATGATGCTTAGCTTCGCTGGATACAAAATTCTTGGCTGATAATTGTTTTGTGTGAGGAGGCTGAAGATAAGGCTAATCCCTTCTAGCTTATAGGGTTTCTGCTGAGAAATCTGCTGTTAATCCAATAGGCTTTCCTTTATAAGTTAGTTACCTGGTGCTTCTGTCTCACAGCTCTTAAGATTCTTTCGTCTTAACTTTGGATAACCTGATGACAGTCAGTGTGCCATGATCTCTTTGTGATAAATTTCCCAAGTGTTCTCTGTGCTTCTTGTATTTGGATGTCTAGGTTCCTAGCAAGGCTGGCGAAGTTTTCCTGGATGATTCCATCAAATATGTTTTCCAAGCTTGTAGAAATCTCTTCTTCCTCAGTAATACTGATTATTCTTAGGTTTGTTGTTTAACATAATCCCAGACTTCTTGGAAACTTTGTTCATATTTTCTTATTCTTTTTTGTCTTTGTTGGATTGGATTAATTTGAAGACCTTATCTTTGAGCTCTGAATTTCTTTCTTATAATTGTTCAATTCTATTGTTGAGACTTTCCAGAGCATTTCACATTTCTATAAGTTTGTCCAAAGTTTCCTGAATTTTTTATTGTTTTTTCTTTAAAGTATCTATTTCCTTGAATATTTCCCCCTTCACTTCTTGTATTGTTTTTTGGATTTCCTTGCATTGGGCTTCACCTTTCTCTGGTGCCTCCCTGATTACCTAAATAACTCACCTCCTGAACTCTTTTTCAGGTAAATCAGGGATTTCTTCTTGGTTTGGATCCACTGCTTGTGAACTAGTGTTATTTTTGGGGGGGGGGGTTGTTAAAGAGCCTTCTTTTGTCATATTACCAGAGTTGGTTTTTTGGTTCCTTCTCATTTAGGTAGGCTCTGTCAGAGGGAAGGTCTAGGGCTGAAGGCTGTTGTTCAGATTCTTTTGTCCCATGGGGTGTTCCCTTGATGTAGTACTCTCTCCATTTTCCTATGGACGTGGCTTCCTGTGATTACTGTGTGCAGTGATTACTGTCTCTCTTCTGGGTCTAGCCACCGAGTCTACCCGGCTCCAGGCTGGTACTGGGGGTTGTCTGCACAATATCACATCCTGTGATGTGAACCATCTATGTGTCTCTTCTCCGTAGATACCAGCACCTGTTCCAGTGGAGTTAGTGGGGGGTGGGAGGATGGGGGGTTGTGCAACGGACTCCATGAGGGTTCTTAGCTTTGGTGGTTTAATGCTCTATTTTAGTGCTGGTTGGCCTCCTGCCAGGAGGTGGTGCTTTCCAGAGAGCATCAGCTGTAGTAGTGCAGAGAGGGACCAGCAATGGGCAGGGGCTTAGAACTCCCAAGATTATATGCACTCTGTCTTCCGCTACTAGGGTGGGTAGGGAAGGACCATCAAGTGGGGGCAGGGCTAGGTATGTCTGAGCTCAGACTCTCCTTGGGTGGGTCTTGCTGTGGCTGCTGTTGGGGGTTGGGGTGAGATTCCCAGGTCACTAGAGCTGTGTACCTAGGAGGATTATGGCTGCCTCTGCTGAGTCATGCAGGTTGTCAGGGAAGTGGGGGAAAGCTGGCAGTCACAGGCGTCACCCAGCTCTTATGCAAACCAAAGGGCCAGTCTCACTCCCACCGAGCCCCACAAGAGCCCCAAGTCTGTTTCCAGGTGGTGGGTGACACAGGCTTGAAAACTTGCCCCAGGCTATCCGCCACCCAGTTGCAAAAGAATAGGGCTTCATTCTTCCCCCACCTGTTGAGTGTGCCCTCCAGATTTGTGTCCTCACCCGAGTTCTGGCCAGGAGGCTTCTCACCCCATTCAAATTGTTACAAAGTTCAGCTAGAGATTTACTTCTCTCTGTGGAGTTTTGCCCCCTGCTCCTCTGGCCACCCTCCTGATGGATCCCTGTGGTGTCATGCAGGAATGGCCTGCTAGGGGATCCAGCGAGCTCCAGGGCCTTTCTGCTGCTTCCTCTACCCCTCTGAAATCTGGAAATAGCATGAGTCTATCATCCATAAACTCGTATTTTCATTCATGTTTGACAGAAAATCACAATGTTATAATGTCAAAACTGTGGAAAGTTATGTAAGGCAACAGGGTGTAAAATGTAGAAAAGTGCTTATTATAAATAAAATATATAGTTCCAGCAAATTTGGTAATATGTTTAATTTGACTTTTAAAAATACATATTTTACATGACTTAAATATTCACTTAAAGTGTTTGTTTCCCAACTTGTACTCTACCAATTTAAATTATTCTGAAAGTAAACATGTAGCTATCTCAAAGTTTTATAGAACTTAAGGTTTGAGTTTTCATTCTTATCTTTCAGGATTAGTATTTCAGCTTAAAGTTGTTAGTTGCTTTCCTTGTTAATATTTTAGGTACAAAAGTTATATGTAACTAAAACATAAATAAGAGGTATTCCTCAAAACATGGTAGCAAGACTTTACAATCCCAACTCAAGATGATTTAGCATTTATATTCCAAAGAAACAGAGAACTCTTGGTTGCCAGTGACAGAAAATCTAACCCAAACTGGCATAGGCAAAAAAGCAGTGTAATGGGTTATGGAACTGAAACTGTAGGATTAGAAATAGTTTTTAAAATAGCTGGGTATTTATCAAACTATAAAATATGGTAGCAATTTCTGTACATATGTGTACCACTTAGTTGCATTTAAATGCACATACAATTATTTTGTATGTAAGTAGAATTCCACAACATACACTGTCACTGCTATCTGTTCCTCTGTACATTCATTAATTAATCATATATTTTAGCTGCATATTTAACTTTCAAACAGTTCCTAATTATAAAAGTTTCATAACATTTTCTACTAGATATATATATATAGGCCTCAAAATACACCATCAGGACTCAGTTTCTTTCCCTCCATCCTCTCAGTCCTACTTTCTGATATTTTGGTCTTCTCAGCTCCATGTGATGTGTGAGGCTGTGGTGCTTGAAGCTGCAATAGCTATCTTTCAGTGGAGGTACCCTGATATATACTCATCCAATCTCAACCAATCACTGTGTTGAAGGAGATAAAGCGTGCTGATTGCTTAGGCATAGGTCACATACATCACCTCTGAATTGGTGGAGGTAGCCCTACTCTAAGAGCAGGAAAGGGAAAGATTCTTCAAAGAAAAATGAAGGGAGGTTTTTCAGAAGGTCAGGAGTACATGCCTAGTACAAATTACCTCCTTTCATAATAAAGATAATATTAATAAACAGCAACAACTGAAAATATGCTTTAAGTGGTTTTCATTTTGCTAAAATACATGAACAATTTCTTGAAAATAGTACTGTTCATTAGATTTTCATTACTGTTTTCTTCTGATGTCATGACTTAAATAAACTTATTTCCTCTTTCTTAAATTCTCTTTACAGTGTTAACTGAAATTTAGGGTTCTGGCAGCTGTGGCTATAAAAAATTAATCATAATAAGATATTGCCAAACAGCTAGGGATTAAGGCCAATTTTTCCAAGAGAATTGTACTAGTCCAGTTCTTGGTCACAAAGAATGGAAGTGATTTCTGGTTAAGTTAAGTAGGAAACAATTCGGATGGCACACAAAATGATGAAGCTGAAGAAACAGACTTGGGAAACAAGATGGCACTAAAGAAGGTTAGGAAGCCAGAACTGCAACCAAAATCATGCTGGAAAAAAGACAGCCTAGGAAGCCTCTGCTGAGAATGTGGCACCACCACCACTGCTGGTACCAGTATCTCCACTGGTATGAGACACTGGATGCTGCTCTAGCCACTAGAGGCTGAGGTGGGAGGACTGCTTGAGCCTGGGAGTTGGAAACCACTAGAAGAATAAATTCTAAACTGTTGCTATGTCTTTGCATCACTTTTCCTAGATGTGAAGTCTCATGCAGCGATTTCCAACTAGTTGATGGAAACTCTAGCTGTCACAGGAGGTCATATGCCCCAAACTCTAGCTGTCACAGGAGTTATGAGAGGAACTATCTGCCCCACTTTGGCTTCCACAGAGGGAAGTGGAACCTAAGGCACTCAGAATAAACCCTAACATACAATGAGCCATCAATAAATTTTTTATTCTTGTAGAACACTGTTTAAGGAATTAGGTGGCAAATGTTGTTTTCACAGTGATATTATGTGTCTGATAGCACAACCTTCATTAATAACAAACATATGGGCTGGGTGCAGTGGCTTACGCCTATAATCCCAGAACTATGGAAGGCCAAGGTGGGTGAACTGCTTGAACTCACAAGTTCACGACTAGCCTGGGCAACATGGAGAAACCCCCTCTCTACAAAAAAATACAAAGATTAGTCAAGTGTGGTGGTGTGCACCTGTAGTCTCAGCTACTTGGGAGGCTGAGGTGGGAGGATTGCTTGAGCCGGGAGGTGGAAGCTGAGCCAAGATCGTGCCACTGCACTCCAACCTGGAGGATGATAGAGCCAGACCTTGTCAAAAAAAAAAAAGAGAGAGAGAGAAAGAAAGAAGGAAGGAAGGAAGGAAAAAGAAGAAAAGAAAGAAAGAAAGAAAGAAGAAAGAAAGAGAAAAACCATGTGCTCACTTACTTCAGTAGCATATATGCTAAAATTGGAAAGACAAAGGGAAGATTAGCATGGCCCCTGCACAAATTTGTGAAGTGTTCCATTTTTTTTAAATAAAATAAAAACTATTAAAAAGAAACACAAGAAAGATATTCCTAATATCACACAATTGTTGGGAGAACAGAGGCAAAAACTGATTACTCTAAATCAAACTTATTAGCTCTAATTCTAGCAAAAAAAAATTCCATGCCCGCCACCCCCAGTGTATTCCGCCTGTAGAACATACTTTAAGTCAAGTGGACTTGATAAGGCAAAAACAATAAACCTAAGAGGTAATCAAAGCTTGTCCCTTAGGAGTTGATCATGACAGGTCACAGACAAGTTATTTTCCTCTCCATCATGAGTACTAATTGGTCAAATAAAATCAGTCACTAACTGCAAAGTAGGTACCAATGTTCATCTAGGTTAGTTTCCATTATAGTTACTGGAAACTAACAGAGTAAACCTTCTGTTGTAAACTGACGTAATGATGTTTTAGGTCACCCTTAAAGATTCCTGTCCAGATCTGAATCTATATACTTGAAAAAGAAAAGCTGTCACTTGGTTCCTATATTACCAAACTGCTTCTGTGATTACAGGGTAAAGTCCCTTATTATTCTCTCAGAATTCTACCCAAGACACATGGCTATAACTTAACTAAAATAAAGTGTAAGGTATAAAGAAAGTACTTTAAAAAAACACTGTTTACAACATAAAGTTATTTAAGTATAAATACTTGGAATTCAGCAATTTTATTTATAATAATGTTTGGTTAAAAAAAGAATTTAATTACCATACTATGCTTTCTCAACTCAGTTAAACACAAACTATATTCATTTCCAAATTTCCGTTGGATATTTAAATTAGAATATACTACAAATATATTACATGTAAATGTTAATATATGAAGTAATTTAGAGAATGTTAATGCATGAAGTAATGTAGAGATCATTTAACCTACTTTGTAGCAGTAGTCCAAATCACTCTTCTTTGTTACAGCCATATATAGATAGGTTGCTGAATTTTTTTTTACATCAATATCTTTACACTAAAATATCTTCAGAAATTACCTCTAATACTATTTACCAATCCATCAAATATGGTAGCAATCTCTATACATATGTATACCATTCAATTATATTTAAATGCATATACAATTATTATTTTGCATATAAATAAAATTCACAAAACAAATACACTGCCACTGCTATCTATTCATTTGTATGTTCATTAATTTATCACACATTTTAGCTAAACATTTGGCTTTCAGATAGTTCCTAATTATAAGTTTCATAACACTTCATTTATTCTACAGCATTAGGAGCTGAAAAGGGTCTAATATATTCAGGAAGAAAACACTTTCTGGGGTCTCTTTTGAACACATGTATTCCCATACTGTTTTTAAAGTTTTTTGTTTTGATTTTTAGAAACTTGATTCATTTGTTTATTATTATTTTTTACTTTAGGATATACACTGAGTAGTACTCAATAAATAATGTGATTTGATTAAAAGTGCCATAAGAAACAAAATACTCAGCTTCCTAGTATTTGAAATTATTACATATTTCTAGTTATTTTTAAAGCAAAAAGGAGAGGACAATAATGGAAAAGTATATATGTTGTGCGCCTATGATGCATTACGGGCTACAGTGCTTAATAACTCTAGTGGAATCACTAATAGTTTTTCCTCCACTTAAAATTCATTATGCTGCTAAGGAAGAGAAACTCCAATAAGGCCAAGGACACAACTGATGCACTGAACTGGGAAAAGCTACAGTTGTTAATTTATTCAGTCATTTCTTCAACAAATATTTCTTGAGCTCCCCTCTCCAGTCCTATAACCAGTGGGATCCCTAATCTCTAGAAGCCAACATTAAAAGGCACAGGGAGAATGACAAATACATTATTACAAATGTGACAAGTGCTGTGAAGAGAAGGTATGAAGTAGGAGAACTCAGCCAGTTCAGGTCAAGGTAAACCTCCTTCAGAAGATCACATCTGATAACTGAACAGTTAGGTGGGAGGAGTTGAGGAAGGCAGAGAGTGTTTCCCAGTTAAAGGATAGAACCTGCAAAAACCCAGAGAAGGAGAATATTAACTGTATTTCATGAAATGAAAAAAGTGCTTAGAGCTAGAAAGGAGAGGTAGAATTGTGCAAATATAATGTTAGGGATATGAGACTATCAGAAGGTAATGGGAAAGCTGTTAAGTGCGGAAATGAAACAAATTTACAAAAGCAGTTTGGGGTTATGGGAGCAGAAGCTGTATTGGAATGGGCTAAAGACAATGAAAATAAACAATTTGTTTAAAAAGTTTGACTGCGGGGTGAGAAACAGAGTTGCAGCTGAACCAATAAGTTGATTAATTTGTTACCTTCATTCGATGCTTGGATTTATTTGAACATGTTTAAACGTTGACAGTAAAAAGTCTACAGGGAGAAAGATAATGAAGATGGAGGAAAGAAAAATTCCTCAGATGATTAAAAGGGGTCGAACCCAGACCTCAGGAAATCATAGGTAACCATTAGCCCAATGTGTTATTTTCTCCAAAAATGCTTGATGGCAGTAAAGTCAGGTAACATTCATCCAGGGTCAGAGTTCTTGCTGGTTGGTACAGAGAAGACTAATGGGAAAAGAACTTGCAGACACTGAAATGAGAGTAAAGTGATTAGAGTCTAAGATAAGAAGATAATGAAAATATTAAGGGTCTAATAAAGATATCTCAATGTAGTCAGAGGAGGAAGCAATCAGAGGCAAGATGTATTTGTTATTTACCAGTTTTAAAATTTGTAATCAAGGCTCAAAACATAGCTCTTTGTTGATAGAGTTCAACGCAAGAGCTAAGGAGGTCAAGGAATTTTTCCACCAGAAATGCCCTCTTTACATAGGACCCTTGTCCTTTTGCTATGTTTTGTTCTCAGAGAACTCCATGCAATAAGACAGAATGGAATTCCTCCCTACTTCCCCACCCTAACTCCCACCCATTCCCACAAACTTTAAAACGCCAAGGAGAAAGCAGGGTGGCATCGGAGAAAAAGGAAAGCCAAGAAATAGACTGCTTGACCCTGCTTTTGTTTTTTCAAGCTTTTTTGTAATACACAGACCCCTTTGTTCAATCAATATCTTGCACAGAAATACAAATGGTAAAACAGAAAAGTATAGCTGCTCTGCTAGAAGTAGGACCTGAGGTTCTGTTAAATGCCCCTTGCCTTTGTCCTTCCCACATATTTATATCTAGAAGACACCTAGGACTCAGAGCACAACTGACCATTTTTGTTCAAACTGAAAAAAAAGTAAAAATTCTATGCTTTCTTAAGACATACATTGTAGTTTGGGTCATTGTGGATCACATAGGTTAAGACAATATAAAGATCTATGGGCGCAAAGCTCTAAGAAATAACGAGGAACTTGTACTTATATCTCCCTTTCTATACTTAGCAGTAGGACTTGTTCATCTTTGGGAAGAAACCTGTATGTGCCAAAACTTTTATCACACATTTTGTATAACTGCCTTCTATTCTTTCAAAATTCTTGTCAGGAAGTCATATTATTCTCATTTTGCAAAATAGGAAGTTAAGGCCCAGAGGAGTCAAGTAACTTGCCTAAAGTCACAAAGTTAATAAGTGAAGGGGTCAGGATTCAAAGCTGATTTAAAAGCCCCAAAATCGATTATATTACATTGCCTCCAAGATTCATGAATTTAACAATGTTCCTCTACTACCATTTATATATAAAATCTTCTGGCTAAAAGCCCATAAAACGTTTTCTCATACATACCATTAAAAACAGTTCAACCCTAGAGAATTATCATGGAACTGTTTTAGATTAATAGGGCATAACATAGGCATTCTAACAGATCTCTGCTGAATCTGTTTTCTTTTGGTAAATAACAACTCCACTGCTGCTGGAGTAAAAGTTGACGCTGCTTTTTTAGGTTTGGTGTTCATTATATCTTATTTCTACACCAACATTGATGAGACTGTACCCTAGGAGTCAGTGTTAACCAATATTATCAACCCAGAAAGGCGGGGTGGAGGTGAAATTGCAACTACTAAAAATATGTCTATAAAGAAGTAACAAAAGTCATGGAAACAAATATTTGAAGAAAACAGTCACTAAATAATAGGATCATGAGAAAAAGAAGCCCAAATCAATTCAACTTATTGTAGAGTAAAGCTGATTTTAATCAAGACCTTGAGAAAAAAAAAAAAAGGTCAGATATATAGTTAAGAAAAATAAAGAAAATGTAAATACATAATTAGGGAGTGAACACAAAAGGATTGACATCCTGGATTAAAAAAAAAAAGAGAGACAGAACTAAGAACCACATAGAAATGTCTGTCCTTTTTCTACGTGTTATTATGGTAATAAATACATCTATTGGTCTTCCAGAAACAATGTGAGATCTATAAAACTTCTTTCACTAGTCATTAATAGTATTTGTTCCCCAAAGCATCATGACCTCAGTAATTTAGTATTTGGAATTTGAGAACAACATAGTTAACTGGATTATTAACCCTTAACGGATGACTGATTAAAATAATTAAAATCCACACAAAATCCAAAAGTTATTTATATTTTGTTTAAAATAACACCAGTATGCTCTGCAGTGCATGGAAACATATAATCTCAAAAACATCCTACCTCATTTCTAATAAGCACTAATTCTATTCACGTATAGCCTGCCACCATATATACCTGAATATGGTCACAGTAGAGACATTTCCTAAGGGCCACAAAGGAACTGCTTCATTAATTATCAGCTATCCAGGTAACCCAAAACTAAATGTAAAATTTATATTTATACATTCATTCAGAAAGTATTTATTAAATGGTTACTCTGTGTCAGTGTGCTAAGTGCAGTGAATATATTGGTGAACAAAACAGAAATGGTCTATTTCTTTAAAATATAAAGAAACAGCACTCTCTCAGAACACAAAGAAAGTTACAAGTTTAAATTAAATACTACTTTGAAGATTTTTATTAATTTCAAGGAGGCCTATAATTCACTTTCATAAGGATATGGGTTATTTAAGTCCTCCTAACAGTCCCTTGGATACCTGAAAAATATGTTTAAAATAAAAACAAGATTGAATTTCATTTTAATGAGTCTATGTAGTCACTGAAATTCTAGGGCATGAGCTAGCTAAACCCAGATTTTCAAAACTACTTCAGGCATTTACATTTTTCTCAAGGAGTCTGCTAAGTTCTTTAGGTTTTAGGTCTTCTAGAAACATTTTTCTTTCAGTTCTGGCATCATCCTTAGTCTCCCCTATAAATATTAACATTTCATATTTTGACTAACTCAATATAATGTTAGATATTATATGCCCATGGTAATTTATTTCTAGGTTCTCTGGTGAGTCAATGGCCTCTCTCACCAACAATCTCTTTATGATCATTATATTAGTCTGTTCTCACATTGCTATGAAGAAATACCGAAGACTGGGTAATTTGCAAAGAAAAGCGGTTTCACTGACTCACATTTCTGCATTGCTGGAGAGGCCTCAGGAAACTTACAATCATGGCAGAAGGCAAAGGAGAAGCAGGCACCTTCTTCACAGGGTGGCAGGATGGAGTGAGTGCAAGCAGGGGAAATGCCACATGCTTAAAAAACCATCAGATCTCTTGAGACTCACTATCATAAGGACAGCATGGGGGAAACTGCCCCCATGATCCAATTACATCTACTTGGTCCTGCCCTTGAGGATTATGGGGATTACAATTAAAGATGAGATTTTGGGTGAGGAGACACAGCCAAACCATATCAATCATGTATTTATTATTTTCTGGACAACCTGATTTTTTCCACTTGGAGATAGAATTTTAATCCCTTTTTACTTGGCTTTCTAATTTTTTAGTATTTGTATATGTCAACATTCCCTTAAACCTCCCCAAATAGATTGCTTTCCTCTTAATTAATAACCTTAGTGTTTCTCTAGAATACTGTTTTGTTCTCTAAATTTTATTAATATCTGAGAAATAGTCTAAATGTCTCAGCAACAAAGTTTCTTCTTTGATTTCTCACTTTAATGTATCAATTTTTAATCACCTCAACTGACTTTTTTTTTGCTCAAACTCTCTCAAAACAGCTGAGCTCACTGACACCCACCCCCCACACCTCTTCCCCATTTCAGTAAACAATACTACCATTAATTAATTTACATAAATCGGAAACCTATTGTTCTTAATTTCTCTCCTCTTTCTCTTTCACCTCCCTCCCTGCCTTCCATCCATAATCTTAATATTAAATAGTAGCCTAGAGCTAAACTACTATCAGTTCTTAGAGTAAAGAAACTTTTTGTTGTTGTTGTTGCCTCAAAGCCTGTATACATTCAATTGTCTGCTTGAATAATGCGCCTCCCTCCTCTTAACAGACCTAGTTGTTTCTCTTCTGTGGGTCTCAATTTCAATGTCATCTCCTCAGAGATCACTACACCTAAAATAGTTTGCTAATAGTATCAATCATCTCCTTGTTCTTGTCCTTCACATGACATATTTCAACTGGCAACTACATAATTTGTCTGTTTACCTGTTTTTGTTCATATATATGTCCCCTAAGAGAATATAAACTCCATGGGGGCAGGAGCTATGTCTATCCTACTCTTTATCTCCAGCTCGAAATATGCCTGGCACATATTAGATGTTTAGTAAATATTTACTGAATAAATGAATATAGTAGCAAGTTTAAAGAAATGCTGAGATGTTGGCCAATTTTATAATATCCTACTACTGTGATAAGCAAGATCATGTTGCCAGAAGTTAAAGATAACTTTCTTAAATTAAAAAACCTTCCTTCTCATTTTAATTTTGATTAGGTCAAACGGTTCCACCATGATTTATAACAATGATTCTCAAAGTATGGTCCTTGGACCAGAAGCATCCTGCACATTTCAAAATAATAGTTCTCTAAAAATATTTCTAGAATTCGACAAAACAGACTTCCTATTATTATTTCCTTCTTTATGTGGATTTTTATGATTAACCATGTTTCATACTTTTTAAAAAAATCTATGACTCAAAACTCAGTAGCAATAATGTAGATAGGTTTAAACTGCTCTGATTTCTGCTAATTTCTTTCATACTAGATGTAAAACACCAGCTCAGCTTTAATTTGTATTGTATCACTATTTCACACAACTTCAGAAGATAGAAGATATAAAGCATAATCTTGGTCAATAATAAGAACACTGATAAACAAACACCCCAAAAGCATAAATTTCAGCATTTAGAATTCACATATTATCAACTGACCATACATTCACATACTACTTCCAGAGATCTCAATGTAATCCAACAGAGAAGTACACTACAGAAACAGATTTCTAATTAAAATGAAAGTACAGCAATAATAATAAAGACTTTTTTATTTTATAATTTTTGGAGACAGGGTCTCACTCTGTCGCCCAGGCTGAAGTACAGTGGCACAATCTCAGCTCACTGCAGCTTCAACCTCCCAGGCTCAAGTGATCCTCCCACCTTAGCCCACCAAGTAGCTGGAACTACAGGTGTGTGTCATCATGCCCAGGTAATTTTTGTAGAAACAGGGTTTCACCATGTTGTCCAGGCTGGTCTCGAACTACTAAGCTCAGGCAATCTGCCCGCCTCAGCCTCCCAAAGTGCTGGGATGAGAGACATGAGCCTAATAAAGACTTTTTAAATAAGCATTTCATCATTTTCTCCTAAAAATTACAACAAAAAACTCATTAAAATGATAAGAATTAAAATGTCGTCAATAGCTGATATACTACAATATATGCGATCCCCCTAAATGATCCCAAGTCAAAAAAATTGATTTTATAAAAATAGTTTTAAGAATATATTTTTTTAGTTAGGGAGTTTATTTTTTTTTAATTTTGGTTTCACTAAATTCGTTTTTCAAATAAACTTTTAAGATTGAAGGTCACAAAAAGAGAAAAACGTATAATTTCTTAAACATTTAGAATGAACTGCTAATAGAAAATTTCACAATAAATTGTATTGTCTAGGCAACTATTATTAAAAATATGAGGCACTTAAAATTATGTATGAAATACAAATCCATTATCCCAACACTAATACAGGAAAAAAATCAAATTAGAAAAAATACCCACTTCTCTTGTACTCCATTTCAGTGGCCTAGGACCTAAACAAAAGATAAATGAATAACTTAACTGAAAACAGAATTTAGTGAACATATTTTAAAATATATCCTAAGCAATGGATCAGTGACAATTACAAATTTAGATATACTATTGCTAATTTGTATTAAATCATATCCATCAAGGTTTCTATAAACCTGAATGTACGTATTATTCCATTCAAAAATGTTTTATACATATAACTGAAAATGTACAGAGGTAACCCAAGCGTCTCTAAGTGTATACAACAGATATAATCAATTAACCCTAAATTCAAAAATTTCAGTATTGACTGTCCAAAGATATGGAAAGCTCTCAAAAACCTAAAATCCTATATTTTACAGTAAGCTTTAATACTGAGTAATAATCTTTTTAATATCAAGAGTAACAACAAAAAACCTCAATTCATCCCAGCCCTCCTTCCAAGTTATTTTATTTCTGTCCATGGAAATAGCATTCTGCTTGCTACACTCTTCTTACCTTTATTTTCTATAGAAAACTGCCATCTCGTCCAATCATTTTCCCCCAAGAAATGTCTTGTAGATTTGAGTTTTCTACTTCATTCCTACTACTACTACCTTTTCCTGCCTCAATATTACTTCAATCTTTCATGGTTACCATCACACTGACCTTCCAGTTGATAAAACTGATATAATTTTTATCAAGTCATCCTGCTCAAGAAATCTATAAAAGCATTCTGGTGCCTATCCCATAAAAACTACCTGGTTTGCAAGGACTGCTTCAATCCAGGCCCAGGTTACTAACTGAAATTAATTCCTATTGTATACCTTCTACTCTCATTAGGCCATTCCTTATGCTCTGTGCCAGGTCTTTTAAGCTTCCTTCTTGTTCCTTCCATTGTGGAACAGCTCTTCTCCCCACCACCTACCCATAACCTTCAATGTCTCATTTCTTCTACATGCTTTGAATCAAGCCCATTCCACACAGGCTCGTGGGTATTTACGAATGGAAAGAGTACCAGGCCAAAGTCAGGAAACCTGCGTTCTTAGTCTGGTTCTGACATTATCCAGTAGTGTAACTCTGGGCAGATTTTTGAGTTAAACAGCTAGTCCAGACTTTTGTTTCCTCGTCAATAAAATGAGATATTAGATTATTCCTAAAATCTGTTTTAAAATTATTTAACTCCCACAACACTTATAGTCTTAATACTTTATCACTTAATCGTACATTAAAGGTTTTATGTGTATTGAATCTTATTTATTAGGTTATAAACTTCCTGAAGATAAAAGTTACACATTGTACGTTTTACATTTTTGCAAACTCAGCAAGCATGACACAGTGTTTGATAACATAATGGTTCTCTTTCAGCTATTTTACCTATGGAATCATAAAATTACATAGGTAAACATGGGGACAGAAGCATGATGTATTACATTTTAAAACAAGCTTATTTTGTATTCCTTTAACACAGAGCGTCTGAAATCCCTAAGCCTCTGGTTCAGGTATATTATTAAATAACATGTATCTAATGTAATTGAATAATTAAGGTATACAATGTTATATTTTCTTAACATTTTGGAATGGAAGATGTTTATATGAATACATTCTAGTGGCCATCTGCATCAACTACAGCTAACCACTTCTGAGAATAAATCAGGGCATTAACTTTTGTGCTAAAACCTTATTATAAACCAACTTTCCTTAATGCTGCTAAGAAAAGCAGAGTCAACTAACTGCAAAAGGCCCATCTAGGCTAGAAAGTAAACTTGGCCTGAGATGATATATCTCCTGATGCTATAATATTAAGTGCTTCTTAGGAATTAGAATAGTGAATGTTTTTAGGGACAGGAACTCAAATAGGGGGCATCATCCCCGTTATTATAGTTATGCACACATTTTTAAAATTATAAATATTTACACATTTACATTTGCATACCCAAGATACATTTTTGGTGCCTTCAGGGATTTTATTGTACTTTATTATCCGTTAATTTGATAGTAACTTTATAATAACTCCAAATATGTAATGTAATCATATACTTT
The DNA here is from genome assembly GCF_000001405.40 of Homo sapiens. NCBI lineage: Eukaryota > Metazoa > Chordata > Mammalia > Primates > Hominidae > Homo > Homo sapiens. The sequence continues at coordinate 116,178,402 of NC_000005.10, read as the reverse complement.
AGAACAATTTTATAAAGTAAGTTTTGTTTAAGGCTTTAATCTTACTAATTAATCGCAGAATCTTAAGAAGTGGGAAAGAACCTAGAATCACAGGTCTAACACAATGTTTGTTACATAGTAGAGGCTCAATAAATAAATACTTATCTAAGCAATCTTATAATACTAATGAGAATAAAAGAAGACAATCCAAAATGAAGTGGTTTCTATCTCAACTCCATCATTCATTTAAGCAGTTGGCTCATTTTCACCTTACTTTCCTTATCTCTAACTTGCTTTATCTATCATACAGCTAAATACCTAAACATTAGGAAAATGAAGTATTTATTTCTTTTACAGGCAGAAAACACAAAAGAGCCCAAATAACTCTCAAGTATAGTGTGTACCATTCTGAACCCTATCTTTTTAAGTTAAGGTACATGCTCATATTATCTGAGTAAAAGAATATTAAAGCCAAGTATGCAGGTTTATTTGTTCAGATAATAAACGTTTATTAAGCACCCACTATGTGCTGTGTAAATTCCAAAAGGAAAAATATGAATAAGGAAACAAAACTCAGTATGAAGTGGGATGAGAGATACATATACAAATGAAAGCATGTTCAAAGTGAAATGGCCACTTAGTACTGAGAAAGGTTTGGGCAAACAAGGTAGCATATAAGTTTTAAAGGATTGATAGATTTTTCCAGACGCAAAGGTAAGGGAGAAGAGAAGGGACAAAATATGCAAAGGAGAAGAAAATGATGCTTGAAAATCTTTGAAAAATTGAATACAGAAAGTTCCTAGGATGACTATGGGAAAGTGGGATGAAAAGAAACTAACAGAGTAGGCAGAGATCTGATCCTACAAAGTCACATTATTCTGCAGTGGGGTGGGGGGGGTCACTTAGACATTTTAAGCAGGAAAGTATCATATCAGAACTTTGTTTTAGAAAAATGACACTAGGTTGGAAGAGGAAGATTCTGAAGGCAGGAAGATAAATTAGGAGAATAATGCAGTCCCTTAGGATGGAGATAATAAAAGCTTCAGTTGAAGCAATGAAGATGAAAAGATATTAATGCAAAGAGCATTTACATTTACATGTATTTTAAACATATGAAGATGAGAGAGAAAGCTGTCTCTTTCTTTCCTTTCTCAAAACCCATTCCAAATGTCCCAGCTTATTTCTGGTCCACCCAATACAATCAACCCCTCCCAAGTTTCCCATCTCCATTAAGACACTTTGTCCACTGGATCCCTGTCTTAATCACCACTCTGAGGCTCTTCCAACACAATAGTACGTGATCTAGAACATGCTACCTATCAGTGGCACTGTGACTACCTTTGCAAGCCCATCCAGGAGCCTCAGCTTGACTGCACCCCCAAAAGATTGTTTCCTGCTTGCCCAGCAACTACAGACCAACTCTGGCCTTAGCAGATTGTACCTTCTCTAACAAGGTCTGAACTCTAACTTTGGGGAAGGACCCTCTTCCAAGTTGTTCTTTTCCTTAAATACTCTCCTCCTTCAGGCCTAGTATGTTTGTTACAGTTCTCTTTACACTTTTATAGTTACTCACGTATCATAGCTTTCTAATTCTTTATATTAAACTTCCCCTGTTTAAAATTACTTTGTGGTTTCTGTCTCCTTATTAGATTTAGGGAGATACTGACAACAATCATAAGAAATAACATGAGAATCAATAACTAGGAAATTTTTTAAAAATAATAATTAAATGAGAAAATGAAAGTAAGCCACCCATTAAGAGTACAACCTTATAGGACCCTCAACATCAGAAAACAGAATTTAAGACTTTAAAATATGAATTTTATATACATGAGAAAGTAAAACATATAGGAAAATAACCATTAATAACATGAACTTAGGGACTTTAAAATGAAGACATACAAAATTAAAGGACTTGGAATAACAGTGGTAAACCCACATCTCAGATGTTAGGTTAAATGTTTTAGATTCTATTTGTAAAAGCCTAAAGCAGAACAGTGAATAAGTCCAGGCTGAGCACGGTGGCTCACACCTGTAATCCCAACACTTTGGGAGGCCGACGAGAGTGGATCACTTGATGCCAGGAATTCCAGTCCAGCCTAGTCAGCCTGGCAAACGCTGTCTCTACTAAAAATAGAAAAACAATCAGCTAGGCGTGGTGGCACATGCCTGTAATCTCAGCTACTCAGGAGGCTGAGGCATGAGAATTGCTTGAATCTTGTAGGTGGAGGTTGCAGAGAACCAAGATCGTGCCACTGCACTCCAGCCTGGGAGACAAAGACAATCTATCTCAACAAATAAACAAACAGTGAATAAGTCCAAAAAGCCAACAAGGTGAATGTGACATTCAAGCTCAGAACATTTTTTTTTCTAAATTGTGGTAAAATATACATAACATAAAATTTGCCAAATTAACCATTTTGAGTACAGTTCTGTGGCAACAAGTACATTCATATTGTTGTGCAACCATCACCACCATCCATCTCCAGACTTTTTCATCTTCTTTAACTGAAGCTCTGTACCCATTAAACAATAACTCCCTACTCCTCATTCCCCCTGGCCTCTAGCAACTACCATTCTACTTTCTGTCTCTATGAATTTGACCGCTCTATGTACCTCATAAAATAAAATCATACCACATTTGTCCTTTTGTGACTGGCTTATTTTACTTAGCTGAATGTCTTCAAGTTTCATCCATGTTGCAACGTATGGCAGAATTTCATTCCTTTTTATGACCGAATAATATCCCGTTGCATATATATACCATATTTTGCTTATCCATGCATCTGCCAAATAAATACTTGGGTTGCCTCCACCTTTTGGCTATTGTGAATTCTGCTGCTACAAACATGGGTGGATAAATATCTGAGTCCTTGCTATTCTTTTGAATATACACTCAGAAGTAGCAATGCTAGGTCATATGGTAATTCTATGTATAATTTTTTATGAACTGCCATATTGTTTTCCAGAGTGGCTATACAATTTTACATTCATTGCCACCGGTAATGTACAAGGATACCCATTATTCTTTTCATGCTGCCATTTAATAAACACCCATTATGTGACATAAGGACATCTACTTAAAACCATCTATTCATTCAATTCATTTATAGTAAGTTACTAACTACCTAGCCCACTGAGCTGCAGCAATTTTTTTTTAAAGCCACTGCCCTTAAGAAATTTGTATTTTAGTGAGGTGATACAGACACAAAAATAAAAAACAAATATATATATCATATATTAAATACAACTGAGACAAATAAAACAAGGTAAGGAGATAGAAAGTAATGCGGGAGTGTTTTAAATGTGGTGGTGAGAAAAGTCCACTCTGAATGTGGCATTTAGAAAGACATTCAGGAAGTAAAGGAAATAGTTATGAAAGATCACAAAGAGCTCTGTTCCCCAGCAAACTGGTTCTCCACATCTCTTAGTCAGCAAGCTATATTATATCTGCCATAAGGTACAATTATTTAAAAAAACGAAAAGTTAATCTTATGTTTTAAATTGCTTAAAGGAGTTTCAAACTTTGGTAAACATTTAGAAACTGACCATTTCTTTATAGAGAAGTTAAAATAGGACACATTAATAGACTTCAAGGACAACTGTTAGCTTTGATTAAAAATTGAGTAAGAGTGGCTACTACCTAGAGAAGATCCAACATGGTTAGGAAAGGATTTCTGTAAAGACAACTATAGGCAAGTAAGAGAGACACAAGTTATCCAGGTAAATTTTGGGGTTATCTTTAATGACTCACTTTATCTCACACTTTGTATCTAACCAACAAATCCTACCATATTCCCTTCAAAGTATTTTGGAATTCCCCTTTCACTACCTCCACCATCATCATTCTGGTCTAAACCACTACCATCTCGTGACTGAATGGTTATTCTACTAATTGATTATCCATCAGTTATATCATTGCTCCCTTGCAATCTGTTTTCTGTGCAGTAGCTATAGTGATCCTTGTAGACTATAATTCAGAACATGTATGTTTCTGCTCAACATCCTCCATTTTGAGGAAAATTCAAAGTCTTTACCAAGTCCTATAAGGCAATACAGAATTCCATGTCCTCCCATACCCATTATTACTCTCACCTTATCATCTGAACCTCTCTTCCCACATACTCTACTCCTGCCACACTGGCCTCCTTCTGGGAATTTAGCAAGCACACTTCCATCTCAGGGCCTTTGCAATTGGTGTTCTTACTTACTGGATTGTTTTTCCTTAAGACATGCACATCTTTTTCAGGTATCCAGTTAGGTATTATCAGGAAGAAAAGCCTTCCCTAAAATAGTACCGTTATTGCTCTCCATCTCCATATCCTACTTAATTTTTCTTCATAGTGTTAATCACAACCTGATAGAGTATACACTTATTCAATCTATGTTCTTTTTCCACTTATTAGAATGAATGCTCTAAGAGAGAAGGACTTTGCTTTGGTTACTGCTGTATCTTCAATACCTGGAAGTATATGGCACATGGCATATTTTCAATAGATGTTTGTTGAATAAAGAATTAAGGAATGAATTCATATTACTATATTATGACTGTCCTTGTTCCAAAAAAAAAAAAACAAAAACAAAACAAAACAAAACAAAAACCCAAAAACAGTTGGAAAAAAAATGGATTAACAAGGAAGGTGATACCCAATGCTTTGGCTTCTGCAGTTAGTATGTGCAATTCTATTTGTATCTCTACAACGCATCTAGAGCAGGTGGATAATTTATGAAACTATAACTCTCTACTGAAGACATAGAACAGACCATAACTTTTGGAATGACTTCAGATCATAGCTGAAGAGGTAAAAATTAAAAGCTACCAAAAGTGAATGGCAAACACTAAGTACTTCATTATAGAGGATGAAATAGTCTTTTTTAAAAAAAGCTATTCATAATGTGATGGCTGAAAATAAAATCTAGCTCTTTGTAAGTATATTCATACTAACTGTATAAATTAAGTTGCATGATCCAGTTCACCAAAATAACATAGAAAGTAAAATGTTAAAAATCAGGAAATTCCAAAGTTTACACTTCTACTCTAATACTAACTTGCTTAAATTGGCTTATATAACACTTTAAAGGTGTATATATAACTGGAAAATTGAATATAACTAAACTCATAGAAATAACGCTGATATATCACTGCTAGAGGAAGTATAACTTAGGAATTTCCTGATTTCCAAGAACTGCTGTTTAATGCCAAGGCATTCATACAATTTTTTTCATTTGTAAACTACTTCAAAAATGGAATAAATATGAAACAACAGGCAGCTGTTAGATGAATTAAGATTATATGACTTTACCTTAACCTTAGTATTTACTACCTAAACATTTTCATTATATATTAAAAGATAATATACAAACAGAAAAAAGGGTTATATGTGTTAATTTACATTATTATGAATCTCAGTATTCTAATACTGCCATTATTTTAAGCAGTTTAAATTTTATAAACTTTACATGAGCAAAAGTTAAAGATCTGATTGTGTTACATAAAATTATTAAAGACATCCTCTCATATTGTCAATTCTTGTATTAGTCAAATTTTTGCAAGAACACTGAAATTTCATCGTATTTTTTGTAATTAAAAAGCATGAAGAATTCAAGCTCCAAAATCTTACTATCTCAGATGAGGAAAGGTTAGTAATATTTTAATTTTAACCCACATCTATGCACAGCCAGGATTCAGAAGCCCTGTGCTGCTCTTCTCCATGCCTCTTAGCCTGGTTCAGGGCTGTTGCTCTAAAAGATACCCTGGAGTATGACTTTATAACACAAAACACTGTGAGTAAATCTTTTCGAATAGGAACTCAGTTCTGTTTTCTAAAGTATCAGACTAAAACTCTGTAGGACTGAAGAAAAAACACTTAAATATTTCCGACCTAGGGTAGATAACAGAAAGCAATAGTCTGAGCAAATGCTCCAGATTTCAGGGAGCTCCTATGATTTTGTAGAATCAAAAAGCCAAAGGTAACTTGTAATTCAGGGTAGCACATTTAGAGACAAAGAGGCAGCATCCATATTCCTACAAAACACAATTAGTATCATCATAGTATTTTTCTTCATATAATCACTCGCTCCCTCTGTCTGAGTACTCCTTCCCTCCTATTTATCCCTGAAGCAGTGTAAATAGCTTTCCCACACCTTTAATAATCCAAAGCTTTTCTTTACTTTCCTCTCACACCTCCCTCCAGCCTTACATATTAAATAAAATCTTGCCATAAAAATAGCAGCTGGTAAGCCAATATGGGATGTTTCCTTAACATTCTACACAGTTTACCATATGTACTATAATAAAGTTGCTGGGCTGAAAGATATATTTTTCCAGCCTTTGGTTATTCTTCTGTAAGCTCTGGACATACCACTAAGCAAAATCTTATTTTGGACATCAACCACCAGAAACTGAGTTTAAATATGATAATTCACAAAACAACGGACAGATTTTTTTATTATAATTTAAGTTCTAGGATACATGTGCAGAACATGCAGATTTGTTACATAGGTATACACGTGCCATGGTGGTTTGTTGCACCATCAACCCGTCATCTACATTAGGTATTTCTCCTAATGTTATCCCTCCCCTAGCCCCACACCCGTGACAGGCCCCAGTGTGTGATGTTCCCCTCCCTGTGTCCATGTGTTCTCACTGTTCAACTCCCCCTTATGAGTGAGAGCATGCAGTCTTTGGTTTTCTGTTCCTGTGTTACTTTGCTCAGAATGATGGTTTCCAGCTTCATCCATGATGCTGCAAAGGACATAAACTCACCCTTTTTTATGGCTGAATAGTATTCCATGGTGTATATGTGCCACATTTTCTTTATCCAGTATATCATTGATGGGCATTTGGGTTGGTTCCAAGTCTTTGCTATTGTAAATTGTGCTGCAATAAACATACACGTGCATGTGTCTTTATAGTAGAATGATTTATAATCATCTGGGTATATACCCAGTAAGGGGATTGCTGTATCAAATGGTATTTCTGGTTCTAGATCCCTGAGGAATCGCCACACTGTCTTCCACAATGGTTGAACTAATTTACACTCCCACCAACAGTGTAAAAGCATTTCTATTTCTCCACACCCTCTCCAGCATCTGGTGTTTCCTGACTTTTTAATGATCGCCATTCCAACTGGCGTGAGATGGTATCTCATTGTGATGTTGATTTGCATTTCTCTAATGACCACTGATGATGAGCTTTTTTTCGTATGTCTGCTGGCTGCATAAATGTCTTCTTTTAAGAAGTGTCTGTTCCTATCCTTTGCCCATTTTTTGATGCAGTTTTCTTCATGTAAATTTATTTAAGTTATTTGTAGATTCTGGATATTAGACCTTTCTCAGATGGACAGATTGCAAAATTTTTCTCATTCTGTAGCTAGTCTTTTCACTCTGATGATAGTTTCTTTTGCTGTGCAGAAGCTCTTTAGTTTAATTAGATCCCATTTGTCAATTTTGGCCTTTGTTGCCATTGCTTTTGGTGTTTTAGCCATGAAATCTTGGCCCATGCCTATGTCTTGAATGGCATTGCCAAGATTTTTTCCTAGGGTTTTTATGGTTTTAGGTCTTATGTTTAAGTCTTTAATCCATCTTGAGTTAATTTTTATATAAGGTGTAAGGAAGGGGTCCAGTTTCAGTTTTCTGCACATGGCTAGCCAGTTTTCCTAACATAATTTATTAAATAGAATACCCTTTCCCCATTCCTTGTTTTTGTCAGGTTTGTCAAAGATCAGATGGTTGTAGATGTGTGGCATTATTTCTGAGGCCTCTGTTCTGTTCCACTGGTATATATATCTGTTTTGGTACCAGTACCATGCTGTTTTGGTTACTGTAGCCTTGTAGTATAGTTTTAAGTTAGGTAGTGTGATGCCTCCAGCTTTGTTCTTTTTGCTTAGGATTGTCTTGGCTATACGGGTTCTTTTTTGGTTCCACATGAAATTTAAAGTAGTTTCCTCTAATTCTGTGAAGAAGTTCAATGGTAGCTTGATGGGGATGGCACTGAATCTACAAATTACT